>NW_025791788.1:0-300000 GCF_000001405.40 Homo sapiens | reverse complement strand
TCAAAGTGAAAAATAGTGAACTTCTCATATATTCCAGTTTACATAATACAAAGCCGTATTTTTCTGATGCTGACAGAAAGGACAGTAGATAGACAGAAGCAGATATACCGAGTGAAAATGAGCCTAAAGGATGAAGCTCACGCTTCTTGGGATATTCATTCTTGGGATGTGTCTCTCTGCACTGTGAGTTTCCTTTATATACAACCTATGTGTGCTAAGTCATGTCATTCTCCCCTGACAGAAATGAGTGCAAACCCTCTTGATAATAATGGGATAGAGCCAGGGGCATTTGAAGGGGTGACGGTGTTCCATATCAGAATTGCAGAAGCAAAACTGACCTCAGTTCCTAAAGGTTTGTATTTACTTTATCTAAGATATGGTATTTTAAAGTTGTCACCTTTCAATAACGATTCAATCTAATATTGTAAACTGTGCAGTATACACTGCAACTAGAAATCTTTGCACCAGTAAATCTGGTCAATATAGTCTACACACACATAAAATGCCATATGTAGTGCCTTTTTCCTGACAGAATTAAGCCACAATTTTTTTTACTCCACTAAGAATAAACATTAAGAAGCAATGAACTTTTAGTTTTCCTTCTCTTTCCTGACATTTACTCATTTATACCTGTCATTCTGTGCAGTACCTGTTAGAGGTAGAGAATTCTATACAGAAGAAAGCAGAGAAAGATAGATGGGGCAAGAGACCCTGTCCCCAGGCATTTAGCCACAGTTTGAGGTGAAGCCTATGAGCCCAGACTGGGCAGCCCCTGGCTCTGGCAGGAATGGACATGCCATTCAAGGCAAGGCATTTTGTACCCAGCTTCTTCCCAGGTGTACTGTGAAGACTAATGGGCCAATACACAGAAAGGTCTGAGGACAACATCCAGCACGTAGGAAGTGACCACCTGTGACATAATCATTACCAAGATGAGCACTGTGCTCTTTATCATGGCTTTGTGTGACCCAAGGCTAGCACCTCAAGTAGAATGCTCCTTAAGTCTGCCAGATGACCAGTGTTCTAACCCATTACTTCCAAGCTCCCTGTCTGATGATTAGCTGCATAGGATTGCCTTTCTTGGAACTCTTGCTCAAAGTCTTGCTTTCCTTATTCCCAACAAGGGCACATGCTCTCTTTGCTTTGATGACTAACTGGGCCAAAAATAACCCCTATGATTAACAACATATTTTTACTTTCCAACAGCTCCGTCTTTCAGTATCCATGAGTTAAAGCAGCAACTTCATCACGACCCCCTCTAATCTACTCACCTGATCCAGAAGATCAATAAAACAAACATATACAGATAATTTAAAAGACACAGTAAAGCTGTTATTATTAATCAAGAGGTGACCTTTCACTTAGGTCACCTAAAGATCATCTAAAGTAAAAGAGGAAAAATAACTTTTCTATCCAGGAAAACAACAGTTTAATTCAGAACTATACAAATCCAAAAAAACACCTCAGTGTAGCTTTAAAGGAGGTGGATGTTTTTCTACAAGAAACCAAAAATGTTACATTTACCTTCCCATTTTAGAAAAACAACAAAAAATGCAAATGCTACCCAATAAGTTAAACATATAAAATCCCTTTCATCTGCTGGAAGATAACATCCAGTAAAGGAGAGTGAAGACAAGGAAAAGAGGAAGGTAGAGGGAGGAGAGGAGGACAGCCTACAGGGCTGGAGGAGGGAGCTGCTGTTCCAGGCCACATCTCCTGACATGGCCATTCTTTATGTTCACACCAAAAGTCTTTCCTACACTGCAAAATTCTATTTAAATTTCAAAGTGTATCTTAAAAGTAAAGGTTTAACTTCTCATGAGTTTTCAAGATTCTTTCAAAGCCAAAAGGAATCTTTAGAAATTTAAATTGGAATCAAATCTCTCAACTTAAATAACTATTCCTTCAAATCCCCTTGACATTCAGAATTCACTAACCTGTGAAAGCTGACTGCCTGCATGGCATAATCCAGTCAGTATTACCCCCTGTGGCAAGATGAAAGGATGCAGGTATCCTGAGGGTCCTTACCAGACCCAACAAGTTATCATGTGGACAGGATGAAAATGTCTTCTTTCCTATTCGTTCAGGAAGTTCTACTGCATAATATTATGTGGGGAAGAGGGGAGACCTGTTTGAAGACAGGGTGGGAACAGAAATTCCGGTACAAAAGTGTGCTAACATTTGTCAGCAGTTACTGAGCTTCTGCCAAATTCACACCTCTGCTCGTTTTATCCTAGAGGCTACACTTCAATCTTCTCTCTGGTTACCCACCTTCCCCATTTCCTAAGGGACACAACAGTTCCCTCAACTTCTACAAGTCCTCTCCCAGAGATTATTCTCTTCCAACTTTGTACAACCTATTCTAGATTCGCTGGCACGTTGCACCAGCTATTTTTCTAGTGATTTTTGTATGTATGATGGATCTGCTCTAAATTAGCAAATAATGTCTTTGAGGACAGAACCTTTACCTTACATACTGGAGGGTCCACATAATCATTCCATAAATACAATTAAGCTCAATTAATCAAAATTCAAGAAATTAGAACCTTCTCAGTTTAGAAGAATTATTTTTCTGCTCCCTAGTTTATTTATTTTAAAATTCAAAATAGATTCTGTTATCAAAATAAATTCAGTCATGGAAACTATTATTGCTATTCATAAAGATGTTTCAATTATCTTCATCCGTCTTTATTGCTAATATAGAAGGGAAATATTTCATCAAGACTTGAAAAAAGGAGAGCATTTTCCAGCTAGCTAACCAGATACTTGGGTTGACAAATAATACTTTGTATATAGGGCTAACAAAATGAGGTTTGATGGAATCTTCTGGTCAGTCCCTTTCATTCCAGCTTCAGTTCATTTGGGGAGAGTGGGGGTCAGGATATGCCCCGTTGAGAAGAGAAAGAACGATTATTCACTGGGCACCTGCCATGTGCGGGGGTACTACAGATACACTTAGCTTACACAAAAACTACTGCTAATTGAAAGAATAGAGCCAGGCACAGTGGCTCATGCCTGTAATCCCAGCATTTTGGGAGGCCAAGGTAGGCGGATCGCTTGAGGTCAGGAGTTCAAGACCAGTCTGGCCAATATGGTAAAACCCCATGTCTATCAAAAATGCAAAAATTAGCTGGGCATGGTGGTGCACACCTGTAGTCCCAGCTACTTGGGAGGCTGAGGCAAGAGAATCAGTTGAACCTGGGAGGCGGAGGCTGCAGTGAGCCAAGACTGCGCTACTACACTCCAGCCTGGGTGACAGAGTGAGACCCTGCCACAAAAAAGAAAAGAAAAGAAAAGAAAGAATAAATACTGCAATGACCTGAACATATCAAATAGGGTAAAAATCCGTGTTTATAATGGTGTTTTAAAAAAAACACAAAAAACCTTAACTGGTCACCTCTGGGCATTGCATGAATTCATTACTTGAATGAATCAAGTTTTGCTGCCTTTTCTATAAAAACAATCTTACAAAGTAACTAAATAATTAATGAAAGAAAATTCTTTAGAGAAGAATTCCAGCTAATAAATCCATCAAGAATGACATCAGGAAGTCACCATTTTCCAATTCCTAATGACAGAATGGATCTAGGCAACAATCGTGCATGAATGCTAAGACCCTCAGGTGAAAGGCTGATTTGCTTTTATCTGAATGTCTCTCTGCATCTGACTACCAGGGCATAGGAAGAAGTTAAAGGATCCTGATAAATGATATCACATGGAAGCTGTCAGCCAAATCCACAAAAGGAGTGTCTCAAACAAATTAATATGGAAATAAATCAAAAGAAGAGGGAGAAAAAAGGAGGGAGTATGTTGTACATTAAGAGAGATTTCAAGAGCGATAAGAACCAAATGTATTCTGTAAACTTCATTTAATCCTAACTTGAACAAATCAACTGTAAAATGACGTATTTGAGACAAGTGGGGAAACTTTACTATATTAGATGACAGTAAAGAATGTATTAATCTTGTTAGATGTGATATTAACAGGGTGGTTATGTTAAAAAACAAAAAACAAAAAACAAGATGACCTTATCAGTTAGAGACATCTAATTGAAGAATTTATAGAAGAAATGACATTATGTATAAGATTTGACTTTAAATACTCCAGCAAAAGAAATATGGCAAAATAAAAATAGATAAACAGATCAATAAATAATTAAGAGTAGATAAAACAAGATAGGAAAAATGGAGATAACTGTTGAAGCTGAGCATGGTGGTTCATAATACTAGTTACTATTTTATGAATGGTTACAATTTTACCATAATAAGAAGTTAATAAAAAGTAGGTACCAGGCTGGGTGTGGTGGCTCACGCCTGTAATCTCAGCACTTTAGGAGGCCGAGGGGGGTGGATCACCTGAGGTCAGAAGTTTGAAACCAACCTGGCCAACATGGTGAAACCCCATCTCTACTAAAAAGTACAAAAAATTAGCCAGGTATGGTGGTGCATACCTGTTATCTCAGCTACTCAGGAGGCTGAGGCCGAAGAACTGCTTGAACCCAGGAGATGGAGGTTGCAGTAAGCTGATATCACGGCACTGCACTCCAGTCTGGGCAACAAGAGTGAAACTCTGTCTCAAAGAAAAAAAAGAGTTAGTGCCTAAAAAGTTGCCTAAATCCATAATCTGAAACTTGAAAAGTAAACAAATAGTCAATTGGGCTTAGTGATACTTGACTTAACATATATATTTCTCTTCTTATTAGGCTTACCACCAACTTTATTGGAGCTTCACTTAGATTATAATAAAATTTCAACAGTGGAACTTGAGGATTTTAAACGATACAAAGAACTACAAAGGTAAACGTTCCCAAAATTTTAACTTAGAATGATACCTCCTGGAGAATGTGCACAGGGACCCTGGTAGAGATCACTGTCTGTTTAGCCAGTTGCTGTTGGAACTGGAGAGTGTGAAGGGAAAACTAGAAAGAACCACAATTGGCCGGGTGTGGTGGCTCACGCCTGTAATCCCAGCACTTTGGGAGGCCAAGGCGGGCAGATCCCGAGGTCAGGAGTTCGAGACCAGTCTGGCTAACATGGTAAAACCCCATCTCTACTAAAAAATACGAAAATTAGCCAGGCATGGTGGAGGGCGCCTGTAATCCCAGCTACTCGGGAGGCTGAGGTTGCAGTGAGCCAAGACTGTGCCACTGCACTCCAGCCTGGGCATGGGCAACAGAGCGAGACTCCATCTTAAAAAAAAAAAAAAAAAAAAAAAGAACCACCGTTATTACCACCTCTGCTGATAGGGGCGAATCAAGTGAAAAGAAGAAAATGACTTTTCAAATTTCCCTTTTGTTAAATTTAGGTCAAAGAATTTTCTGACAAAACTGGAAGATAGTTGTTACATACTGAAGTAGGTTATTAAATAAAGTAATGAAATATCTTTGAACATATATATAAATAGGACAGGCTTATATTCTAACTAGTTTGCGGTGTTTTCAGCTAACTCTATCACACCTAACCATCTGTGTAAGACTTGATGCATTTTATATCATTTTTAGGCTGGGCCTAGGAAACAACAAAATCACAGATATCGAAAATGGGAGTCTTGCTAACATACCACGTGTGAGAGAAATACATTTGGAAAACAATAAACTAAAAAAAATCCCTTCAGGATTACCAGAGTTGAAATACCTCCAGGTAAAACATTCTACTTGTGTTCAGTAGATATTGGTATTTTTCTTCAGTTTTTATAACACACTTTAGCACACCTCAAGCAAAGACCAAGTAAGCAGCAAGGGTGATTCAAACATAATGACTCTCCAGGTTGCATGAGGTGTTTTAAGAAGTAGGAGAGCTTTAGGAGAATGGTTTCTACATCGACGTCACAAGAAAGCTCAGGATCCATTTCCATCTTTTGGTTTCTCCTGTTGAAACTGCTGAGGACATTGCGGCAAAGCCGCTGGCACAGTTAATTTCAGATTTTAGGGCAGGGGTGGCTACGCAGAGGCAGGACTGGTCAGGAGGACATGGAGCAGTGTCACGTGTCCTTTTGATCTGGAAACATTTCTCAAGGCAGAGCAAGAGGATTAGGCTCCTGGTATTTTCGCTTTCAGTGTGGTGCTAGGATAGACATGTATATTTTTTTTTAAACATTCCAACCAGAATACAGTATATAACCAATTTAAAGTCACCATCTGGAGCATCATGAGTTCCCATTTTGTTGTTTGTTTTTATTCATTATTAGAAATCTTTTCCTTCTATTTGACAACTCTTAACTGGCTGGAAGGGGCCACAGATTCCTTGGAGAATCTAATAAAGATTTAGATCTTCCCAAGAACAAAAGTTTTCATCTTCCAAGGAGCTTGAGAACAAAACTGGGCAACAAGCCACTCTGCCTCTTCTCTTTTTCTTTCCGGTGTATCTTTAAACAAGTTTCGTTCACTGTACTCCTTTGAGATACAAACCATCAAAATGAATGTAATATAGGCAGGTGCTAATCTCAAGATCACAACTTTTGCTTTGACTTTTCCAAATGCTGCATTTGGATGTCTGTTTAGCCAGTGACTACAACTTGAGTCCGTCCTCTCTCAAGCTGCCCCATTCCTGATGTCATTTCTGCTTAATTTGCTCCACAACTCTGCTTCCAGCTTCTGGTCTCTCTTAAATCTACCTATACTCTTGCTAGCATTAATTAAATGAATAGAATTATAACACAAACAGAAGAACACATGTCATAAGCATATATTTCAATGAATGTCCACAAAGTAAACACACTGATGTCCAGCAGGTTTTCATTCCCAGTGAGATCAGTACTATGGTAAACTATACCTTGCACTTATATTGAGCAGCTGGGGGACTGAACACCAAACTTAAATGTTTTAGCAATGCCTAGAATTTTCATGATTGGTCTCATATCAGTCTTACTAAGACATAAAGGCAGAATCTAGAGGTAACAACAGCCAGGGAGGATATCCCACGTTGGCCAGCAAAAGACTTCTGCTCTTCAGTACACAAAAATGCTGTCAGTTAAGTAGATTGCTTTTATTTCCCAGAAATCTCACTGTTACCAAAAAAGGCCAAAGAAGAAATTAGAAGGGCTGTTAAAGGGAATGAGGGAAAGTTCCTCTATTTACCATACTTTTTGAGTAAGAATTTAATTTAAAAAGACATGTACACGGCCTGTAAAATTGTGACTTGTCCACTGGTGTACATAAGATCAAGTGATTTCAATTATTGATGCTATATTACAATTCTGCATTTAGGATGTTGATAGATCTTTCTACAAAACAACTTAGAAAAATTCTCCTTTGGTCACAGAAAATGCTAGCTAATAATTCTTCACAATCAAATTGTGAGCCTAATTCTTAGAGCATTAAATTTCATTCTTCTGATCATTTCTAATGTTTTAAATGCATTATTGTAAATATGGCACTGAAGTAACCATATATATACACATAAATATGTATATTTAAAAATATGTATGTTTATAAAAGTAAACATTACGCATGTATGTATTTATGTATATATGTATGTATGTACGTATGTATGTATCTATCTATCTATCTGGAGAGAGAGAGAGACAGCGACCCATGTGACCAGGCAGTATGCTCTGGGCCCTGGCGGGAGTCCTTCCCCAACACTTTTGTGTACAACACATGAGCTTGAGTTTTTATAATAGGTATTTAACATGCATAAGTGAGTACATCTACTTTACCTGAAAATACATTCAAGCCAATGTAAAATAAACAGATGAATAAACCCACAAACAAATGGCGACTACAGAGTATCTTCCGTTTACATTTACTGGGTATTTTTAATCCTTTCTTTTTTCCTACTACAACAGATAATCTTCCTTCATTCTAATTCAATTGCAAGAGTGGGAGTAAATGACTTCTGTCCAACAGTGCCAAAGATGAAGAAATCTTTATACAGTGCAATAAGTTTATTCAACAACCCGGTGAAATACTGGGAAATGCAACCTGCAACATTTCGTTGTGTTTTGAGCAGAATGAGTGTTCAGCTTGGGAACTTTGGAATGTAATAATTAGTAATTGGTAATGTCCATTTAATATAAGATTCAAAAATCCCTACATTTGGAATACTTGAACTCTATTAATAATGGTAGTATTATATATACAAGCAAATATCTATTCTCAAGTGGTAAGTCCACTGACTTATTTTATGACAAGAAATTTCAACGGAATTTTGCCAAACTATTGATACATAAGGGTTGAGAGAAACAAGCATCTATTGCAGTTTCTTTTTGCGTACAAATGATCTTACATAAATCTCATGCTTGACCATTCCTTTCTTCATAACAAAAAAGTAAGATATTCGGTATTTAACACTTTGTTATCAAGCACATTTTAAAAAGAACTGTACTGTAAATGGAATGCTTGACTTAGCAAAATTTGTGCTCTTTCATTTGCTGTTAGAAAAACAGAATTAACAAAGACAGTAATGTGAAGAGTGCATTACACTATTCTTATTCTTTAGTAACTTGGGTAGTACTGTAATATTTTTAATCATCTTAAAGTATGATTTGATATAATCTTATTGAAATTACCTTATCATGTCTTAGAGCCCGTCTTTATGTTTAAAACTAATTTCTTAAAATAAAGCCTTCAGTAAATGTTCATTACCAACTTGATAAATGCTACTCATAAGAGCTGGTTTGGGGCTATAGCATATGCTTTTTTTTTTTTAATTATTACCTGATTTAAAAATCTCTGTAAAAACGTGTAGTGTTTCATAAAATCTGTAACTCGCATTTTAATGATCCGCTATTATAAGCTTTTAATAGCATGAAAATTGTTAGGC
Organism: Homo sapiens; assembly: GCF_000001405.40. NCBI lineage: Eukaryota > Metazoa > Chordata > Mammalia > Primates > Hominidae > Homo > Homo sapiens. The sequence goes on along the minus strand of NW_025791788.1, from coordinate 291,237 downwards.
TATATAACATTGCCACTTCAACTCTAAGGAATATTTTTGAGATATCCCTTTGGAAGACCTTGCTTGGAAGAGCCTGGACACTAACAATTCTACACCAAATTGTCTCTTCAAATACGTATGGACTGGATAACTCTGAGAAACACATCTAGTATAACTGAATAAGCAGAGCATCAAATTAAACAGACAGAAACCGAAAGCTCTATATAAATGCTCAGAGTTCTTTATGTATTTCTTATTGGCATTCAACATATGTAAAATCAGAAAACAGGGAAATTTTCATTAAAAATATTGGTTTGAAATAAAATATTTGTGCTTTGATGTTATTTTTCTTCACCCACCCAGCAATATAAACTATTCTTCAGAAAACTCTAATCTATATATAACATGTTTAGAGCAGTATTAATGTCAATTATTATTACTTTTTGTTTTGTTTTGAGATGGAATCTCGCCCTGTAGCCCAGGCTGGATGGAGTGCAGTGGCCTGATCTTGGCTCACTGCAACCTCCGCCTCCTGGGTTCAAGCGATTCTCCTGCTCCAGCCTCCCAAATAGCTGGGATTACAGGCACATGCCACCATGCCCAGCTAATTTTTTGTATCTTTAGTAGAGACGGGGTTTCACCATGTTGGCCAGGCTAGTCTCGAACTCCTGACCTCGTGATCTGCCCGCCTCTGCCTCCCAAAGTGCTGGGATTACAGGCGTGAGCCACTGAGCCTGGCCTAATGTAAATTCTTAATAACAATAATACATGTTATTAATACATATAATAATAACAATACACCATGTAATTCCTATGCTATGAAAGATAATCACCTTTATATTAAGCTACATCAAAAACAAGATTTTAAATAACTTGGGGGCGAGGGGGAAAGAACAACATTACAGATATACAAGAGATGGAGGTTTGGATTTCGAGGTTAAGAATGGGTAAATAAAGTCTTATTCTTCACAGTGGAGTTACTCAACTTTGGCTCCCTTGACATTTTGGGCCAGGTCATTCTTTGCGGCAGGGGCTGCCCTGTACATCTTTTAGTTGCACCCTGGTCTCTACACACTAGATGGCAGTAACACCTGCGTCCCCTGCCCTCCACAGGTTTTTGTTTGTTTTTTATTTTGTTAAGAGACAGAGTCTTGCTCTGTTGCCCAGGCTTCAGTGCAGCAGTGTGATCATAGCACACTGTAGCCACAAACTCCTAGGCTCAAGCAATCCTCCTGCTTCAGGCTTCCAAGTAGCTGGGACTACAGGTGCATACCACTGTGCTCAGCTAATTTTTTGTGGAGACAGGGTCTCACTTTGTTGCCCAGGCTGATATTGAACTCCTGGCTTCAAGTAATCCTCCAAGCCTTAGCCTCCTAAAGTGTTAGGATTACAGGCATGAGCCACTGCATCCAGCCTCCCCTCTACCTCTATAGTTTTGACAAACAACAATTTCTCCAGAAATTGACAAATGTCCCTGCAGGGAGTGGTGGAAGGTAGGGCAAAATCTCAGCAGGTTGCAAACAACGGCTTTACAGGAAAGTTAGTCAATTTCTAAAATGACATATCTGGAAACCTAGAACAAAACTGCTACTTTTTTGAGCAAAAAAAGAGGGAAGACCATGGTATGAGTAGAGGGATGATGATAGTATGATTTTAATAATAAATGTTCACCACCAGTAGTGCTAGAACCAGCAGTGTCCCGGGTTGCAGAACTTTGCCTTGGAAATCCAGTTCCATTTATAGTCTTGGGCAAGTTACCACCTCTCTGAGCCTGCTTCCTCACCTATAAAGGGTAGGGGTGACAACACTGAACAAGGTTGCTATGAAGAATAAATGATAAAAATATATATGCAATGCTTTGTAAACCATAAACATTTACAAAGAAAAATAAAAGATCATGAAGTCCTTAAAGATAAAAGAAAACAATACTATAATAATCACTCAAAAATTAAAATATTCTAAAGTTTCAATTGCTTTAATAAACAAAATAAATTTTTCTACAATGTAACAAAAAATTGTGATATCATGGCACTTATAAGAACATATGTAAAAGTAAAAAATGTTTACTGACATTGAAAAAACCCAACATCTTGAAATTCATCATTAAAATCATAAGGTAAATACTAAGGTTAGAATAAAAGACAGATTTATCTATGATCTGAATAGTGGAGCTTAAAGTAGCCAAGTTAATCTTTTTACAAAAAGAAAAGACAAAACCAAAATTTTAAAATACTGGAAATGATTCTTGAAATCCCTGCAATTAATTCACTGAGGTTTATGTTTGTATTTTCAATCTTCCAGCTGTTAGCCATTTTTGGTTTTAAGTTTGCAAAAAACAAATCACTAATAAAAATCATAAACAACCAAAACTGCATTAACATTTACTGCCAAAAACACATTTTCTGGTGAATACAAAATATTACCCACTGGAAAAATCCATTAAAGATTGAAAACAAGTGACTTACTATTTATTGGGTTTATGAAGGACTAAATTACTGAAGTGATTTTCTTTAACTATTATGAGGTATTTAGAAGTCACTAAAACAAAAACTTTTTTTTTTTCTTTTTTTTCCTGAGATGAGGTCTTTCCACAAATTGTCCAGGCTGGTCTCAAACTCTTGGGCTTAAGTGATCTTCCTGTCTCAGACTCCAGAGTAGATGGGATTACAGGCGTGAGCCACCACACCCAGCATTCCAAAAGCTTTTTTTAAAAAATTTCAATTTTCGTTTCCCTTAAGCTACCATACTATTTCTCTTTCATTCACAATTCAATCCCTTTTTGAAAGAATTGCCGCTTGGTGCAGAGCTGAGTTCAATTCCTGGGTATCCTTGTTAACTTTCCGTCTCACTGATCTGTCTAATGTTGACAGTGGGGTGTTAAAGTCTCCCATTATTATTGTGTGGGAGTCTAAGTCTCTAATAGACATCTACAGAACTCTCCACCCCAAATCAACAGAATATACTTTTTTTTCAGCACCACACCACACCTTTTCCAAAATTGACCATATAGTTGGAAGTGAAGCTCTCCTCAGCAAATGTAAAAGAACAGAAATTATAACAAACTGTCTCTCAGACCACAGTGCAATCAAATTAGAACTCAGTATTAAGAAACTCACTCAAAACCGCTCAACTACATGGAAACTGAACAACCTGCTCCTGAATGACTAATGGGTACATAACGAAATGAAGGCAGAAATAAAGATGTTCTTTGAAACCAATGAGAACAAAGACACAACATACCAGAATCCCTGGGACACATTCAAAGCAGTGTGTAGAGGGAAATTTATAGCACTAAATGCCCACAAGAGAAAGCAGGAAAGATCCAAAATTGACACCCTAACATCACAATTAAAAGAACTAGAAAAGCAAGAGCAAACACATTCAAAAGCTAGCAGAAGGCAAGAAATAACTAAAATCAGAGCAGAACTGAAGGAAATAGAGACATAAAAAACCCTTCAAAAAATTAATGAATCCAGGAGCTGGTTTTTTGAAAGGATCAACAAAATTGATAGACCCCTAGCAAGACTAATAAAGAAGAAAAGAGAGAAGATTCAAATAGACGCAATAAAAAATGATAAAGGGGATATCACCACCGATCCCACAGAAATACAAACTACCATCAGAGCATACTACAAACACCTCTATGCAAATAAACTAGAAAATCTAGAAGAAATGGATAAATTCCTCGACACATACACCCTCCCAAGACTAAACCAGGAAGAAGTTGAATCTCTGAATAGACCAATAACAGACTCTGAAATTGTGGCAATAATCAATAGCTTACCAACCAAAAAGAGTCCAGGACCAGATGGATTCACAGCCGAATTCTACCAGAGCTACAAGGAGGAACTGGTACCATTCCTTCTGAAACTATTCCAATCAACAGAAAAAGAGGGAATCCTCCCTAACTCTTTTTATGAGGCCAGCATCATCCTGATACCAAAGCCTGGCAGAGACACCACAAAAAAGGAGAATTTTAGACCAATATCCTTGATGAACTTTGATGCAAAAATCCTCAATAAAATACTGGCAAACCGAATCCAGCAGCACATCAAAAAGCTTATCTACCATGATCAAGTGGGCTTCATCCCTGGGATGCAAGGCTGGTTCAATATACACAAATCAATAAATGTAATCCAGCATATAAACACAACCAAAGACAAAAACCACATGATTATCTCAATAGATGCAGAAAAGGCCTTTGACAAAATTCAACAACCCTTCATGCTAAAAACTCTCAATAAATTAGGTATTGATGGGACGTATCTCAAAATAATAAGAGCTATCTATGACAGACCCACAGCCAATATCATACTGAATGGGCAAAAACTGGAAGCATTCCCTTTGAAAAGTGGCACAAGACAGGGATGCCCTCTCTCACCACTCCTATTCAACATAGTGTTGGAAGTTCTGGCCAGGGCAATTAGGCAGGAGAAGGAAATAAAGGGTATTCAATTAGGAAAAGAGGAAGTCAAATTGTCCCTGTTTGCAGATGACATGATTGTATATCTAGAAAACCCCATTGTCTCAGCCCAAAATCTCCTTAAGCTGATAAGCAACTTCAGCAAAGTCTCAGGATACAAAATCGATGTACAAAAATCACAAGCATTCTTATACACCAATAACAGACAAACAGAGAGCCAAATCATGAGTGAACTCCCATTCACAATTGCTTCAAAGAGATTAAAATACCTAGGAATCCAACTTACAAGGGATGTGAAGGACCTCTTCAAGGAGAACTACAAACCACTGCTCAATGAAATAAAAGAGGATACAAACAAATGGAAGAACATTCCATGCTCATGGGTAGGAAGAATCAATATCGTGAAAATGGCCATACTGCCCAAGGTAATTTATAGATTCAATGCCATCCCCATCAAGCTACCAATGACTTTCTTCACAGAATCGGAAAAAACTACTTTAAAGTTTATATGGAACCAAAAAAAGAGCCCGCATCGCCAAGTCAATCCCAAGCCAAAAGAACAAAGCTGGAGGCATCATGCTACCTGACTTCAAACTATACTACAAGGCTACAGTAACCAAAACAGCATGGTACTGGTACCAAAACAGAGATATAGATCAATGGAACAGAACAGAGCCCTCAGAAATAACGCCGCATATCTACAACTATCTGATCTTTGACAAACCTGAGAAAAACAAGCAATGGGGAAAGGATTCCCTATTTAATAAATGGTGCTGGGAAAACTGGCTAGCCATATGCAGAAAGCTGAAACTGGATCCCTTCCTTACACCTTATACCAAAATTAATTCAAGATGGATTAAAGACTTAAACGTTAGACCTAAAACCATAAAAACCCTAGAAGAAAACCTAGGCATTACCATTCAGGACATAGGCATGGGCAAGGACTTCATGTCTAAAACACCAAAAGCAATGGCAACAAAAGACAAAATTGACAAATGGGATCTAATTAAACTAAAGAGCTTCTGCACAGCAAAAGAAACTACCATCAGAGTGAACAGGCAACCTACAGAATGGGAGAAAATTTTTGCAACCTACTCATCTGACAAAGAGCTAATATCCAGAATCTACAATGAACTCAAACAAATTTACAAGAAAAAAACAAACAACCCCATCAAAAAGTGGGCGAACGACATGAACAGACACTTCTCAAAAGAAGACATGTATGCAGCCAAAAAACACATGAAAAAATGCTCACCATCACTGACCATCAGAGAAATGCAAATCAAAACCACAATGAGATACCATCTCACACCAGTTAGAATGGCAATCATTAAAAAGTCAGGAAACAACAGGTGCTGGAGAGGATGTGGAGAAATAGGAACACTTTTACACTGTTGGTAGGACTGTAAACTAGTTCAACCATTGTGGAAGTCAGTGTGGCGATTCCCCAGAGATCTGGAACTAGAAATACCATTAGACCCAGACATCCCATTACTGAGTATATACCCAAAGGACTATAAATCATGCTGCTATAAAGACACATGCACACGTATGTTTATTGTGGCACTATTCACAATAGCAAAGACTTGGAACCAACCCTAATGTCCAACAATGATAGACTGGATTAAGAAAACGTGGCACATATACACCATGGAATACTATGCAGCCATAAAAAATGATGAGTTCATGTCCTTTGTAGGGACATGGATGAAACTGGAAATCATCGTTCTCAGTAAACTATCGCAAGAACAAAAAACCAAACACCGCATCTTCTCACTCATAGGTGGGAATTGAACAATGAGAACACATGGACACAGGAAGGGGAACATCACACTCTGGGGACTGTCGTGGGGTCGGGGGAGGGGGGAGGGATAGCTTTAGGAGATATACCTAATGCTAAATGACGAGTTAATGGGTACAGCACACCAGCATGGCACATGTATACATATGTAACTTACCTGCACATTGTGCACATGTACCGTAAAACTTAAAGTATAATAATAATAATAATAATAAAAAGAAAGAATTGCCTTACCTCAGTCTGTATTACCTTTCTATTCACATGGACCTTAATCTGTTGTGGCTGACCTAACAATTCTCCTTAATCTATTTTCCCAAAATTATCTTATACAAATAACATTAAACAATAATAGCTGATTTTATTAGTCCATTCTCACACTGCTATAAAGAAATACCTGACACTGGGTAATTTATAAACAATGTTTAATTGGCTCATAGTTCTGCAGGCTGTATAGGAAGCATGGCAGAGTCTGCTTCTGGGGAGGCCTCAGGAAGCATCCAATGATGGCGGAAGGAGAAGGGGGAGCAGCATTTCACTTGGCTAGAGAAAGGGGAGGTGCCACACACTTTTAAATGACCTGATCTCATGAGAACTCACTTACTATCATGAGAACTGCTCCAAGGGGAAAATCCGCCCCCATGATCCAATCACCTCCCACCAGGCCCAACCTCCAACATTGGGGATTAAAATTTGACATGAGATTTGGGTGGGAACACAGATCCAAACCATATCACTGATGTTTAAAGAACATTTTCAGATATTCTTCTAAATGCCTTACTTTTAATCCTCACAATAACCCTATGAGGTACTTTTACTTATATCTGGTATTTTTTTTTTTTTTTTTTTTTTTTTTTTTTTTTTTTTTTTTGGAGATAGAGTCTCGCTCATCACCCAGGCTGGAGTGCAGTGGTGCAATCTTGGCTCACTGCAAGCTCTGCCTCCTGGGTTCACGCCATTCTGCCTCAGCCTCCTGAGTAGCTGGGACTACAGGCGCCCGCCACCACGCCCGGCTAATTTTTTGTATTTTTAGTAGAGACGGGGTTTCACTGTGTTAGCCACGATGGTCTCGATCTCCTGACCTCGTGTCCGCCCGCCTTGGCCTCCCAAAGTGCTGGGATTACAGGCTTGAGCCACCACACCCAGCCTGTATCTGTTTTTTTAGGTGTAGGAGCTAAGGAAATTAAATCACTTGTGGCAGATCTGGGATTTGAATACAGCAGTCTAGCTCCATGCTTTTAACTATGATGATACACTATTTTTCTTGAAAATCTCTGTTCACTTTGAAATCACCTTTGCAAATATATCAATGAGAATATTATGACAGTAAAAAAGATCTGACTAACCTACCCTCCATCTTCCCTTTCCTTAAATTATCACTGTGCTTTTGGGCTGAGCTAACTTTGGAAGACATTTAGGCTATAGTTTAAATGTAATAGACCTTGCCCAAAACTCAGCTTATTTTGTAAAGCTAATGGAAGGCCATGAACTGGGTGAAGAGAGGAGCCCGATTCTGCTAAGGTGTAGACATAGATTGTCAGCCATTCCTGGAAATAACGTAACTATTGTAGACTGGCTTTTTGGGATACCTTTTCAGGTTTTTTTGCATGGCTGACACCTACGGCTTCACCTGGACCTTCCAATCCCATTCCTGTGGCCCCATCCAGAAGCAATTCAGCCCACAGGAGAACGGCTTACACCCCCCTAGAGATGAAATCATAGGATTTCATCTCTGCCCCAACCAATCAGCAGCAAGCCTTGCCTCCCTGACCACTTCTCCAAAACTGCCTTTGAAAAACCCCTAACCCTCAGGAGTTCGAGACCAGCCTGCCAAAATGGTGAAACCCCGTCTCTACCAAAAATACAAAAAAATTAGCTGGGCATAGTGGTGGGCACCTGTAATCCCAGCTACTTGGGAGGCTGAGGCAGGATAATCGCTTGAACCTGGGAGGCAGAGGCTGCAGTCAGCAGAAATCATGCCACCGCACACCAGCCTCCTGGGTGACAGAGCAAGACTCTCTCAAAAAAAAAAAAAGAAAAAAGAGAAAAACCCCTAACCCACAAGATGATTTGAGTACTAACTCCATCTCCCACGTGGTGTGGCCAGCCTTGTGTCTATTAAACTCTTTCTTTACTACAATGCTGCAGTCTTCATTTGTGCAGTGGGCTGGAAGAAACCCTTGGGTGGTTACAACTTTGCTAACACACATTATGCTTTTCTGGTTGTCCTTTAGTGGCTAGTGTTCCCCAATATCCTTCATTTGGTCTCTTCTCTTTATTCCCTAAAAATTTCATCCATTGTAATCATTACCTTTAGGGTGAGTCCTTCAAAATCCACATCTCAAACACTTACCTCATTCAAAAGTAGCAACCTTTCAGAAGCAAACTTAAACATCTGGTGGCATAAAACTCAATCAAAATGAACATCATAAACCATTTCCTTCGAACTCATAAGGTCCCTATTGACTCTGTTTTTCCTCCCAGCTGTGCAGGTTCTAAACTTCTAGGAGTTGCTCAGCTGATTTCTAACCTTCCTGCATCTCTACGGACAACCAGGTGCCAAGTCCTGCCCTACCTTCTCATGCTTCTTGCATCCATTCCTTCCTTTTTATTCTCAGTCACTGTATCACAATCACATTCTTGTTGGAATATGTGAAAGGAAAACAAAATCTCAGGACCCCAAATTCACTATGCCAGGGGTCTATAACCCTAGGGTCATGGACCACAACTGGTACGAACTGAAATACACAGCAGGAGGTGAAAGGTGGGCAAGTGAGTGAAGCTTCATCTGTATTTACAGCCACTTCCCATTGCTTGTGTTACTGCCTGAGCTCCATCTCCTGTCAAATCAGCAGTGACATTAGATTCTCATAGGAGTGCAAACCCTATTATGAACCACACATGTGAGGGATCTAACTTGCATGCTCCTTATGAGAATCTACTGTCTGATGACCTGTCACTGTCTCCCATCACCCCCAGGTGGGACCATCTAGTTGCAGGAAAACAAGCTCAGGGTTCCTACTGATTCTACATGATGGTGATCTGTATAATTATTTCATTATATATTACAATGTAATAATAATAGAAACAAAGTACACAATAAATGTAATGCGACTGAATCACCCTGAAACCATTCCTTCCTCCCTCATGCCTGTCCGTGGAAAAATTGTATTCCACAAAACTGGTCCCTGGTGACAAAAAGTCTGGGGTCCGCTACACTATGTTAAAGAGGAAAAGTTAAGCTCGAAGCTGAATCATGCAAGCAACTCATTCCTTTGTTTTGAAACATTTAGAAGGCCAGATGTCCCCACAGGTAGCTACTCTGTTTACTTTATCTTACCTAAAGTGCTGATTTACTGAGCTGAGATGAATACATAGTTGACTATTCTTCCAGCCCTCCCTTTTTCCCTCCTTTTCTTCATTCCTTTTTTTCTCTTTCTCTCCCTCCCTCACTCTCTTTCTGTTTTTCTTTTCTTTTCTATTTTTTTTTTTTTTTAAGAGACAGAGTCCCACTCTGTTGCCCAGCTTGGTCTGTTCTTTCATATTCTCCAGAGGATTTTAGATAGCTTGGTTGCAAGGACTGTGTGTTAGTCATCTTTGCATCCTCTCTTCCCCTCCCCAAAGCTAACATGCTGCCTTTGTTCAATATACTTTTCTGAATGAAATCACTGAATGATGCTTATTAGTGAAGGAAAAGAAAAAAAATTTATTCACACCTTAGGAACACAATGTGTTTTTATCTGCTATATCTTCTTCCACTCCAGTAGCTCACTTTACCTTATAGCTCTACAACAGACTACAGTTACTATTTAGAGATACACTGTTATATTCTACATTACACAGAGGAAGGGGCAAACGGCATTTTTCCCCAATGCACTTTTATTAAGTATTTATTAATGGAGGCATTCATTATAGTTTCTATTATAGACTCTGAGGAGCTCTGAAACCGATTTTCCCAATCACCTCTGACCAGTGCTATAACAAAGAAAACATTTCCAGCAGTTATATCTCTCTTGGAGAAATAATAAAAAATTAAGGAGCTGCTTTAAAATGAACCCAAATATAGAAAAAGAATGAAATTATAGAGGGTCTAAAGAGGCAGAAACACTGGGACAACTCAGGCTAAGGCACAAAAGCACATGCCATTCCTTGGCTTTACAGTCAAGGCACAATCATTTGTATAAAGTCCTGGTATTAAGACTTCCAGTGATGGAGAGTTTTTTTTTCTTTACATTTACAGTGCTAGCAACTTTTATTCTTTACCTTTTTACCAAGGAGAATTTATGACAGAAGCGAAAGTAGAAAGAATAAAATAATAAACTTCTGTATACTTCTCACTCAGTTTCAAAAATTATTAATTTATAACCAATCATTTCATATATACTTCCATCCCTATTATTATCTTAATAACAGCATTTTTTTTTTTTGAGACATTATCTTGCTCTGTCGTCCAGGCTGGAGTGCAGTGGTGTAACTCGGCTCACTGCAACCTCCACCTCTCAGGTTCAAGTGATTCTCCTGCTCAGCCTCTCAAGTAGCTGGGATTACAGGTGTCTACCAACACGCCCAGCTAATTTTTGTATTTTTAGTAGAGACAGGGTTTTACCATGTTGGCCAGGCTGGTCTTCAACTCCTGACCTCAGGTGATTGGCCCACCTCGGCCTCCCAAAGTGTTGAGATTACAGGCGTGAGCTACCACGCCCGGCCAATAACAGCTTTATTGAGGTACAATTAATATACTATATAATTCAATCCTTTAAAGTATACAATTCATTGATTTTTATACTCAGGGTTGTACAACCATCACTACAGTCCATTTTAAAACACTCTTGTCAGGCTCCAAGGTGGACAACTAGATGCAGTCAGGGAGAACATCTCCAATGGAGGGACCACGACATCAGGAAGACTAGCTCACTCCTAGCAGATCTTCAGAGGGAAGGCATTAAGAGCAGATGAGGGAAGACAGAGATGCTAGGCTCAAGGGGAAGGAAGCTGGGAACCCTGCATGGGGCTACCACGCACCGGGACTCATTGCTGGACCCCAATGATGCTTGAAGAAGGGGTGACTGAACAGACAAAGGAGAAACCCACTCTCACCAGAGGCCTCTGGAAGCCCAGCAGGATGAGACACTGTGACCACCTTGAACATTTAAGTTGGCAGAGAAAGCTGCTTAGAGAAGTGGTAGGCACAGAACTCCAGCTGGTGTGGAGCCCAGAGGGTTTAGTGCAGAAGCATCTGCAGTGGAGCATGAACAGGGACGCCCATCCCCCTAGGCTCAACTTGCTCCCATAGGAGACGTTGGCCCTAGGGGAACTGCTGGACCTGAACTCCAGGAGACAGGGCTGGTCCGACTGGACCACTGTTTGGTCTGTTGGTCTCTCCAGGGTCCCCAGCCTGGCCACACCTGCTTGCAGTACAGCCGCCAGGTAACTCCTAGGGGCCCATGTCAGCTCCTGTAGTGGCTGAGCTCACCTAACTGGCAGAGTGCTCCAGCAGAGAGGCCACTGCTGACATGCACCAGCTTGCACACGCCCTCTCCCCACTGCAGCCTCCCCCATGCTGCTTTGCCTGCAGGTACTCGCCCACAGGCACCCCCAACATTACTTTAATAGTGAACAAATGGTGCTGGGACAATACATTCACAACACACCATATGCAGAGCTTAACATGGGACAGAGATAATAAGCATAAGAGCTAACACTATTAAACTCGTAAAACAGACATAAATACTCATGAGTTTGGATTATGCAATGATTTCTTAGATGTGACACCAAAATCACAAGCAAAAAAGACATAAATTAGACATCAGCAAAATTAAAACGTTTTGTCCATCAAAAGACATCATCAAGAAAGTAAAAAAAAAAAAGCTCATAGAATGGAAGAATTTTGCAAATCATATCTATCGATAAGGGACTTGTATCTAGAATAAAATTCCTACCACTCAATACTTAAAAACCCCAATTTAAAAATGCATGAAGGATCTAAATTGACATTTCTCCAAAGAAATGACCAAATAAACACATGAAAAGATAGCATCACTAATCATCAGGGAAATGGAAAATCACACCACAGTGAGGCATCTCATTTCATACTCACTGTATGAAATGTAAATTATATGCTATGATTATAATTTGATTAAAATAGATTCAGTATCTCAAAGCGGAGTGATATAGGACTGGCTAGGAAAATTTATAATTTATTTATTGAAAAGATCTTATCCCCACTGACTTGCAGTGTATATGTATCATAAATCAAGCAATCATATATGTCGAGTTTATTTCTGAGTTCAATGTCTATTTCTAAGCCTGAATTTTTATCCCATAGGTCTATACCTTAAGATTTTGTGGCCGGGCACAGTGGCTCATGCCTGTAAGCCCAGCACTTTGGGAGGCCGAAGTGGGTGGACTGCCTGAGGTCAGGAGTTTGAGACCAGCCTGGCCAAAATGGTGAAACCCCATCTCTACTAAAAATACAAAAAAAATTAGCTGGGCGTGGTGGTGTGCACCTGTAATTCCAGCTACTTGGGAGGCTGAGGCAGGGGAATTGATTGAACCAGGGAGGTGGAGGTCGCAGTGAGCCGAGATTGCGCCACTGCACTCCAGCCTGGGGGACAGAGCAAAACTCTGTCTCAAAAAACAAAAAAAAAAAACTTTGTAACATACTAAGTCCTCTTTGTTGTTTTATCTCAGGATTGTCTTGGTTATTCTAGGTCCTTTGCATTTCCATATTAATTTCAGAATTAGCATGTAAAATCACACAAAAACCAAGCTGAGATTATTATTGAGATTGCAGTGAATCTCGGATCATTTTGGAGAGAACTGGCATCTTAGCAATACTGAGTCTTTCAGTTAACGAGCTAGCTATTCTTCAATTTCCTTCTTGGCATTGTTTTGTAGTATTCTGATAAAAGTCTTACACATTTTTTTTAGAGTTACCCCAGGTTACTGATAGCTCAGAGGCTATTATAAATGATCTTTTAAAGTTTTATTTTCCAATTATGTATTGGTAATATATGGTAAAAATTGATATTTTTATATTGAAATTATAATCAGCAGTCTTGCTAAATCCTGCTGATTACACTGATTAGAATTAGACTGATTAGAATTAGACTTATTAATTCTAATAGTTTGCTTGTATATTCTTTTGGGATTTCAAAAATATAATTATGTCTACTGTAATTAAAGTTAGTTTTTATTCCTTTTTTCTCTACTTTTGTACCTTTTATTTCTTCTTTTCTGTATCTCACTGCTAGGAGCTCCAGTATAAAACTGAATAGGAGTGATGAAAGTAGATATTCTTGCCTTGTTCTCAATTTTTGGGGAGAAGAGAGTTGAGTATTTCCTCATGTTATGTTAGTGGCAGATATTTTTGTAGATACCCTCTATCAAATTAAGTCACCTTCCTAAAAATTTTCATCATAATGGTGTATTTAATTGTATCCAATGTTTTTTTTTTTTTTGAGAAGGAGTCTTGCACCGTCACCTAGGCTGGAATGCAGTGGCGTGATCTCGGCTCACTGCAAGCTCCGCCTCCCGGGTTCACGCCATTCTCCTGCCTCAGCCTCCCAAGCAGCTGGTACTACAGGCACCCACCACCACGCCTGGCTAATTTTTTTTTGTATTTTTAGTAGAGACGGGGTTTCATTGTTTTAGCCAGGATGGTCTTGATCTGACCTCGTGATCCACCTGCCTCGGCTTCCCAAAGTGCTAGGATTACAGGCGTGAGCCACTGTGCCCAACTGTATCAAATGTTTTTTATTTACTAAGATGTTCATATAATTTTCCTTTATTCTGTTAATATTATGAATCACACTGGGCTTTTTCAAACCAATTTGGAGTTCCTGATACAAATCCCACTTGATCATAATGGAGTGGTTTTTTTTTGTTTTTTCTTTTTTTTTTTTTTTTTTGAGACAGAGTTTCACTCTTGTTGTCCAGGCTGGAGTGCAATGGCGCGACCTCGGCTCACTGCAACCTCCGCCTCCCGGATTCAACTGATTCTCCTGCGTCAGCCTCCCAAGTGGCTGGGATTACAGGCATGCGCCACCACGCTCGGCTAATTTTTTTATTTTTAGTAGAGACGGGGTTTCTCCATGTTGGTCAGGCTGGTCTCGAACTCCTGACCTCAGGAGATTTGCCCGCCTTGGCCTCCCACAGTTCTGGGATTACAGGTGTGAGCCACTGTGCCCGGCCTTGTTTTTATATATATCTAAATTTTAACTTATAATGTTTTATTTACTATTTGTGTGTTTACTGGACTGTAATTCTATTTTCTTGTGATGCACCTGTCAAATTTTGGGGTAGGGGTTATTTCGGCCTTAGAAAGAATACCTCTCTCTACTTTTTAAAACATTAACTACAATACAATTACCATACCAAAAAATAATTGACAATATTTCCTTACTATCATCAAACCCAGCAAATGTTCAACTTGCCAACTGTTCCACAATTTTTAAACTCGTTTGTCTGTTGAGTCAGTATCCACATAAGGCCCACACAGATGTCATAAGTTGATATATCTTTTAAGTCTTTGTTTTGTTTTGCTTTGTTTCCTAAGAGTCTCACTCTGGCACCTAGGCTGGAGTGCAGTGGCGCGATCTCGGCTCACTGCAACCTCCACCTCCACGGTTGAAGTGACTCTCGTGCCTCAGCCTCCTGAGTAGCTGGGACTACAGGTACGCGCTATCATGCCAGGCTGACTTTTGTGTTTTTTGTAGAGGTGGAGTCTTGTTATGTTGCTCAGGCTGGTCTTGAACTCCTGGGCTCAAGTGATCTGCCTGCCTCAGCCTCCCAAAGTGTGGGGATTACAGGTGTGAGCCACTGCACCTGGCCAATATACCTTTTAAGTCTTTTTTAACCTATACATTTCCCCTTCATCCCTTTTTTTCTTCCTTACATTTTATTTGATGGAGAAACCAAGTTGTTTGTCTCACAGGCATTTCCCACAGTCTAGATTTTGCTGACTGCGTACTTGTGGTGTACTTTAACATATTCCTCTGTCTGCATTTCCTATAAATTAGTAGTTGAATCCATACTGTCGACTTCTTATAAACTTTCTATTGATGTTTGATATATGTATAGAAAAGTACATAGATGATAAATATGTAGCTTGATTAATTTTAACACTGTAGTTACATACCATGTAAGTAACATCCAAAAGTATGACTAATAAAATACAAAAATTCATGCACTTGTTTTTTATTAACGTTTTCTTAAACATACAGATAGCTCACATTTATTTCAATGTTTAATATTAGAAGTGTTTTGGGTCTTCATTACGAAGTTCGGTGATGATTCTATAACCAGAAATATGCCACAGGAACTTAACACTTGTTTGATAACAATTAGCCTATGGTAAAATTGGTTTCATTATATGTCATTTCACTTAAAGTCGCAGTTTCAAAGAACCCATTGACGATGTTAAGTGAGGACTTACTGAACAATAGTCTCGGTTTTACCTTGGGGGATATGTTTCAAGACATCCCCTGTAGATGCCTGAAACCACAGCAAGTACAAAACCTGATTGTTGTCAGTCAAAACACATTTCTGTTCACGTCTTCCACTCACAGATTTAATGCCTTTTCCCTCTTAACTAAATACTTATAATGCATTAATTGTGGTCATAACTTTCGCAGTTTGAGGTGCAACAGGAAACTAAACTAGTTTCTTTTTCCTTCTTCACAATTTTACAGATAGGAGATTTGGTCTTACTACAGATGTTAGCACTCTTACCATACCATTCTTTTTCTTTCCTTATTAAGTTGAGAACTTTTACTAAGGGAAAAGTTTTCACTTAAGGGAAGCACTTTATAGATCAAGCTTGTCCAACCCACAGCCATGGCCCACTGTAGCCCAGGATGGCTTTGAATGTGGCCCAACACAAATTCGTAAGCTTTCTTAAAACATGATGAGTTTTCTTGTGATTTATTTATTTATTTATTTATTTATTTATTTATTTATTTTAACTCATCAGCTATCACTAGTGTTAGTGTGTTTTATGTGTGGCCCATGACAATTCTTTTTCTTCCAATGTGGCCCAGGGAAGCCAAAAGACTAGGCACCCCGTTATAGATTCTCTTTGACATAAGGTTTACTACAACGTAAGTGCTGGGATACCATGACAGGTGATCTGATAACCCTAAGTGACTAATGGGAGGTGAGTGTATATAGTGTGGATATGTTGCACACAGGGATGATTCATGTCCTGGACTAGACAGAGCTGGACAGCACAGGACTTCGTCAGGCTACTCAAAATAGCATGTAATTTGAAACATGAATTATTTCTTTCTGGAATTTTCCATTTAATATTTTTGGACCATGGTTGACCATGGGTAACTCAAATGGGGGAAAGCAAAACTGTGGATAAGGGGAGGCCACTGTAAATATTAACTTGAATAAACATAAGTAACAGAAATTCTGGTTCCTAGGTCTCTATATTCACCACTCTTATCCATACTTAGAATCATTTCACTACTTTGAAGATCAAAGAGTTCCTTTCACCCAAATGGTACTTGTAGTAATATTACATAATTCTACAGAAAATATAGAGGGGATCAGACCAATAAGACTCAAGAGCATTCCAAGAATTTTAACATGGGATTGAGAAAGAGGACTAGATATAAAGCGATATCCCATAAAATAATAGGAAGACAAAGAGAAGGTGGCATAGAAAGACAAAGGAGCCACACAAGTTTAGATGTGGAGCAGCCTCATTGAAACCTCTTCATTTTAAGATTATAAAACTGATTCTCCAGAGAGACAGGTGACTTAAGACCACCAACTCATGAAAAGCTGTGGCCAGGGCCTCCCATGCTGGTCAGCCACTGTGACTCTATAGCTAGTGGGGGCTGGGGAGGATTCTACAATCTCTGTTTATTTGGAAACACAGAATAGCTTATCACTTATTTCCCACATATTTTAAAAATATATATATTTTAAATTATTTTTTCCAAAAATAAGCCCATTAAATTTACTGAAAAAAATTACCTAATTTTCACCATGGGAGGGCAGTCTTATTCTAATAAGCTATGGAAGTCTGAAAATAAAGACAAGAAAGCCAGGTCTACTTTAAAATAGTCTTAAGCCACTATTATTATATTTTTAAAATTTAGCCAATAACTTCTAACTAGAAGCAAAAATAATAACACACGATCTAATAAAAATACTTGGGAAAACAAAAAGATGAAATACTTGAAAACGGACAAACAGAATTGTGCTTCATATGCAAAAAAATCTAAGTCACTTCCCCATACTGGAAAATCTTAATAAGAACAAAAGAACAGCACCAAGCATTTACTAAGGCCATACCACGTAGCAATAACAAATGAAGCAGTTTATTGATTGACCGATTGATTGACTGAGATGGAGTCTCGCTCTGTCACACAGGCTGGAGTGCAGTAATGCAACCTCAGCTTTGCAACCTCTGCCTCCCAGGTTCAGGAGATTCTCCTGCCTCAGCCTCCCAAGCAGCTGGGATTACAGGCACATGCCACCATGCCTGGTTAATTTTTGTATTTTTAGTAGTGACGGGGTTTCACCATGTTGGCCAGGCTGGCCTCGAACTCCTGACCTCAAGTGATCCACCTGCCTTGGCCTCCCAAAGTGCTGGGATTCCAGGCAAGAACCACCACACCCAGTCAAAAATGAAGCAGTTTAAATGCAATGTTTAAATACTAAGCACTCAATCATTATGAAATCTTAATAATGGTAGATGTAGACACACCAATCTCAAAAATTATATGAAAATGCAAAGGACTTACAACAGTGAAAACAATTTGGAAAAAGAACAACAAAGTTAGAGGATGTATACTCTCCAATGGCAGAACTTACTGTAAAACTACCCTAATAAGGAGGGCATGACACTGGTATAAGGCAGACACATAGAGCAATAGAACAGAACTGAGGATCAGAAACAAACCTGCACATTTATGGTTAACTAATTTTTGACAATGGAGAAATAACTGTCCTTTCAACAAATGGTGCTGAGACAATTGGATATTCACATGCAAAAAAGTGAACTTAGATCCTAACCTCACACCACACACAAAAATTAAATCAAAACAGATCATAGACCTAAATATAAGAGATAAAACTTATAAAACTTCTGGAAGAAACAGGAAAAAATATTTAAGACCTGAGGCAAAGAGTTCTTAGACTTGACACCAAAAGCATGAAAAATAAAAGATAAAAAATCATAAATTGGTCCCAGTGCAGTGGCTGACATCTGTAATCCCAGCACTATGGGTAGCTGAGGTGGGAGGATCACTTGAGCCTAGGAGTTCAAGACCAGCCTGGGCAACACAGGGAGACCTCATCTCTACAAACAATAAAAAAATTAGCCAGGTGTGGAGGCACATGCCTGTGGTCTCAGCTACTCGAGATGCTGAGGAGGGAGGATCACTGGAGGCTGAGGTGGGAGGATCACTGGAGGCTGAGGTGGGAGGATCACTTGAGCCTGGAAGGTTAAAGTTGCAGTAAGTTGTGATTGAGCCACTGCACTCCAGCCTGGGCAACAGAGTGAGACAGTGTCTCCAAAAAATAACTTATAAATTGGACTTTACAAAATTAATATTTATGTGCCAAAAGGCTATTAAGAAGATGAAAAGCCTAGGCACAATGGCTCATGCCTGTAATCCCAACACTTTGGGAAGCAGAGTGGATCGCTTAAGCCCAGGAATTCAAGATCAGCTTGGGCAACATGGCGAAACCCTGTCTCTACAAAAAATACAAAAATTAGCTGGGTGTGTTGGCATATGCCTGTGGTCTCAGCTACTCGGGAAGCTGAGGTGGGAGGATTACTTGAGCCCAGGAGGCAGAAGCTTCAGTGAACCAAGAACCTACTACTGCACTCCAGCCTGGGCAACATAGCGAGACTCTGTCCAAAAAAAAAAAACAAAACAAAAAAAAAGACAAAAGAAAAAGACTAATCATACACTAGAAGAAAAATATTACAAGCTATATATTTGATAAAGGACTTATATCCAGAATATACAAAGAACCCTTACAATGTGTAATAAGACAAAAACCCAATTAAAAAAAGGCAAATTGATATACAGTTTTAATGTAATTCCTACCAAAATCCCAGCAAGATTTATTTATTTATTTTTGAGACAGAGTTTCGCTCTTGTTGCCCAGGCTGGATTGCAATGGTGTGAGCTCTGCTCACTGCAACCTCCGACCCCTGGGTTTGAGCGATTCTCCTGCCACAGCCTCCTAAGTAGCTGGGATTACAGGCACCTGCCACCATGCCCGGCTAATTTTTTTGTATTTTTAGCAGAGATGGGGTTTCATCATGTTGGCCAGGCTGGTCTCAAACTCCTGTCCTCAAGTGATCTGCCCGCCTTGGCCTCCCAAAGTGCTGGGATTACAAGTGTGAGCCACCACACCCAGCAGATTTCTTACAGATACAGACAAGATCATTCTAAAATTTATGTAGAAAGGCAAAGGAACTAGAATAGCCAAAACAATTCTGAAAAAAGAATATAGTGAGAAAAGTCATTCTACTTGATTTCAAGACTTACAATATAACTATAGTAATCAAGACTAGGTGGTGTTGTCAGGAAGACAGACGTATAAATAAATAGAACTGAAAAAGAAAAGCCAGAAATAGCATTAAGTGCAGACAATTGATTTTTGACATAGGCACCAAAGCAATTACTGAAGGAAAGACAGTCTTTTAAACAAATGAATTGAGTAATTGAATAGCCATAAGCAAAAAAAACCTTTCAAACCCTATATAAAAATTAACTCGAAATGAATCATAAAAGTAAAATGTCAAGCTATACTTTTAGAAAATAACATAGATGAAGATCTTTGAGAGCTAGGACTTTGTAAAGAGTTCTTAGATATGACACCAAAAGCATGATCTACAAAAGAAAAAAGAATCAATAAACTGGACTTCACCAAAATTTAAAACTTTTGCTCTGTGAAAGATGCTGATAAGAAGATGAAAAGGCATGCAATAGAATGGAGAAAATCTTTGCAAACTACATATCCTACAAAGGTACTCCTTGTTCTAGTATCTAGAACTGATAAAACTCAAGAGCAAATAAAAAATTCAATGGGAAAATAGGCAAAGGACATGAACAGACATTTCACTAAAAAGAATACACAGATAGCAAATAAGCACATGAAAAGATTCTGAACATCATTAGCTATTTGGGAAATGCAAATTAAAACTACAGTAATATATCACTACATACCTATTAGAATGGCTAAAATTAAAATGTGTTAAAACATCAAATGTTAGTGAGGATGTCGAGAAACTGAATCACTCATACACTGTTCGTGGGAATGTAAAATGGTGCAGCTGTTCTGGAAAATAGTTTGCCAGGTTTTTAAAAACTAAACATGCACTTACCATACGACCCAGCAATTATACTCTGGGCATGTACCCCATAGAAATGAAGACTCATGTTGACACAAAAACCTGTACATGAATG
Organism: Homo sapiens; assembly: GCF_000001405.40. Lineage (NCBI taxonomy): Eukaryota > Metazoa > Chordata > Mammalia > Primates > Hominidae > Homo > Homo sapiens. The sequence goes on along the minus strand of NW_025791788.1, from coordinate 270,596 downwards.
TTTAGAACAACTTTATTAGTATTAGCCCAAATTGGAGGCAGCCCAGATGTTTTTTCAGTGGACAGTTAAACCAACTATGGTACATCCATTTCATGGAATATCACTCAGTAATAAAAAGGAATAAACCAGTGATACATGCAGCACCTCAAATGAATCCCCAGATAATTATGTTTAGTGACACATTTCCAAAAGGTTATATACTGTATGATTCCATTTCTGTAACATTCCTGAAATAACAAAACTGTAAAATTGAGAAAAGATTAGTTTTTGCTAGGGTTTAAAGATGAAGGGGGAAGGGCAAGAGATTTATGTACCTATAAAAGGGCAACATGTGAAACTCTTGCAGGGATAAAAATGTTCTGTAATTCTACTATCTCAACCTCAATATCCTGATTGTAATACTGTACCATAGTTTTGCAAGATGTTATCATTAGGGGAAACTGGGTAAAGGGTACACGGTTTCTTTCTGTATTAGTTCTCATAACTGCATGTGACTCAATAATGAAATTGAAATAACATTTTTAATTAAAAAGTAAATGATTGCAGTAGAATCTAAGGTAATAGGAGAAATCTACACCAGGGCCCACTTGAGAATGGTTTTATAAAATGGTCAGACAGTATTTTTAATCACTCTGAACCTTGGGGATTTATAAATAAAATGAAAAATAAGGGTGATAAAGACAAACATCTGAATCTTGAAAAAGATGACCATAGATTGCCTGATAAGAGTTTCATCCCTGGATTATGTCTACCAAGCATTGCCAAAACACATCTAAGGTTGTACACAGTGTACAGTATACTTTTTATTTTATTTTTGAGATGGAGTCTCGCTCTGTTGTCCAGGCTGGAGTGCAGTGGCATGATGTTGGCTCACTGCAATCTCCACCTCCCAGGTTCAAGCAATTCTCCTGCCTCAGCCTCCTGAGTAGCTGGGATTACAGGCGTGCACCACCACGCCCCACTAAATTTTGTATTTTTAATAGAGATGGGGTTTCGCCATGTCGGCCCGGCTGGTCTTGAACTTCTTGAACTCCTGACCTCAGGTGATCCGTCCGCTTCAGGCTCCCAAAGTGCTGGGATTACAGGTGTGAGCCACCCCATCTTGCCCAGAAAACTTTTTAAAAAATTAAGGTCTGAATCATCTTGCATCTCTGGATGTTTTCCTCCAAATTTAACAATTTCTTTTTTTTAAAGTTTTACTTTTCTGAATGAGATTTTCTCCCAATATTTGTTAAAAAGATGATTCCTTCTCCACTGACTTACCTTTGGCAAAAATAAATTAATCAGAAATTTGTAAGCTTATATCTGAACTTTCTCTATTCCACTGCTCATGTGTCTATCCTTTTGCCAATACTTATGTTTATTTAGATCTTCCTCAATGTTTGCAGTTTTCAGCATGCAATTCTTACACAAATCTTATTAGATGTTAACTAAATATTTCGATCTCCAATTACTCATTCTATTTTTTTTTTTTTTTTTGAGACAGAGTCTCGCCCAGTTGCCTAGGCTGAAATGCAGGGGCACAATCTTGGCTCACTGCAACCTTGGTCTACTGGGTTCAAGCGATTCTTCTGCCTCAGCCTCCCGAGTGGCTGGGACTACAGGTGTGCACCACCACACCCAGCTAATTTTTGTATTTTTAGTAGAGACGGGGTTTCACCATATTGGCCAGGCTGGTCTGGAACTCCTGACTTTGTGATCCACTGACCTCAGCCTCCCAAAGTGTTGGGATTACAGGCGTGAGCCACCGCGCCCAGTCTCCAATTATTCATTCTAGTATATAGAAATAAAATGGATTTTTGTATACTGACTTCAATCTTGGCTCAGCTAGAATTAGTGTGCTTTGGGAATGATATTTAAAGGAAGGTGAGCACAAAGTATAAGATAAGTGTATTTTAAACAGTTGATGTTTAAAAAAATGTATACTTTTTTTTTTAGATGAAGTCTTGCTCTGTCACCCAGGCTGGAGTGCAATGGCGCGATCTTGGCTCACCTGCAACCTCTGCCTCCCGGGTTCAAGCGATTCTCCTGCCTTAGCCTCCCAAGTAGCTGGGATTACAGGCAAGCACCACTGTACCCAGCTACTTTTTGTAGTTCTAGTAGAGATGGGGTTTTGCCATGTTGGTCACGCTGGTCTCGAAGTTCTGACCTCAAGTGATCTGCCTGCTTCGGCCTCCCAAAGTGCTGGGATTATAGGCCGTGAGCTATCACACCCAGCCTAGGGTACATTTTTGTAATTACATTTTCATTGTTCTCATAGCAACCATTTATAAAACATTTCAGATGTTTTACAAATAATAATGTTTTATAAATGTATCTCAAATTATATAATCCCTTATTAACTTGTAGAACGTAATCTTTCTGCCTAATGTACCTTTTCCCCACATTAGAGAAGAAAAAAAGGTATCAGGCTGCCTTACAAAAACTCAAATGTAATTAGGGAGACTCACTGTCTGTACCAAGTACCAGTCAAACCGAAAACTGATTGCGGGAGGAATTTACTCCTCCTTCCTTGTTATGGTTTTAATGTTTGTCTCCTCCAAAAATCATGTTGAAATCTAACTGCCATCATAACAGTATTCAGAGGTGGGAACTTTTAAGAAGTATTTAGGTTATCTGATGCTGTTATTACAGGAGTGGAATCACTCCCTCTTGCTCTCTTTAACCCAGCAAGAAGTCCCTTGCCAAATGCTGGTGCCTTGATCTTGGACTTCCCAATAACTCCAGAACTGTGAGGAAATAAATTCCTGTTCATTATAAATTATTCATTGCGTGGTATTCTGTTATAGTAGCAAAAGATGAACTAAGGCACTCCCCAAATGCCTTTTTGCTTTGTGGTATCTCACGGTATGTTTTTTATTTAGTCAAAGAAGAAAAAATAAATCAATACCATGAAAGATTCAAATCCAAAATTTTTTTTGTATCTTTTTCCTGCCCTTTCCTCCAATTAACTAATACAATGGATTATGTATTCCCCAAATTAAAGGGTCTACTTCTATATGCACCTCCTCAACAACAAAAATATTTCCCAATGATTTCACCAAGTAAAATGCATCTTTCCACCCTTTCCTAGTCCTGAAAATGTGATTTCTAAAACTGCTAAATGCTAAGTACTAAGTTACCAGTCATTGTAGAAGAAACTTTGAATTAATTATGTAGAAAATAATTTTTTAATCGTGTATATAATTTTGGGACTTTGCTTCTGTGAGGGTGGAGTACTGGCTGCTCCCCGTGCCTATGAGTGCTCTCTCGCTTCTTCTGCAGCCTGTGATTGGTTGTGTGCTGGCTTTTATACCCAATCCTCCTTATTTGGCAAGGATTCTACAACATCTGCTAGTTTTGTTGTCACATGGCTTATTGATTTGAAATGTACTTTCATCTCGTGGTTTATAGGAGCTAACTGGGAGAAAGACCGAACAATAAATAGTCCAGCTGTCTAGATACTAAAGATTTACAAAATGTCTTTCAAACAAAGAGCTAGTCCCTTAAAAGCAATTAAAGAGAAGGTCAAATTACCATTTTCTTTTTTCCTTTTTTTTTTTGAGATGGAGTTTCGCTCTTGTCGCCCAGGCTGGAGTGCAATGGCGCCATCTTGACTCACTGCAACCTCTGCCTCCCAGGTTCAAGCGATTCTCCTGCCTCAGCCTCCCAAGTAGCTGGGATTACATGCACCCATCACCACGCCCAGCTAATTTTTATATTTTTAGTAGAGACCGGGTTTTGCCATGTTGGTCAGGCTGGTCTCGAACTCCTGACCTCAGGTGATCCAACCGCCTCAGCTTCCCAAAGTGTTGGGATTACAGGCGTGAGCCACTGAGCCCGGCCAAAATTACCATTTTCATGGGATCCACATGTGCCTAAAAAATTCAAGAGAATCAACTGAAAAACTGTAACACACAGTCATAGGTATAACTAGCAAGAGGTTAGTATCTATGAGATATAATGAACTTGTAAAAATCAATTTAAAAAAATTACATAATAGAAAAATGAGTAAAGGCCAGGCATGGTGGCTAACGCCTGCAATCCCAGCAGTTTGGGAGGCTGAGGTGGGCAGATCATGAGGTCAGGAGTTTGAGACCACCCTAGCCAATGTGGTGAAACCCCATTTCTACTAAAAATACAAAAATTAGCCAGGCGTGGTGGCAGGCGCCTGTAATCCCAGCTACTCGGGAGGCTGAGGCAGAAGAATTGCTTGAACCTGGGAGGCAGAGGTTGCAGTGAGCCAACATCATGCCACTGCACCCCAGCCTGGGAAACAGAGCTAGACTCTGTCTTGGAAAAAAAGAAAAGAAAAGAAAAGAAAAATGAGTAAAAAACATCAACAGGCATACAACAGAAGAGAAAATCCAAATGGCTGAAAAACATTCGAAAAGATGTTCAATCTCTTTAATAGGCAGGCCAATGGAAGTTAAAATCACAATGTAATGCCACTGAATACTTACCAAATTGGAAAAAGTTTAGAGAATATCAAGTATCAAGTATTAATGAGATCTAAACAAACGTACCCTTATCCACATCAAATGCCAACAGTGCATCAATCGACAGGCATGTCAAAGGGAAATAATATAACGTTGAGAAATGCCTTCAATAGTTAAAGAAATCTAGTGTATGGAAACAGTCCCATTTCAAATTTGATAGGGGAAAGGTGGACTATTCAATTAATGCCAGCAACATATTCAGTGGGATCACATCTCATACTTAACAAGCACTGTAAACACTAAACACCAGATTTTCAAATGCAAAAAAATTTTTTAAATTTAAAAATAAAGAAACTGGCCAGGCGCAGTGGCTCACGCCTGTAATCCCAGCACATTGGGAGGCTGAAGCAGGCGGATCACCAGGTTAAGAGATCGAGACCATCCTGGCCGACATGGTGAAACCCTGTCTCTACTAAAAATACAAAAATTAGCTGGGAGTGGTGGTGTGCACCTGTAGTCCCAGCTACTTGAGAGGCTGAGGCAGGAGAATTACTTGAACTCAGGAGGCGGAGGGTGCAGTGAGCCGAGATCGTGCCACTGCACTCCAGCCTGGTGACAGAGCGAGACTCCATCTCAACAACAAATAAATAAAAACAAAACAACAACAACAACAACAAAAGAAACCATAATAGTCCTAAAATGAACAGTGGAAATCAAGGAAGAATTTTTCAGCAAATGCAGAAGTAACTATAACACAAAAGCCAGGAGGCTGTTAAGAAGAGATGGATAAACTTGTCCAGGCGTGGTGGCTCACACCTGTAATCCCAGAACTTTGGGAGGCCGAAGAGGGCAGATCACCCGAGTTCAGGAGTTCGAGACTAGCGTGGTCAACATGATGAAACCCTGTCTCTACTACAATACAAAAATTAGCCAGGTGTAGTTGTGGGTGCCTGTAATCCCAGCTACTCGGGCGACTGAAGCAGAAGAATCGCTTGAATGACTTCATCTTAAAAAAAAAAAAAGAGAGAGAAGAGATGGATAAACCCAATGACATAACAAAAAGTCTTCATGGCAAAACCATCAAAAGCAAATTACAGATTGGAAAATAATAGTTAAAAGTCATAGCACACAGTTTCCCTTATACATAAAAAAACTCCTAGAAGTCATTAAGCAAAAGATCTACAATACAATAGAAATAAAAGATATAAGCAGTTCCAGAAAACGCAGCATACAGGGCTGTAAAATATAAAAGATTTTCAACCAGATCCATAGTAAGAGAAAAAAGAACTCAACTATAAGATACCATTTTAATCCACCAGATCATTAAAAGATTAAAACCTGATAAATGGTATGCGGAGGATTTAACAGCTGGGAGTGCCACTTGGAAGGGCCTCTGAGGAGAACAATCACATCTGTGCCTGAGGATTGACCCCTCAGACACACTAGCACACATATGCAGTCCCTTATAAAAGTTTATTAGCTGCACCATTGTTTACATTAGGAAAAGAGTAGAAACATCTCCAATTTCATACAAGAATGCTTTTTGAGAAATAATGATTTCTAAATATATGTATTTGCTTCTATATGTACAAAATATCTCTGGAAGGATTCACAAGAAAATGACAAGATGATGATGATGATGATGATGATGATGATGATTTTGAGACGGAGTTTCGTTCTTGTCACCCAGGTCAGAGTGCAATGGTGCAATCTCGGCTCACTGCAACCTCCGCCTCCTGGGTTCAAGGAATTCTCCTGCCTCAACCTCCCAAGTAGCTGGGATTATAGGCGCCTACCACCACGCTCGGCTAATTTTTGTATTTTTAGTACAGACAAGGTTTCATCATGTTGGCCAGACTAGTCTGGAACTCCTGACCTCAGGTAATCCGCCCTCCTCAGCCTCCCAAGGTCCTGGGATTACAGGAGTGAGCCACTGCACTTGGCCTGAAAATGACAAGATTATATTCAGGTAATTCAGATGCTGAGTTAAGGATAACAGTCATTTGTTCTTTACCTTCTCTGTGTTCTGTAGACTTTAGCCAAGTATTCACTGATTGTCTTCTGTTTTCAGTGTTTCTGTATTCATGCTTTTATGTTAATAAAAGTTTGTTTCACATATAGGCCATATGAGGCCTGCTGATGAGTTCACCAGGTAAGGTCTGGGAGGTGAGAGTAAGATTATTCCCCTGAATTGGTACAGAGGCCATTGTCTGGAGGCATCTTTCCTCCAACAGTCAGGAAAATAGAAACATTCAGAAAATGGAGAAGAAGATGCACATTGGAGGGTACTGTGCATTCATTCATTCATTCAAACAATATTTATTGAGCACCCACTATTGACAGACAGTTTGGGGACATGGTAGCTCATAAAAGAGTCTTATCAGAAAGGAGAAAGCAGACAAATAATTACATTCATAATTAATTGCAACTGGAATAAGCTGATGTCTTAAAGATAAGAGTTAGCTAACAACAAGATTGAGAGGTACAGAGGCCTAGCATCCTCAAGAGACAGAGAAGCTCCTTCAAAGGTCATAGTGAGACAGAAACATGGCAATGTGAGGGTCAAAAAGAAGCCAGTGTGGGTACAGCGCAGAAACCAGCAGTGCTGCAAACTGAACATTCCAAGAATGGGCAAGTAGTAGGCCAAGGTCAGATCATCCCCAATCTTGAAGATCAATGTTTGGAATTTACTTTTTTAAATAAAGCATCACTGGAAGTAACAAGTAGAAGCAAGTAACAAGCAGAAACAAGGAAGTTTAAGTAGACACAGTGTGCAGTCTGATTTTTATGCAGACAAGAAGAAAATTGCTTGGAGATGTATGAACATAGTCAAGACCCTACCCAGAACACCTGGGTTTGAGATGATGGCAGTCATGGTATGAGACACAGACAGACCAAAAAGATACTTGGGTGTAGAACACAAAAGATTCACCAATAGATTCAATTTGAAAGTCAGGGAGAAGTATTTACATCAGTGGTTCTCAAGGTTTGGTGGGACCTGGGACACTTGTTTAAAATGGAAGTTCCTGGGCCCATGCTCAGAGGTTCTGATTTTGTAGATCTTGAGTATAAAGATGCTGGAACCTGAATTTTTAATAAGCAGCTCTGGTAATTCTGATGATGATGGACCTCCGGCCACACTTGAGAAGGTACTAATTTAAAGGACTCCCAAACTTCTGGCTTACACAAGAGAGTGGTCAGGGTTGGCATGGGGGCACCATTTACAGAAAATGTGAATGATGATGGCCAAGAAAGCCTGTGAGTATGGGCCATGAATTCAGGAGCCTCTGCTCCTCATAGCCCCCTGGGAGCAGATAGACTAAGAGACTGACTGCAATTAATGTTTGGACTGTTTCTATAGGGCTGCCCAAGTGGCCTTTCTGATAGAAGTAGTTCATCAGCTAAGTGTCATTATCTGCCTTACAAACTTGATTCCATTTAGAATGCTGAGAGGTGGTTACTTCCAGGCATATGTCTGCCTTGACCCTGCTGACACTGGCTACCTGTGAGAGTACCACCTACTCCCTCCTCCTAGATCACTAGGCATCAGCCAAGCTGGCCTGTCACCACTCTGATACCAACTTGGCTTGCCCCATCACCATATTTAGTTCTAAATATCTAAACTACTTAAAATAGTTTCTGCCTGCCCTTTTTCAAAGATTAATTAATAGTCAGGGCATGGTGGCTCAAGCCTGTAATCCCAGCACTTTGGGAGGCTGAGGCGGGTGGACTGCCTGAGGTCAGGAGCTCGAGACCTGCCTGACCAACATGGAAAACCCCCGACTCTACTGAAAATACAAAATTAGCCAGACATGGTGGCACATGCCTGTAATACCAGCTACTTGGGAGGCCGAGGCAGAAGAATTGCTTAAACCCGGGAGGCAGAGGGTACAGTGGGCCAAGATCACACCACTGCACTCCAGCCTGGGCAACAAGAGTGGAACTCCATCTCAAAAATAAATACTTAAATAAATAATAAAGATTAATAGCCAGCTGCGGTGGCTCATGCCTGTAATCCCAGCACTTTGGGAGGCTGAGGCGGGCGGATCACCTGAGGTCAGGAGTTCAAGACCAGGCTGGCCAACATGGTGAAACCCAGTCTCTACTAAAAATACAAAAATTAGCTGGGTGTGGTGGTGCACACCTGTAATCCCAGCTAGTCAGGAGGCTGAGGCAGGAGAATCGCTTGAACCCAGGAGGTGGAGGCTGCAGTGAGCCAAGACGGCGCCATTGCACTCCAGCCTTGGCGACAGAGCCAGACTGTCTCAACAACAACAAAAAAGATTAATAGACTTTATTTTTTAGAGCAGTTTTAGGTTCACAGCAAAACTGAGTGGAAGAACAGAGACTCCCCAGATCCCTTTCTTTGCTGAGTGCCCTTTTTCTGGTACTGTACAATGCTCCAGGCCCATCTCCTACTTTCCTTGCTCCAGTCCTCCTGGAAACAGCCATTTCTCCAAGGAGCAGCCCTGGTTCCTTTTACTGGAAAATGATGTTAGAAACCAAGATCTGGGCTTTGTGTTTGTTGCTGCTTAAAGTGCTCCTGCTTGTAGGATCTCTCAGCCAACAGAGCAAGGAGGTCTATGTGTGTACTATGTGTATATAACATAATTACATTTCCCTTTTAACCAGCTGTATCTATATTAAGCTAAATATGAGTTCATACTGATGTCTTCAACTCTAATCTATTACCACATGAATCACTGTCACCACCTCACCTCGCTTATTTATTTGTAACTTCCACTCCAACGGTGAGACACCTGGCTCTCACCATCTGCCATACAGTAACTTAATTGTTCCATTCCAGTCCCCACATACAGCGGTGCCTGAACTGTTGACCCGTACCCCCATGCCTCATTCATTTTTATCCCTTTACCTTGCATTATTCTCTTCCATCGCACTCTACATTGTTTATATTCTGCATTTTATGCTTATTTATGTTTATTTTCTGTTTTCCTTCTCTATAACAGAGACTTTCACTGCTGAGTCCCAAGCATCTAAAATCTGCACAAAGTAGGTGTCCAGTGAATAAAGTGGAACAAATGAGCAGAAAATTGTAATGCTTATTATGTTAATTAAGCAGGTCTCAGGAGGGCCTTTCCTAGCCAGTCCTGTGTCACTCAGCTTTGAGATACTGAATCTATTTCAATCAAAGTATAATCATAGCATATAATTTACACTTTTCAACAATTCAACTCCTTTTCTCCCCAATTGCTACAATTATAACCACTTAACTAAAACAGTGAACTATTACAAACTCACATCCCCTATTTTTTCCTTTAAGGCCTGACTCTAACTACCACCACCTCCCCCCATCCCCATCCCTTGCCACCTTAAACCTCCTAGATAGACACTGCCAATCAGTTTAAATTTTCTAGACATTTTTATTCTGTCTGCTCTAGTTATCTACTGATTTTTCTTTCACACTTGTTAAAAACATGAATAACATAATCAATATCATAAATCCAAATCACAGAGTTAATGAGAAGTTATATAAACATTAGGCTGTTGATTTTCAGTTAATCTTCCAAAAGGACTGTGAAGGCCTATAAAACAATTTTTTGAAAAAGTACACAGATTTGCTCTCTCTTCCTTAGTGAAAGCCTGAGTTTTAAGAACAAAGACACTAACAGAAAACATATGGAAAAGATCAGTAACAAGATGGAATCTTGGCTAAAGTGTGGTCTGCCACGTTTTTCATACCAATGTCTCAAATAATAGACTAGATTTTTACAACTGCCAAAGCATCACTTGAAACACTGTATACTTTTCTTAATGCAAAGTTTAACAAAATAAATCTTGTGAGTTCTTTGTAAAAAGCTAATGGAAAACACTTTTTTGAGGAAACAAAATGAACTCCAGGATTCACTTTATCTTATTAGTTTGTAAAAGCTTAAAAGAATTCCCCCCCAAAATGAACTCCGAATCTACTGCCAAAAGACACAAGTCAACTCTCTGTTTAGAATATGAGAACAGTGTAAAAATTAAACATTAAAAACAGTTAACTGTTACTATTCAGGAGAGATAGCTCTATGAAATGAAGAAATTTTCTAAATCTACAAAATAAAGGCAATAGCTATTGAGTAACATAAGCTTTTCATCCCATTTTATTCAATACTACAGAATTATTTTGTGCAATAGTAAAAACAGGCAAATTGAAGATACACCTTTGGAGTGCAACCAACTGACTAATTTTATCTGAAAGGATATTAGAAGTCATTCTAGTGGGTACATCTGCCAAAAAGAGGAGAAATGAGATAGCTGATAAAAATGATGATAAAAATGAAGATGTAAGCCTTTGTATAGAAAAGTCGTATAGTTAATCTGTGTAAGCAATGACAATCAAGTGCATTTTAAAAATAAACAATGCGAAATGTTATGTTTCTAATCCTGATTTCTTGTTTTAACAAATAGAAGTACTGATATGAACCTAGGTGTTGAATAACCAAGGGACTCAAGAAATTTTGAGTTCCAGGCCAGGCGTGGTGGCTCATGCCTGTAATCCCAGCAATTTGGGAGGTGGAGGCGGGAGGATCACCTGAGGTCAGGAGTTCAAGACCAGCCTGGCCAACATGGTGAAACCCCATCTCTACTAAAAATACAAGAAATTAGCCAGGCATGGTGGCTCATGCCTGTAATCCCAGCTACTTGGGAGGCTGAGACAGGAGAATTGCTTGAACCCGGGAGGTGGAGGTTGTGGTGAGCCGAGGTTGCACCACTATACTCTGGCCTGGGCAGCAAAGCAAGACTCCATCTCAAAAAATTAAAAAAGAAATTTTGAGTTCCACCTTAAGTTGCTGAGACTCTGGAGTTCCCTGTCACAGTGGGCCTTAATTTGAAGAATTCTTTGGCATGAAAATGAAAATAAAAACAGTAATCAGTACATGCTGTTTCATTTAGTTTTGTTTGCCTTTCACATTAGAGGAAATTCTTGCCACACCTCAAACCAAAATTAAGGGGAAAAGAAAGAAGTAAGCCACATAAATCTGACCAAGAACACAAGCATCTTAATTTGAATCCACAAAGTTTCATGTAATGAAAAGAAATACATAATTTTAATTCAACCCGAGTGTTTTCCAAGAAGATTGTATTTGCTTAAATTGCTACAGTAATTCAAGAGACAGCCCTGTCTGGACACAGAGTTACTGTGGATTTTTAAGAGACTCAGTTAAAGAATTTAGGAATTTCTGATTCATTTAAAGGATTTACAAATTCATCAACCCCTGAAAACTAAAGCAAATTGAACAGGTATGATAATAAAATAATTTTCAATTTTTTAAGAATGTATTCCTACTGTTAAAATTTAAAAGTATATTGGATTTTTTAATATTAAAATAGACTGCATCTATTACAAAAGCACAATTTTTGGAAGCAAAATCTGGTAAAAAAGTTATGTTAAACTTTTGATTAGGCAAAATGTTCAAATAAAGTAGTATAATGAGTTTAACTTTCTCATTTAAGATTTACCCAATAAAAAATCTTTGTTTAGATTTTTTTTTACTTTGAATGAAAGGAAAGATTCTCAGGTTAAAGGAATCAATCTCTTTCTCTTCCTTAGGTCTCTTTTTTTCTATGAATTATAAGTAACAAAGAACCAGCTAATGCCTTTGAGGCATACAGCTGAGCAATGCTAGTGATTCCGGTTGGGGGGTTGATGGGCATTTGTACAAATTTCACTCAAGATTTTCTCCAAATTTCTCTACTGACTAAATCCCTGATATAGAATGTTTTTCTTTTCATTTACTTCTTTCTCAAAGGGAAAATACAGATGCTCTATCTAGTCTATTGAAGGATCTAGTTACTTTGGGTTTTAGTTAATTACGATTTAAATGTATTATGGCTAAAAATAATTGAGGTAATTGTATTTTTAATAGCAAAAAAATTTTATAAAATTAAAATTTAGAACTTTTTTGGAAAAATCTAAATTATATGCTAATATTTGCTTTCTTATATGCTAGTTTCTATGTCATACAAATAAAAACAATTATGTCTTTAACATAATAAAATGTTGAGGATTTTACTTTAAACTTTTCCTGAACAAGTAAATTATACCTCATTAGTAATTTCAATTGAAACTTTTCTTGATGAACACGAGTGCTTTTCTCCAAGTAAGAGAAATATTATGACACAGATGGTTTTATTGCTATAATATGAAAAATTCACATTGAAAACTGGTAATATATATATATTACTTTGCTCCAAACATTCTTTTTCACATTTGTTCTTTTCCTGCTACACGATGTACTAGGAAAGTGAGGAATACAGTATATTGTGATGAAGAAATATTCAATAGAAAAAGGAACAGTCAAGCTCTCATGAATATGTTCATTTGAAGAAATTATCATAGTGAAATAAATGCCTAGGAATAATCAACATTAGTAGAGAGAAGCATTTGCTAGCAAGCCTTAACCTATAACTTATTAACTTATTCATTCAACACACCTTTGAGCACTTATAACACTGCATTGTATTAGATTCTGTTAAAAGATATTAGGAAATGAGATGATCAACAATGAATTATACAATATTGCTGTGAGTTATCCTATAGAGAACAAGGCATACATTGTAGAGTATGAAAAGCAGAAGTAACAAAAATATGCTTAGCAAATGACTCAGAAGAGATTAGTTGGGGAATGAAAAATTTGGATAAAATAAGAGATTGTTGTAACAGGGGAAATTATCCTGGGGAAAGAGCAAGAGGCATAGAAAATAATGAGCATATAGATGAAAACAGGATGGATTTCAAAACAGAAAACTGCACTTAATCAAAGGGAGTGGGACAAGATTGTACTACATGGTTAGGAACGTGGAGGGAGGAGGACAAGGATGTTTAAGATAAGTTCAGGTTTAGAAGAGAAATTGTTCCTCAAGGAAAGACTTTCTTCTTAGGTGCTCACAAAGGCGGAAAGCAGACAATATTAAAAACCTCTTTATTTTCAGAGACGCCCCAGTCATGTCTTGATTCAAGGCCTTCTTCTTTTTTCCCAACAATTTTTCATAGTTGTTGAACAACAGACTCTAATTCTCAAATGTAAGGTTGATAACTGATGATTAGCTAATGTTCTCAACAAAGGGATAAAATTCAAGCTGAGTTTTCAGCCAGGCAGGTGGCTCACACCTGTAATCTCAGCACTTTGGGAGGCTGAGGTGGGCGGATCACCTGAGGTCAGGAGTTCGAGACCAGGCTGGCCAACATGGCAAAATCCCGTCTTAACTAAAAATACAAAAAAATGTAGCCAGTCGTGGTGGTGCACGCCTGTAATCCCAGCTACTCAGGAGGCTGAGGCACAAGAATCACTTGAGCCTGGGAGGCGGAGGTTGCAGTGAGCCGAGATTGTGCCACTGCACTCCAGCCTGGGTGACAGCACGAGACTCTTGTCTCCAAAAAAAAAAAAGTTAATATGTTATACTATAATAAGTACAATAAAATATTATAAAATTATACATAAAATATCATCAATGAGTATAAAATGTATAGAATATTCTATATCCATTCCTATTAATCTCCCAAAGTCTGGGTCAAATGATGTCTACAAAAGACTTTCCTGTCTCCGTAAGGCTGAGGTAAGCCACTGGCCCCACAGCATTGCCTATCTCTGCTATAAAGGATATTACCCTCTGCCTTAGATTAGGGTTCACTTTGTTGTATCTCTCTCCTCCACTAAGCTGTTTGCTCTTTACAGAAGGGACTATGGCTTCACGTCTTCTTCATTTCTGTATTCTCCACCAACTTAGCATAGTGCCTCATCACTAGAAATAATTCAGGACAACGGTAAACTGATGTAACCCAATCAAACTAACTACTAATATTTGTAAAGTGCTTCACTAAGCATGTTTACATACAGTAAAGTAGTAGAGTACACTAGGTGAATAAGCATTTCCAAGCAGACCCACTGGGAGCTTCCAGCCCAGCAAGGAGAGCCTGCTCTGAACACTGCCCTTTGGTATGATACCATAACTCCTTAAATCTACCTCCTTCCAAGATTCTCTACTTTTTCACCCACGAACACTGACTGTAGTGTGAAATCACAGCCCAAATATGTTAATTCATTAAATTAGGCATTCATTCCCAGAGTGCAAATTCCTCAGGTCAGAATTTAGGCCCTCCAAGGCCGGGGGTGGTGGCTCATGCCTGTAATCCCAGCACTTTGGGAGGCTGAGGGGGGCAGACTGGTTGAGCCCAGAAGTTCATGACCAGCCTGAGCAACATGGCAAAACCCTGTCTTTACAAAAAATTAAAAAATTAGCCAGGTGTGGTGGCACGCATCTGTAATCCCAGCTACTCAGGAGGCTGAAGTAAGAGAGTCACTTGAGCCCAGGAGATGGAGGGTGAGCCAAGAGTGCACCACTGCGCTCCAGCCTGGGTGACAGAGTGAGACTGTCTCAGAAAAAAAAAGTTAGGCTAATCCCTTCAGATCTGGATTTAATAGTCTTATTTTGCTCCTTCAAGAGTTAACCAACCACATTTCCCAAACACATCACCATCTGTTGCTTCTATGTTTTTGCTCATCTCTTCTAGCCAGAGATCTTCTTCCTCACTTCCCTCTATGAGAACCTCAACACTCCTTCAAAGTCTAGGTCAAATGCCACATCTTCCACGAATCTCACAGAAAAGAAAGAAAAATGGATGTAATATAGAGTTGCACAAAGAAACATCATGAATTTCAAAAGCACATATTGTTAAAAAAAAAACAAAAACAAAACCCAAACCATTGCTATTTTGGCATTTTCTTGTAGGTAGGGATACATATAAGAAAATAGAAATAAATGATATCTTGATCCTATTTTCTTGACTTAAAAAAAAGAAGCAAGGTCATCACCCAAAAACAATAATGGGGAATAAGGTATTAGAGGCTTCAGAGAGGAAAGTTACAAAACAGTAGCGTAGAAGAGAGGGAAGGAGGATGGTCTAAGGAAATGCAGCAGGACAGCACTTGAGGTTAGTGGTCTTGAATCGAGAGTGAGACCAGTCACCATGCTCCTGTTTTTCTTTAGTTACATTCAGCTGTGACAGTCAGGCTGTGAGTAGGTAGAGAATTGGAGTAACCAGAGTTGGAGTTTGGCAGATTGAAGGAGCCAGAAAGTTTAGGGCATGTGCAAAAGAGCAACGATAGTGATCAACTATGGGGTCTAAGTTGGTAAGAAGGAACTGACAATGTTGGGAGGTATGGATGAGGGACAGTGAAAAACAGTAGAATCAATATAGCTGAGGTTCCACGGAAATTGGAGAATTATTGCAGCTGGAGTTACTACATAGAGATAGTGGTCTGAGTGCGGAATACTCAAAATGAAGAGTATGAAGGGTTCCAGTAATAGAAAAGACAAAACCCAGGATGCGGGTGCATGGGAGCAAATGGTGAGGAAGAATGAAGGAAAGTATCACTGCAGGAAGAGAGCTCAAGGGTCTCTGACTCTACCTGAATAACTACTTCAAATTCCAAATACACACAATAGTTACATTTATAATTTCTGACAAGAAAAGAAGAAGAAATTGAGATGTTTCTTAACCTTTCTCAAATGGGGTTCTGTCAAAGAAAATAACTTAAGTAACTATTCTCTCAATTATACCAATGATGAAAAATAGCTAGAACCATTCTACATGAACAGGAGATAAGTCATTTCATTATATGCAATGATTTGTTTGGAAACTCATTCTCTCATGAAACCCTGGGTGGGAAAAGTAGAAAGGTCTCAGAATAAAAGAGGTAGGATTTTTTAAAACCTTTTTCCTAAATGATACATTCATTTCATCTGGATAGCAGTTTTCAACGTGCAAAGTACTTGTACATGCATAGCTCATACAATGCTAACAACGACCAGGCGGATAAGCAGGCAAGATATGACACAAGGAGGCTGGATGCAGTGGCTCACGCCCGTAATCCCAGCACTTTGGGAGCCCAAGGTGGGTGGATCATGAGGTCAGGAGTTCGAGAGCAGCCTGGTCAACATGGTGAAACTCCATCTCTACTAAAAATACAAAAATTAGCCGGGTGTGGTGGAGTGCACCTGTAATCCCAGCTACTGGGGAGGCTGAGGCAGGAGAATTGCTTAAACCCAGGAGGTGGTGGCTGCAGTGAGCCGAGATCGCACCACTGCACTCCAGTCTGGGCAACAGAGCAAGACTCCATCTCAAAAAAAAAAAAAAAAAAAGACACAAGGCAACATACAAGATAAGCAGCCAAGGTATAATTCAGCTATAATTGCAATTCTTATTTTATTGATGAGGCAAGAGGCAGATATGTTAAGTGACAGAAATGAAATATAGGTTTCAGGCTTCTCATCTGGGACATAATTGACCCTTCCCTAGAACTTCAAGTTTCAGCACTGAGTGTTCATTGTGAAGTGTGCCCTTTTGCAATTCTTTTCCACACAATATCCTCCTCCTGCATTCTACTGCACGTGTATTTGATTCTCCACAAGACTTTAAACACCTGGGAGACAAGGACAGTGTGTTTTTAATAATATTTTTGTATCTAAAACTTAAATATATTAATGGAAAAAAGGAAGCTAGGAAGAAAAATGTAAAGACACTTGAACTTTGTAGAATGTAAACACTGTATGTCTTTAGGATTTAAAGTAGTTATTCAAGCAGAGTCGGAGACTAAATAATTGGATTCTGGAAACTGTTTCATGAGGAAAATTTGATGGTGCTGTTAGTTTTGGACAGAAAATATTAAAAGGAAACATGAATACTATTTCTAAATATCTGAAGTTATCACACAAAAGGGAGCATTTCACGTTCTTCTGAAGGGCAGAAAAAGGTATCAGCAAATAGAAGTTGTAGAATCTCCCAGGCAAAAGCTCTCTAACTAAAATAAAGGTCTTTCCTCCCCCAGGCAGTGACCATCATTAAAGGATCAGGTAATTCCAAAGAACACACAGCATTTACAGTGGAGGGATCAGACTGTAGTTGACTGATGTCATGCTATTATCATAGATCTATACCCTAGTAAGCAAGAGAAACTGGGACTCTTAAAAGATGGTTACTTAGTAGAAAGTCTAGTATACCAGACTTTTGACTCAAGTTCAGTGTAATATGTGACTTAAAAAAAAAAAAAATCTCGGCCAGGCGCAGTGGCTCACGCCTGTAATCCCAGCACTTTGAGAGGCTGAGGTGGGTGGATCACCTGAGGTCAGGAGTTAGAGACCAGCCTGGCCAAGATGGAGAAACCCCGTCTCTACTAACAATACAAAAATTAGCCAAGCGTGGTGGCACGCGCCTGTAGTCCCAGATACTTGGGAGGCTGAGGCAGGAGAATCACTTGAACCGGGGAGGTGGAGGCTGCAGTGAGCCAAGCCTGCACCACTACACTCCACCCTGGGTGACAAGGCAAGACTCCATCTCAAAAATAAAAAGAAAAAGAAAAAGAAAAAAGAAAAAAAACTCACTTCATTTGTACTTAAACATTAATTTTGGTTTGAGGCCAGGCGTGGTGGCTCACACCTGTAATCCCAGCACTTTGGGAGGCCGAGGCCAGAGGATCCCTTGAGGTCAGGAGTTTGAGACCAGCTTGGGCAACACAACGAAACCTTGTCTCTACTAAAAAATACAAAAATAAGCTGGGCATAGTGGCATGCACCTGTAGTCCCAGCTACTTGGGAGGCTGAGGCATGAGAATTGCTTGAACCTGGGAGCCTGGGAGGCAGAAGTTGCAGTGAGCCGAGATTGTGCCACTGCACTCCAGCCTGGGTGACAGAGGAGACACTGTCACAAAAAAAGAAAAAAATTTTGGTTTGAGCACTGCCCATTCTTTCTGGATATTCTTTTATATATAGACATAGGTATAATACATTTCATATAACTGAGAATTTATACAAAGCGTATTCTGAGTTTACTCACTTTCTCCACAATGTTTCCTTTTCTCCTTGCAATAGGAAAAAAAAAAAGAAGATGGGTTTTTTAAGTCCAATATATGTTATTTTCTTCTTTTTTGGAGTCAAAGTACATTGCCAATATGAAACTTATCAGTGGGATGAAGACTATGACCAAGAGCCAGATGATGATTACCAAACAGGATTCCCATTTCGTCAAAATGTAGACTACGGAGTTCCTTTTCATCAGTATACTTTAGGCTGTGTCAGTGAATGCTTCTGTCCAACTAACTTTCCATCATCAATGTACTGTGATAATCGCAAACTCAAGACTATCCCAAATATTCCGATGCACATTCAGCAACTCTACCTTCAGTTCAATGAAATTGAGGCTGTGACTGCAAATTCATTCATCAATGCAACTCATCTTAAAGAAATTAACCTCAGCCACAACAAAATTAAATCTCAAAAGATTGATTATGGTGTGTTTGCTAAGCTTCCAAATCTACTACAACTTCATCTAGAGCATAATAATTTAGAAGAATTTCCATTTCCTCTTCCTAAATCTCTGGAAAGACTCCTTCTTGGTTACAATGAAATCTCCAAACTGCAGACAAATGCTATGGATGGGCTAGTAAACTTGACCATGCTTGATCTCTGTTATAATTATCTTCATGATTCTCTGCTAAAAGACAAAATCTTTGCCAAAATGGAAAAACTAATGCAGCTCAACCTCTGCAGTAACAGATTAGAATCAATGCCTCCTGGTTTGCCTTCTTCACTTATGTATCTGTCTTTAGAAAATAATTCAATTTCTTCTATACCCGAAAAATACTTCGACAAACTTCCAAAACTTCATACTCTAAGAATGTCACACAACAAACTACAAGACATCCCATATAATATTTTTAATCTTCCCAACATTGTAGAACTCAGTGTTGGACACAACAAATTGAAGCAAGCATTCTATATTCCAAGAAATTTGGAACACCTATACCTACAAAATAATGAAATAGAAAGTATGTAGACTTTTATTGTGTTTTGAAGAGAGAAAGAATGGAATCCTGATCTTTTAAAGAAAAAAATATTCAATAAGCTATGCTTTAGACATTGCTGAAAATAGTTGTTTTGAAGTTGCTTAAGGGAATGGCAGAAATCTGCCCCAGAGAAATGTGTGCTATTCAGTTTATAGTCCTTTTTATTAAATTTTATTGCCTTAAATATTGAGAAATAGGCTGGGCGTGGTGGCTCATGCCTGTAATCAGAGCACTTTGGGAGGCTAAGGCGGGTGGGGTGGATCACTTGAGGCCAGGAGTTCGAGATCAGCCTGGTCAATATAGTGAAGTCCCATCTCTACCAAAAATAGAAAAATTAGCCAGGCATGGTGGCATGTGCCTGTACTCCCAGCTACTTAAGAGGCCGAGGCATGAGAGTTGCTTGAACCCAGGAATCGGAGGTTGCAGTGAGCTGAGATCATGCCACTGCTTTCTGGCCTGGATGACAGAGCAAAACTCTGTCTTAAAAAAAAAAAAAATAAAATAAATAAATAAATAAATAAATAAATAAATATATATATATACACACATATATAATATATTTATTTATATATAAAAAATATATATTCTCTTTTATATATATAACTGATAATTTATACATATATATATAACTGACAATTTATACAGAGCGTATTCTGAGTTTACTCACTTTCTCCACAATGTTTCCTTTTCTCCTTGCAACAGGAAAAAAAAAAAGAAAAAAAGAAGAAATATATAATTTTATATATATATATTTTTTTATATATATGTATAAATTGTCAGTTTTATATATGTATATATATAAAAGAGAGAAATAATAGAGTACATGAAGAAATATGAGTATCCTAAGTAGTGGGATTGTAGATAATTTTTTTTTGAGATTGTTCTACTAGGAATTTATTAATCAGAAAAGCCAATGAAGCCATATATATTTTGTTAATATAAAACTCATAATTTAATTTTCTTTTTATTATTTGATTAATATAAAAAGGAAACCTAATTCAATTTATAAATATTTTAATTAACAGAATTATATCCCATACAATATAAAATCTAACATAGAATTATGGCTATAACTATGGATTATACTATAATACAAGATTAATTTTTAATTTATTTCTTTCAGAGATGAATCTTACAGTGATGTGTCCTTCTATTGACCCACTACATTACCACCATTTAACATACATTCGTGTGGACCAAAATAAACTAAAAGAACCAATAAGCTCATACATCTTCTTCTGCTTCCCTCATATACACACTATTTATTATGGTGAACAACGAAGCACTAATGGTCAAACAATACAACTAAAGACACAAGTTTTCAGGAGATTTCCAGATGATGATGATGAAAGTGAAGATCACGATGATCCTGACAATGCTCATGAGAGCCCAGAACAAGAAGGAGCAGAAGGGCACTTTGACCTTCATTATTATGAAAATCAAGAATAGCAAGAAACTATATAGGTATACACTTACGACTTCACAAAACCTATACTTAATATAGTAAATCTAAGTAAACATGTATTACTCAAAGTAATATATTTAGAATTATGTATTAGTATAAGATCAGAATTGAATTTAAGTTGTTGGTGACATCTGCATCATTTCATAGGATTAGAACTTACTCAAAATAATGTAAATCTTTAAAAATATAAATTAGAATGACAAGTGGGAATCATAAATTAAACGTTAATGGTTTCTTATGCTCTTTTTAAATATAGAAATATCATGTTAAAGAAAGTGAGTGTATCATTTCTATTAACAGTAATTTTTCTAAAAATGAGGAAGGAAGTAGCATTAGCAGTAAAGACCCACAGGCCATGACCTTTTTGATCACTCTGAGGACAATATTTAAATGACAGGAAGGTATATTAATGTAACAAGCATTCATTTAAGGAATAGACCATTTTCTCTGACCTCTTCTTCAGGAAAGCTTTCACACTGGTATTTGTGATCTCACCATTATGACATCCATCCCCCTAGCTCACCACATAGCACATAGAATGATATTTTTGATTTGTAAGAGGCCATCCAGGTACTAAGGACCCAAGGCATACAGATTCACAAAATTAACTAATCTTTTTGCCTCAGAATACCAAAACAACAAAATTATAAAGCTGTATTTGGACAACTAAAAAACACCAAACTATCTCATTGCAATTTGTATTTTAGCAGATTTCAGCAACTATCCTAAACAATGTTATTGTGTTCCATTTTAACTGGGATAAATGTTTTTGTAAAAATACAACCATAGAAAGGCCTCTTTGTTACAAAATGATTTGCAAAGAAATAACTGCTTTGTTTGCAAGATTAAATTAGTGTTGGCAAAATAAAGTTCTAAAGATAATACTAAACACTTTATGCTTATCAGCCAATATCTACATAAGCTAAAATTGAATACAGTTCCTTTATAATTTGAATGACAGGTTTTAACATCTTCTTTAAAACCTTAAAAATCACTTTTTCGTTAATGTATTATTTTTAAGTATTGTAAGTGTGCCTTACAATGATGATTATCTAACTGCTGTGATGAACTCTCTTGATATACCATGCTAATGTTTCATAGAATTTCTCAGATAAGGGACAAATACCAATCTAGGGCTGCCTATACAAATGATAACAATTCTGACAATATGCAACAGACAGACAAGTCAAACTATACTTCAGAAATAGTTTTCAAGCTTGCAAGTCTTTTTTTCTGGAAATACCAGTTTAAAGTGAAGTCTTTAATGCTCTTTACATCTTTGAGGAATTATTAGCATTATCAGAACCAGAACGCCCACCTGTTCCCAGGGACAACCTCAAGAATCCAGGATGAATATGAAGAAAACTCCATTCATTCGTCTAATCAACATTCATCAAGTCCTTTCTTATATAGGGCTTGGCAATAAGGGATCAATAAACAAAGTACAATGTGCAACTATGATGCCACAATATGGGCAAAGCACATTTTCAACAGAGGTTAAAAAAAAAATCTTAAGGCCCACCTCCCTTTTCTTGCAATTTTTAAATACAGGATATAAATTCAAACATTAAGAGTTAATACGTGGAAAATACTATAGGTGTTTTAGAAAACAAAGATAAGACAATTCCTAACCTAGAGCAATTTAAAATTTATGAGCCATTAGGGAAATGCAAATAAATGAGATATTACTATGTGCTCACTAGGATAGCTGAAATCAAAAGGCAGACAAATAACAAGTGTTGGCAAGATGTGGAAAAATTGGAGCCTTCATACACCTTTGGAAGGAGTGTAAATACTGCAGCTGCTTAGAAAAGCAGTATGGAAGTTCCTTAAAAAGTTAGTTACATATAGTCGGGCGCATTAGCTCACACCTGTAATCCCAGCACTTTGGAAGGCCGAGTTAGGTGGATCACCTGGGGTCGGGAGTTTGAGACCAGCCTGACCAACATGGAGAAACCCCATCTCTACTAAAAATACAAAATAATTAGCCAGGCATGGTGGCACATGCCTGTAATCCCGGCTACTTGCGAGGCTGAGGCAGGAGAATTGCCTAAACCCAAGAGGCAGAAGTTGCGGTGAGCCAAGACCATGCCATTGCACTCCAGCCTGGGCAACAAGAGCAAAAGTCCATATCAAAAAAAAAAAAAAAAAAAAAAAAAAGCTTAGTTACATATAACCCAGCGATTCCATTCCTAACTATATACCCAATAGAACTGAACACACATGTTCACACCAAAATTTGCATATAAATGTCCACAGCAGCATTATCCACAAGGTAGAAATCACCCACATGTCCATCAATGGATAAACAAAATGTGGTATATCCATTTCATGGAATATTATTCAGCCATATCCAAAGGTAGAAACCACGCAAATGTCCATCAATGGATACACAAAATGTGATATATCCATACAGTGGAATATTATTCAGCAATAAAAAGTAACGAAGCACTGACATATGCTACAACATGGATAACCTTGAAAACATTATGCTCAGTGAAAGAAGTCAGTCGTAAAAAGACACAAATTGTATGATTCCATCTTTATGAAATGTCCAGAACTGGGAAATCTATGGAGACAAAGACTATTGGTTGCCTAGAGCTGGGGATCATGGGAATGGGGAAAGTGAGAAGTAACTGCTAATGGGTATATGGTTTCTTTTTTGGAGTAATGAAAATGTTCCAAAATTGACTGTGGTGATGGTTGTACAAATGCAAAAACACTAAGTACTATTAAATTGTATACTTTAGGCTGGGTGCAGTGGCTCATATCTGTAATCCTAGTGCTCTGGAAGACCAAGGTGGGAGAATTGCTTGAGGCCAGAAGTTCAAGACTGGCCTAGGCAACACAGTGAAACCCTGTCTCTACAAAAAAATTAAAAATTAGCCAGGCATGGTGGTGCATGCCTGCAGTCTTAGCTATTCAAGAGGCTGAAGCAGAAAGATTGCTTGAGCCCCGGAGACCAAGGTTGCAGTGAGCCATGATCATGCTTCTGCACTCCACCCTGGCAATAGAGTGAGACCCCGTCTCTAAAAATAAATAAATTAATTAATTAATTAATTCATTAATTAAATTATATACTTTAAAAAGATGAATTGTATTGAATGTGACTTATCTCAATAAAACAGTTATTTGAAGAATTTAATAAAGAGAAGATCAAACAACTCACTCTAACACAAGGAAGAAATAAAATGCTAAAGCGGCAGTGACTATGAAAAACTGTATAAGCACAGATACCATAACTTTCACATCTGGTGAGGACCTGGAGGAGTAGTTGAAGGCTCCCAGGAAAAAGTTAATGTGTGGCAGGAACTGACTGGCAAAAGTAGAGAGAACAAGCTCCTGACTGGGGTTAATATAAAGACATGGTAATTACTTGTTTCACTTCTTGCACAGTTTAAGAGATTGAAAACCCTTCCTTTTTCAGAGCTCTGGAGTTTCAATTTGTATCTCCTCCTAAATGAATAAAAGAAAATACATTTTAATTCTCAAAGAACAGCCTTAGCAAATAATAAAATTGCAATTCAAATTTAGCAATTCTGGCCTGGCATGGTGGATTACACCTGTAATACCAGCACTTTGGGAGGCTGAGGTGGGCTGATCCTTTGAGCCCAGGAGTTCTAGACCAGCCTGGGCAACATGGTGAAACTCCATCTCCACTAAAAATAGAAAAAGTAACCGGGCATGGTGGTGCATGCCTGTAGTCCCAGCTACTTGGGAGGATGAGGTGGGAGGATCATCTGAGCCTAGCAAGTGGACATTGCAGTGAAATGACATCATGCCACTGCACACCAGCCTGGGTGTCAGAGTGAGATCCTGTTTCAAAAAACAAAAACAAATTTAGCAATTCAAAACAAGGAATCTGGCTGGGTGTGGTGTCTCACATCTGTAATCCCAGCACTTTGGGAGGCCGAGGAGGGCAGATCACGAGGTCAGGAGACTGAGACCATCCTGGCTAACACAGTGAAACCCCGTCTCTACTAAAAATACAAAAAAGTAGCTGGGCGTGGTGGCAGGCGCCTGTAGTCCCAGATACTCAGGAGGCTGAGGCAGGAGAGGTGTGAACTGGGGAGGCAGAGCTTGCAGTGAGCCGAGATTGCACCACTGCACTCCAGCCTGGGAGACAGAGCGAGACTCTGTCTCAAAAGGAAAAAAAAAGGAATCTGATATAAGAGCTATGTGGGTATAAAGCCTGACATGACACTTTTAAGCTAGGTGACTTTGAGTGAGTTATTTAGTTTAAGTGTCTCTTTCTTTGTTTTTTAAAAAAGATGGTTTCCATATGGTTGTCATAAGGATAAAGATAAATAATTGGTATAATAAAGCACATAAAGTGCACATGAGTTGGAGGTATCAAGTAAACAGTAAGGCTCACTGTAGCACATCTGGCCCAGCAGCCCACAGATCCAGATGCTGCACACTCCTGGGTGCTCACACTGTTTTTCCTGGCACACAAAACAGAGTAAGCATCTCTTTGGGTTCCTTCCAACATTTTACTCATACAAAAGATAGTGGACAAGAGAGACTACTAAGGGTTTCATTAGGGTGCTTAAATCATATATCTCACAAGTTCACAACCACTATTGGACACTGCAGCTTTTCAAAGCACCATCTGGATGGCCCACCAGGGTGAGGATGGCAGGGTTCCCTCCACCCCCTCACAAGGCACTCAGTTGCTGGCTTCCCTGCCCCAGAGTGTGGTCAACCTCCTCCTGTTTATTAGCAAGAACAGTTCAACTCTGCTCTGGCTCCTCCCTCTAAAAGTGCATATAAGTAAATGCATCCCACGTCCTCTAGCTCAGGGCCCAAGGAGGAGACAGATTAACAATCATTTTTTGGTACTTGAAAATGCCTTAACTCAAACCTGCTTAAGTACTTCTCATTAAAAACAAAACAATGAGGCTGGGCACGGTGGCTCACGCCTGTAATCCCAGCACTTCAGGAGGCCGAGGTGGGTAGATCATGAGGTCAGGAGATTGAGACCACCCTGGCTAACATGGTGAAACCCTGTCTCTACTAAAAACACAAAAAATTAGCCAGGCGCGGTGGTACGCACCTGAAGTCCCAGCTACTTGGGAGGCTGAAGCAGGAGAGTTGCTTGAACCCAGGAGGCAGAGGTTGCAGTGAGCCGAGATTGAACCACTGAGCTCCAGCCTGGGTGACTGAGCAAGACTCCGTCTCAAAACAAGCAAACAAACAAAAAACAAAACAAAACAAAGAAAAACCTCAATGCATTCCCTGGGAGACGATGAAGAATAAAGTATTTTCTTCAAATAGTACATCAAGACTGCACAGTTACCTATCGGAGCTACAGACTAAACCAGTTAATTTGATATTTATAGCAGGAAATAAAAATGTGAAAATTCATTTATTATTTTTCTCATTATACTACCAAGTATTTAGTTATGTTAGCTAATAGGTTAAACTGTAACTATTAACAAATAAGTCCAAGTTGCACCATAAACCCATTTAATTAACAAATATAAATGCATAACGAACACACATTTAACTTTTAGAAAGGAAATTTTAAGAAGGATACTTCATAAATTTGTTCACAATAATACTGGTTGAGAATGTTTAGCCAGTGTTTAAGAATTACCTGAAACACTACACATTTTCACTCGATTTCTCAAGCTTGGGAGCACTAAAGTAAAATACAGATGTATGCATATTATATAACACACTTAATCAGCTCCATGATGTAAAAAAGAAAATAGAAGAAATAAACCTTGTCTGTTCTACATAATTTTTCTGTTTTAAGAATTCATATGTCCCCAAGGATGGCTAGACCTAAAACCCTGGTTTCCTGATTCTAAATCCATTTCTTCTACATCTTGGAAATAAAGCATAAGAGCAGCTGGAAACAAAATTAAATCATAATGGCTACACATCTGAAGTTTCTTATATGTTCCAATTTCCTAAATTGATATAACTATTCCAAGTTATAAATCTGCCTAGGTGTAAATATCATAACATCATGGACACATCTTGCATCACTTTACTTGTTTAGGTTATGAATTCACTATACAGAGATTTATGTACTACTGAGAAAAACTAAATTAACAAATAAAATACAATTTTACCATGAGCTCTTCCTTACATTGAGTCATAATTCTCTCCATATAAATTTTACCCTTTAGTCTGGGAAGTAAAATACATGGGTTCTCATATTTCTTGTTTGAACAAACAATTAGGCTTCAAGCATAAGTATGAGATTTAAGACGGAGATCCAAACCACAGACTTTCCACAAAATCCAGAATGCTGGATTAAAAAGGGTCTATGTGTATCTAGTAACTCAGCAGTTATCAATACGAATGATTTTGCTTCCCCAACCCCCACCCATCAGTGGACAGCTGGCAATGTCTGGAGACATTTTTGGTCATCACAAAGTAGGGGTGGGGGTGGGGTGCAACTACTAGCATCTAGTGGGTAGAAGGCAGAGGTGCTGCTAAACATCCTAAAGTGCACACAGGACAGCCCCCACAACAGAGAATTATCAGGTCCAAAATGTCAGTAGTGCAGAGGCTGAGGAACTCTGTAGTAACCCGATTCAATCGATAAAAGTTCAATCGATAAAAAAACTGTGGCCCAAAACGTTAAAGAACTTGCCAAGGTCAGGGGAAGGTTCATGAAGAATCAAAACTAGAACTCAGCTGGGTGCAATGGCTCACACCTGTAATCCCAGTACTTTGGGAGGCCGAGGCGGGCAAATCACGAGATCAAGAGATCGAGACCATCCTGGCTAACATGGTGAAACCCTGTCTCTACTGACAACATAAAAATTAGCTGGGCGTGGTGGCGCATGCCTGTAGTCCCAGCTACTCAGGAGGCTGAGGCAGAAGAATTGCTTAAACCCGGGAGGCGGAGGTTGCAGTGAGCTGAGATCGCACCACTGCACTCCAGCCTGGAGACAGAGCAAGACTCCGTCTCAAAAACAAACAAACAAACAAAAACTAGAACTCAGGTGTTTTGACTCCTAAACCAAACTATTTCCTACAAAGTTAGAGAATGAAGATGAAGATGGGGGAAAGACTCTTCTGGTTTGTAGCATTCATTGAAAGCTAATCCACTTGGAGGTCATATGGTCTCTATCAGAATTAAGCCACTCCCCAAAAATACTTTTTCCCTGGAAGCTCTTGTTTCCAAAATTCCATTCCATTCAACACATTTTTTTGGTTGCCAACAGACAAATGGTACACTTTTGAGGAAATAAAACCCCTATAAGGCACCAAAGATAATACAATAGGGTCACCTAAAAGAACTCCACAGAGGCCAAGGTGGATCACTTTAGGTCAAAAGTTCGAGACCAGCCTGGGTAACATAAGAGGACCCCGTCTCTACAATTCTTTTAATTTTTTTAATTAGCCAGGCATGGTGGTGCATGCCTGTAGTCCCAGCTACTCAGAAGGTTGAAGTGGGAGGATCATTTGGGCCCACAAAGTTGAGGCTGCAGAGAGTCATGATCGTGCCACTGCACTCCAGCTTGGGTGACAGAGCAAGACCTTGCCTTCATAAAAAGAATTCCACAAAGAAGACTCTTTCATCTTTGGATACAATGCCTGCTCTTGAGCATGAGACAGCTTTCATCTTTTACTCCTGTAGAGTAAAAGCTAAATAGCTTTCTATCAGCATTCAATTCTTTCTGGAATAGAAAATCACCTCAGTTTCAAGCATTTTATATTGAGTACTGTGTAGTAAAGATTTTGGCTTTGCCTAAAGAGAGGTCTGGGCTTTGCCTTGGCTTCTGAGAGGTGATCTATGTTATTTCTGATAGGAGTGTTTTTGTTTAGGGTGAGATCAGCCACACCTGATAGTCTTGAGGTAGAGGTGGCTATGCCAGGAAGACCAACCACGTGATGTAGGATAAGGGATTTGGGTTATGTAGTATCAGTGGACCAGGAGGCTGAATTCAATCAATCAATCAATCAAACCTATTAATAAAGCCCCAATAAAAACTCTGAACACTGAGAATAAGCTTGCCTGGTTGGCAATACCCCACATACACTGCCACATATCAACGTAAGGCAATGCATCCAGAGAACAATGGAAGTTTCAAGTCTGGAGCCTTCTAGACACTGCCCCTACGCATCTCCCCCTTTGGCTGATTTTAGGGTGTATCCTTTTTCTATATAAACCATAATCATGAGTATAATGGTCTTCAGTGAGTTCTGAGAGTTCTTCTAGGGAATTATCAAATGTAATAAGAGTGGTTCTAGGAATCTCCTGAAATTGCTGTTGGTATCAGAAGTGCGGGTAATACCCATCTTGCCAGAAGACTATTTCCTCCTCTAGCTGTGAAGAAGCAGGCTGCAATGTTGTGAGCTGCCCTTTTGAGGAAGTCACATGGCAAGGAACTGAGGGAGGCCGTCAGTCAACAGCTAGCAAGAAACTTACGTCCACAGTTTCACATTCTGCAAGGAACTGAATGCTGTCAACAACCACATGGGCTTAGAACTGGATCATTCCCTACTCAACCCCTGAAGTGAGGCTGCAGTGCCAGATGCACTTCAAATGCAGATCCTGAAGCAGACCATCAAGCAAAGACACGCCAAATTCCTGACCCACAGAAACTGTGAGATAATAAATGTGTGTTATTTTAACTAAGCCATTCCTTTGTGGTAGTTTTTTACACAGTAATAGATAACCACTACAATAGATGAACAGTGGTATTCTTCAGCAATGCAACATTAGAGGAATGTTTCTAAAATGCAAACAGGATCATATTTAAGCCATCACTGGCTTAAAAATCTCTACATGGTCTCTCACTGACTACAGACTAAAGCCCAAATACTTTAGCAGGATATAAAATACTTTCTTTAATCCAACCTCTATTCCCCCTGTCTAGTCGCATCTCTTAATATGGTCCATCCCCCTGACTTCTTCTCTCTCTCCCTCCAAGCTCCAGCAGTATGCAAAACAAATTATAAATTTTCTGAATGATCTACCCCCATCCCCTCCCTAAGGGGAGCACGTGATGATCCCCTTGCCTAGAATACCTCATCACCTGCGCTTACCCTCCTCTCCTATCCTCTCTATAGAAGTCAGTTTGGGTGCAGTCTCCTTGACTCCCAGTCAGTTTGTGGCTTCTCCCAGGTTATCACAGAACTCTGCATATTTCTGTGTAGCAAGCCCTACCATGGATTCTAGTTGCTTGTTTGCTGCTTTTCCTGCTGACTTAGAGGCTATAAATCTTCCTTGAGGGAAGAAACTGAAGTTTGCTTATCTGAGCTTACGTGTCTGAAGTCCTGGCACAGAATTGGCGCTCAATAAACTTTTATTAAATGAGTGAATGCTAATAACATTGTATTCACTGGTCATAACTTTTCAAGGAAAGTTGTTCTTCACAAAATAATTTTCTGTAGTACAAAGCATCAAAGTGTACCATTAATGAAACTATGAATCTCTAAGATTCTCTAAATTTGGACATATGGTATCTATCCAGCTTACTTCTCAATATCTTGTTAACTTGCCACACAATACAAAACAAATCAATGTCTGTTGTTTCATTATTATATATTTCAAAGTATTTAAAAAAGTTTTACTGTATCCTTGAAGCCATAAAACCAACAATTTATATCAACTCAAGCCAGACAATATCACAATTAAATTTAAGATAATTCACATTCAAATAAAAACTTCAGTGCTCAAGTCTTAGTTTATTTAAGCTTTGATTTGAAAGGTTCTAAAACAATTTTGTCTAGAAAAGAAAACAAATTGTTATTCTTTCATTTTCTATTTTAATAAAATATATATCCATATTTGTTAAATTTTTAGCTTAAAGGAGAAAAGTTAATTTGATTGGTAAAAGCACCAAGGAGGAATTTTTTAAAAGTGACTCTTTAAAAAAATCTTCAAAGTTGCTTGTATGGTATCTACAATGCCACTTTAATTTTTAAAAGCCAATTTCAATATTAAAGTAATTTTATAAAGTTTCCTTCATTCAGCAAACAAAAGTATCTTTTACTATCAACCTCAAAAACTATAAATCAAATTTACTTTTAAAAAGCTAATTTTTATGCATCAGTTTTTCTTATATGTAACTAAAATAAAGGGGAGAAAAAATCCAAATGACAAAACTATCAAATAATTTGTGCTAAAACTAATTTTTACACTGGAAAAATATATTACACTGGCTATATATTAATTATGGTATTAGGGCAATATTTTTAATCCTCATAAAATTAACAACATGGACTATGTTGTCATTTGGTGTCCTATTTCATTCAAAAAGCAGATTGTTTGATCTCCTGGGAAATCACCAAAATGAAAAGGATGACTTTAAAACTATATCATTTTTCATAAACTAATATTCACCAAAACATGAATGTTTATTACACAATAATAAAATCACACAAGTTTATAGTCAAATTAGTTGAAGCAGACTGAGTGCAGCAGTTACAACAAATAACTTAAGCACAGTTCTCTAGTACAACACACTGCATTTCACCCTAGAGAAAGAATGCTGGCAAAGATCTCTACCACATGGAAACTGTTCTTAAAGCTGCTGGGCCCTGAAATTTTACTCAGCAGTTTGAAATCAAGACATAGCTTTTCTCATTCACCCTCCCACTTGGGGCTAATGCACAGACATGAACATCTATTGAGGAAAACCACAAAAAACTTCAAAACAGCTACAACGGTAGGCTTACTTTTCATATATTATTTTAAATATTGTTTGTTAAAGTGCGACTGACTCATCTAATAGTCTTAATAAATGTAAAGGCCATCTCTGGTTTAAGTTTCAGTTACCTCAATTAATTTTTAAGAAGTACTTATGTATATCATCGCATAAATTTAACATCCACGCAGGCAAGAATAGGGTGCTGCAGAAGTCACAAATCCATTATCTTCTTCATTTTCAACCTCTGGATTTTTGACAAACTGGCATCTATAATGCAGCATCAGCAACTCTTGAGTGATTCTGTTTGAAGTTACTTAAGAAAAAGTCTGAAATGTGTACCCACCAGAGAAAATCCATTGATGAGCCTAAAGGAATCCTTTCTATTACATTCCTCAAAGTTCTTTGATTAAAGTTCGGTATTTCCTCTAGCCTGCAATACTATTCTTTCAGTTTTCTTAGCTTAAATTAAAAATACAATACTATTAACTAAAAATTATGATCACCTATTAAAATTACAAAACTAAGAAAATTAAAAACGTATGGCTTTTCCTATATTCTGTACCACCTAAAGGTGTTAATGACTACTTTTCATAATGTTAAATTTAAGTTTTAAAACTTTTCTTGGAACTTGTTTCTGTTCATACCAATATAAATCAAGAGTTCTTATAAAGTAGCTAAGTGGAAATATGATATTTTTAACTCACATGAGACAGGATCTTGGGACTTTATTTTAACTATTTATACTACAGGTATCCTAAGAATATTTCAATTAAATATTAGTATGTCTGCTGAAGGCACTTAATTATTAAGAAACTTAAAATTATCAATCTTTCTTGAATTTCTGATAGAGAAGTAAAACTATTTTCCAAAACTATTTTTCAGAATGTTCACTGATACATAAAAACTGCTAGCATCTAATTAAAGATCACTAAGGGTTAAATACTGTTCTCTGGCCCTTACTGCGCACACCCTGCCAAAACATCCTCTAAGCTTTTAAATATTGCTTCGATGGTCTGAATTTTTATTTCCAGGGAAAAAGAGAGTTTTGTCCCACAGTCAGCAGGCCACTAGTTTATTAACTTCCAGTCACCTTGATTTTTGCTAAAATGAAGACTCTGCAGTCTACACTTCTCCTGTTACTGCTTGTGCCTCTGATAAAGCCAGCACCACCAACCCAGCAGGACTCACGCATTATCTATGATTATGGAACAGATAATTTTGAAGAATCCATATTTAGCCAAGATTATGAGGATAAATACCTGGATGGAAAAAATATTAAGGTACTTTATTTCTATTCTAAATTTAGCTTCTAAAATACTGCCCATTTAAATGCATGTTTTTGCTTTTCCTGAATGTGTCTGATAAGGTAAGGGGAAGGGAAAATCACTTTAAATGATTCAAACGAATTCATAATAATTGTCCCTAAGATTGTATTTTTAGAGTATGTATGCTTTCCAAATTAATAAATGGTATCTATGGTAACCAAACAGTATCTATAGTAACCAAAAAATAAAACTTAAAGAAAACTAGACTTTAAGATGATCCCTCACCAGTTGCAATTTATATATTAAGTAATGTTACACAATGCCCTATACTTGCAATGTTGTGTTGCCTCAAAAATAAATTAGCGGAAATGTGTATTTGGAGAAATAAAGATGAATTATCAGCTTAAGGTTATTATTATAGAAAACAATTTGAAGAAAATACATAGAAGAGTACTGGTTATTTTGATATCAATAGCATTCCACAATAATTTATATATGCCATCTACATACAGTACCAAAAACTGAAAACCTAGTCAATATAGGACTTTCTTTTTAAATCAATTTTAACAGTTTAGACCCTCTATCAATTGGTACCAAGTAACTGTAACTGTCTTTGAGTTAACACTGCAAGGGTGACGTTATACCACATCATTCATTCCCCACCTTTATGGGCAAACTAATTACTTGTGGTTTTCTTGGCACACAGAAATGAATGCTGGGTAAGGAAAAAGTTAATACAGCACTTAAGTATCTGTTGCCCACTATGTATGACACATACACATACACACTGGAAAATGAGAAATTCAGCCAAATATATAACAATACTGATTGTTTCAGAAGTTCTTCTCCACTATAAATTGGAGGATAAAGACTTATAAGATTGACCAGTTATAATTGCTACTTTCTCTTTTCTTTTTTGCAGGGGTACACAATGAGCAAATGTTAACACCACAGTTTCTTTCTTTCAGTTAATGCTTTTAATATGATAGCATTATTTTTGCCCATCACTAAGACACAAAGGATAGGTATTACTAATTATAGCTTCAAGTTAAAGAAAAAAAAGTCCCATCATAACATAGGCTATTGGCTCACTTGGATGATTTGAATCTATTAAGATTCCCTGATCCCTAAAGAGTTTAGAGATTATTTTTCTCTCTGCTTCTTCTCTTTACAGGGCTTTAGAAGTTTCTCTATCTTAATATAAATGCAGGGTCTAAGATATTTGTGGAGTGGAGTAGAATTCAACAGGACTTGATGTGCAAACACAGAGTAGAGGGAGGAAGTTCAACCACCACACAGATGGGAGAATGAAGGTGAAGGGCAGAGTCAGGAGTCAAGACCGAGACTAAAATGGAACATGCTTACAAAGGACAGAAAGAATAGGACACCACATAATACACTGTAATCTAATGGCAGAAAACGTACTCTCCAAGAACAGGAAAGACAGGATCTAAATTGTATCTACTCCAATTTCCCCAGAATTAATGGCCTACCCCAGTGGCCCAAGCAGGGTAGGTAAGGTAAGCTGGAATAAAAGGGATCCAAGAGCCAGGGCTTAATGGAGGGATATAGGTAATTAAAGGGTCACCCCAAGAAGAGACCTAAAGACCTTAATTGGTAGTTTATACTTGTGACATGGCTGGAGCTCTAGTCTTACTCAAAATGGTAGAATCTGAATGAGAAACTCAGTTCAGACAAGACCCCTGAGGAACAGTTTCACCTCAGAAAAACTTTCATTCCAATTCAGGGAATTCTCACCTAGCTTTCATTTGGAATTTCAGGATGTTCAACATTTATTAAGCACTGAGTGTAGCTACTGGCGATATAAAAATAAAAACACCCAGTTCTTTTACTCAAGGAGCTCATAGTCTAGAATAAAAACAAGCTAAAAAATACTTATTGTAATTTAATAGATGATAAAATGGAAATATGTATGAAAGCCTAATGGAGCACAAAGGAAATGCCACTAATTGTAACTACGAGAAGGTGTCTGTGATCCCTTCATTTTACAGAGAAACACAGACTTAATGAAGCTAGGTAACAAACTTTTATTTTTCCAATAGGAAAAAGAAACTGTGATAATACCCAATGAGAAAAGTCTTCAATTACAAAAAGATGAGGCAATAACACCATTACCTCCCAAGAAAGAAAATGATGGTAAGTATCATCTAAATATTTTTCAAATGGATCTTTTAAAAATAGCTATAATGGACTTTATTCCTTGTGGTAATCAAAAACTGACTCAAGATACAGTAAATACAAACAGTGGAATTTTATTTCCAATGATAAACTCAAACTGGGAGTGCACACCATTTGCCATCCCACATTATGAGTGAGAAATGTGGAGCAAGAACTTGTGAGAACAACCAAAGCTTAGGCAAGCTTAGCCTCCACAAAGTGTGGTTTCCATCCATATAAAATCTATTCGAGAAATACTTAAACACGGATTATTTGCAAAATACAATGTGCAGCCTCAGTATACGGTAAATATAATTATTGCCTTTAAGAAACTTACAGAACAGAAACACACATATACATCAATAATTACACATACATTTCAATTAAAATAGAAAACTTGTCATGAAATAACAAATTACAAGTCCTACTTAATAATTCCTGTGTACTTGGCTTACTCTTACTCTATCACAGAACATTATTTCACATGAAAACATGACAAAAACCACATATTAATTTCTATATTTCTAAAATAAAATGAAAATGAACCATAACAGAAAATAAAGCTTAAAAAGCGAGAAGTATGATAGTAAAAATAGATTTGAATAAATTTAAAGACATCCCAGGCTGGGCGTGGTGGCTCACGCCTGTAATCCCAGTACTTTGGGAGGCTGAGGCGGGTGGATCACGAGGTCAGGAGTTCAAGACCAGCCTGGTCAAGATGGTGAAACCCTGTCTCTACTAAAAATACAAAAAATTAGCCAGGCGTGGTGGCAGGTGCCTGTAATCCCAGCTACTCGGGAAGCTGAGGCAGAGAATTGCTTGAACCTGGGAGGTGGAGGTTGCGGTGAGCCGAGGTCGTGCCATTGTACTCCAGCCTAGGCGGCAGAGCAAGACTCTGTCTCAAAAAAAACAAAAACAAAAACAAAAAACAAAAGACATCCCTTGTTCTTGGATGGAATGACTCAAAATCATAAAGATGTCAGTTCTTTCTAAATTTATAAATTTAAAACAATCCAACTAAAATTACCAATAAATTTTTTTATAAAGCTGGAAAACCAGATTCTAGAATTCATATGGAACAACATGTAACAAATAACAAGGGAAACAGTAAACAGTAACAAGTATATGTAGGAATCAGATGTACTACACATTAAAATATATTATAAAACTCTATACTTTAAAAAGTGCGATACTGGTATATGAATAGACAAAAAGATCAATGAAATAGAATAGAAAATCCAGAAACAGACAAAAATACACATGAAAATTCAGTACATACTAAAGGTACCAACCTAAATCACTGAAGCAAAAATGGTCTTTTTAAAAAATGGTGCTGGGAGAAACAGCCATTTGAAGAGGTGTACATTTAGGTCCATACCTTACACAAAAAATAAACTCCAAATAGATTAGCAATCTGAATGTATAAAATGAAATCGTACAAGTACTAGAAAAGAATCTGGGTGCAGGGTGCCTCAAAATCCAGAGACAACAATAGAACAGAACAATAAATTTGACCCTAAAAATACCTGTGGTAAAGTCGAAGGCAACTAAAAACTGGGAAAAATATTTGTAACATATACTACAGATAAATAATATCACTAGATAAAGAGCTCACAGATAATATAACTAAAAATAAAGATCTAGTAACTCTAATTTATAAAGCACTCTTAAAAATCGAGGAAAAGAGATTAACCAAAAATCCACTGGAAAAATGACAGTTCACAAGATGATTTAAATGATTTAACCCAAATAAGTGTTCAATCTCACACAGAGACATATAAATTAAAATTACATTGAGATACCATTTTTAACCTATCTGATTGAAAAAAATTGAAGTATGACAACACATTAATATATTCCATGAGCAAGGGCTATGGGGTAAGACACTCATACACGGCAGCAGGAAGGCAAATCAACACAATGCTTTTGGACAGGAACTTGGCAATATCTAACAAAATAAAAAATGCATTTACTTTTTGACATAAGAACCAACTTTGAGGATTTTTTTTTTTTTTTGAGACAGAGTCTCGCTCTCAGACTGGTGTGCAGCAGTACAATCTTGGCTCACTGCAACCTCCGCCATTTGGGCTCAAGCAATTCTCCTGCTTCAGCCTCCGAGTAGCTGGGATTACAGGCACGCGCCACCACGCCAGGCTAATTTATTGTATTTTTAGTAGAGACAGGTTTCACCATGTTGGTCAGGCTGGTCTTGAACTCCTGACCTCAAGTGCCTCAGCCTCCCAAAGTGCTGGTATTACAGGCGTGAGCCACCACTCCCGGCCAACTTTGAGAAATTTACCTTGATGATATACTCCAAAATAAAATACAAATGCAAAATCACTAAAGCATTGCATGCAATTGCAAAATATCAGAAATAATTTAACTGCCCAAACACTGAAGAGTAGTTGAATAAACAATGGTAAATCCAACAGAAGAGAATACTATGCAGTTGTAAAAATGAATGAGGAAGATCTCTAAGAACTAACATGGAGTGATTTCCAGGATACACTATGTGGAAAAAAAAAACAAAGTGCAAAAGAATATCTATAATATGCTGTCTTTCATGTAAGAAAGAAAAGGATATAAGAAAATATATATGTATCTGCTTGTTTCTGTGAAAATAAATACAGGCTAAAAAGAAATTGGGGGAGAGGGGATGGCAGTTCTCTGCGTATATACTTTTTAATGTAGATTTAATTTTTAGAACAATGCTGTTTCGTATAGTCAAAAAACCAAATACGTATATAAATGAAATCAACAAGAATAAGGTAAAAAGAACCCAAATTGGAATACAAACATAAAAACATAAACTTGATTGTGCTTCAAATTAATAACTCAGCAAAGGAAGAAAAAACTCTAAGTAACTGTTAAACACAGCATTTTCCTATATACCTTCAGGCTAAGGACAAAAAAGAACTATAAACAAATATGAAGTTCCAGTGAGTAGGTTTGTTATGCACAGTGTTATGAGTTAGCAATACTGGAACTACTTAATATGTGTGCCAGAACTAAGTAAATATACGTAAATAATGAGAGCCAGGTTCCGCACTGTCAGAGAAACATTACAAATACGGAAAGGTGGAAGGCTAGAAAGAACACTGTGGAGTTGGTTTGGAATAGAAGATACTACTATTAACTCAGGGTTTGTATATACAGAGATACAGAAATATAGAAATGTTTCTCTCTGTTTATCTCTATGTGTGTGTATGTATACATGAGTATATGGTATACATATGCATGTATATTGTATATGTTTATATCCGTATATGTTGCATGTATGTGTATTATCTGTGGAGAAAGAGACAAATAAACACACACATTTATTTCCTAGCTCTCTCTGCTGAAAGAGCCTAGAAGCAACGTGATCTCAATGGCAATGAGCACACCCAGCACCTGCATCTTGGTTTCTAATACCATTCTCCACTAAAAGAAACCAATGCTGGCCGGGTGTGGTGGCTCATGCCTGTAATATCAGCACTCTGGGAGGCCAAGGCGGGTGGACCACCTGAAGTTAGGAATTTGAGACAAGCCTGGCCAACATGGTGAAACCCCGTCTCTACTAAAAATACAAAAAAAATTAGCTGGGCATGGTGGCACATGTCTGTAATCCCAGCTACTCGGGAGGCTGAGGTGGGAGCATCACTTGGACTCAGGAGGCAGAGCTGCAGTGAGACGAGATGGCACCACTGCACTCCAGCCTGGGTGACAGGGCGAGACTCTGTCTTAAAAACAAATGAACAAACCAAAAAAACCCCCAGTGCTTTCTGAAGAGATAGCTGATTTCAGGGTTGGGGCAGGAAAAATGCAAGGTTAGTTTGGGACATCTTGCTATGTTAGGAAATAAGGAAGTTCTCAAAGAATAATGGTGTTTTTTTGTTTGTTTGTTTGTTTTTTTAGACAGGGTCTCGCTCTATTACCCATGCTGGAGTATAGTGGCATGATCATGGCTCACTGCAGTCTTGACCTCCTGGGCTCCAGCAATCCTCCTGCCTCAGCCTCCCAAGTAGCTGGGACTACAGGAACGTGCCACCACACCTGGCTAATTTTTGTATTTTTTTGTAGAGATGAGGTTTCATCATGTTGCCCAGGTTGGTCTCAAACTCCTAGACTCAAATGATCCACCTGCCTCAGCCTCTAAAAGTGCCAAGATTACATATATGAGCCATTGCACCCAGTCTCCTGACAAAATGTTTTTAAATCCATCAAAATATATAAAAGAAATAGATATAAAAGATGTTTATGGGAAGGCCGAGGCAAGAGGACTGCTTGACCTCAGGAGTTTGAGACCAGCTTGGGCAACATAGTGACACCATGTCTCTACAAAAAATTTAACCAAGAAAAAGCCAGGTGTGGTGGCACAAACCTGTAGTCCCAGTTACTTGAGAGGCTGAGGCAGGAGGATCGCTTGAGCCCAGGAGGTCGAGGTTTGCAGTGAACCATGATCATGCGACTGTACCCCACCCTGAGTGACAGCATGAGATCTTGTCTCAAAAAAAAAAAAATAAAGGTATGTAAGGCCTGTACACTGAAATCTAAATAACGCTGCTAAGAGAAAATAAAGAAGACCTATATATAAGGAGAAATGTATTATGTTCGAGGTCTAGAAGATTCAATATCATTAAGATGTCAGTTTTCCCCAAATTTAGAGATTCAACACAATCCCAATCAAAATCCTAATAGGTTTTTTTTTTGTTTAATTAACAAGCTGATTCTAAAATATATATAAAAATATAAAGGACCTAGAATAGTCTAACAACATTGAAGAAGAACAAAGTTGCAGGATTTATACTAACAAGACTGTTACAAAGGTACAGGAATCAAGACACTGCAGTATTGGCATAAAAATGTTAAAGTGGGTCACCAGAACAAAATAAAATCCAGAAACAGGCTAACATGAAGTAACCAACTAGTTCTTGACAATGTGACAATACAATTCAATGGGGAAAGAATAATCCTTTTAAAAAACGGTGCTGAAAGAACCAGACAACTGTAGGAAAATTTTTCAAAAAAGAATTAACCCTTCCTGGCACCATATATAAAAATTAGCCCAAAGTATACCCCACACCTAAAGGTAAAGATCTTAAACTATACAACTTCTAGAAGAAAACAAAGTGTCAAATCTTGGTGGTCGGCAAACATTACTTAAATACAACACAGAAACCATGAATTATCAAGGAACCAACTGTTCTTCATTAAAATTTAAAATGTTTCATTTCCAAAAGGAAAACTAGTAAGAGGGAAAAAAAAAAAGACAAGTCATCAAATATATGGATGCCAAACAAGCACATGAAAAGATGCTAACATCATTAGTTATCAGAGAATACAAATTAAAACACAATGAGATACTATAACATGCCCTACATTTCAATTGCTAAAATTAAAAAGACTGACCATACCAAATGTTGGCAAGGATGTGGAGCAGCTGGAACTCTCATATGCTGCTGGTAGGAATGTAAAATGGCACAGTCCTTTGGAAAATAGTTTGACACTTTCTTCAAAAGATAAAACATACATTTATAAAAAGACCCAGCCATTCCACTCCTTAGGTACTTACCCAAGAGAAATGAAAGCATTAAGTCCACACAAACTTACACATAAATTTCTTTGAAATAGTGAAAACCTGGAAACAACCCAATGTCCATATGAAATGACCATGTAAATTGTATATATTGAGACAATTGAATACTACTGAGTAATAAAGAAGAATGAACTACTGATAAAGATTGAAAATCAAAATAATAATGCTGAGTAAAAGAAGCCAGAAAAGGAAGTAGATACTCCATGATTCTTTTAATATAAAATTCTCCTAAATGCAAACTAATGTATACTGACCAAAAGCAGGTCAGTCATTGCTCGAGGACAAGAGTGGGAGGGAGAGATTACCAAAGGGCAGGAGAAAACTTTTTGGAGTGACAGGTATGTTAATTAACTCACTTGTAGTGAACGTTTCATGGGGGTGTACATATGTAAAAATCGTATATGTTGTACGATTTAAATACACGCAATTAATTGTAAGTCAGCTAACCACAAAAAGCTGTAGCAGGAAAAAAAAGCTTGAAAGGGCCTAATCTGTGACAATTTGACTATTAAAATAAACACAGATTATGACTTATGGGACACAATTCATATTGATATGAAAATATCAATTAAAATTTCAAAAAATAGGCCGGGCGTGGTGGCTCACACCTGTAATCCTAGCACTTTGGGAGGCTGAGGCGGGCAGATCACCTGAGGTCAGGAGTTCGAAAGCAGCCTGGCCAACATGGTGAAACCCAGTCTCTACTAAAAATACAAAAAAATTAGCCGGACATGGTGGCACATGCCTGTAATCCCGGATACTTGGGAGGCTGAGGCAGGAGAATTGCTTGAACCCGGGAGGCGGAGACTGCAGTGAGCCGAGATCACACCACTGCACTCCAACCTGGGTGACGAAGCGAGACTTCATCTCAAAAAAAAGAAAAAAAATTCAAAAAATAAAATTTGACATGTTTATTTGATATATTTAAAATATATCAAAATAGGTCAGGTGTGATGGCTCACGTCTGTAATCCCGGCACTTTGGGAGACCGAGGCAGGCAGATCACTTGAGGTCATGTTCGAGACCAGCCTGGCCAACATGGTGAAACCTTGTCTATACTAAAAATTCAAAAAAAAAAAAAAAATAGCCATGTGTGGTGGCATACGCCAGTAATCCCAGCTACTCAGGAGGCTGAGGCAGAAGAATCGCTTGAAATGGGGAGGTGGAGGTTGCAATGAGCCAAGATCACACCACCACACTCCAGCATGAGCAACAGGGCAAGACTCTGTCTCAAAAATAAGTAAGTAAATAAAATAATAAAATATATCAAAATATATAAAACAAGTTCATATTGATATAAAAATAAGAAGAGAGTGCCAACTAACAAATGTAGAAGGAATGATGGAATTAGAAAATCACTATTTGGTTAGTCACAAATGATTCGGGTAAGAATCATCAATGGATGCTAAAACTAGTATATGAAAGTACAATGTCACACCAGACATTTAGATTCTCAAAGTACTTCTCCAGAATTACTTGTTATGAAGTGAAAAATATTAACTTTACTCAGTGAGAAACATGGCAAATACTAGTTGAACCAAGTGACCAAAGATATTATCAGGAATGGGATAAACAGATATCATGTGCTTTTGGACACACAGCACTGACGATCCATGGTACTCCTGCCAAAAATGAGAAACCTCTGCCAACTGAAAGGCATTCTGCAGAATAAATGCCCTGAAAAAGAAAACTAAACAAAAAAAAAAGCTCTACACTTTTCAAAAACAGGAAAAGGTATAAAAAACAAAGACTAAGGAATGTTCCAAGAGGTATGACAAGTAAATGTAATAAATGACTTGGGGTGCTAAAGGATCCAAACAGTGCCTACGATTACTCTAATTTTCAAGTTAATGGCTTCCTTACTTAACTAGTGGTTACTAAAGTCTAGCTACTGTCACCAATCTGAAATATGTTTCTCACACATTAAACTTAATAAGTCAAGCTCATGTTTACCTTAACTCCTGCTTTGTAAATTTTTTTGGTTTTCAAATAAGGAAATGTAACTGTCAATCAATTCAGCATTTAAGCAATCACCAGTAAAACAAAATAAAAAGAGATTCTCAAACAATATTCTGGTGAATTATCAAGCACAATATAGGTAACGAGTTACCATGACTATCTTTCTTATGATTCTGTAAAACATCTCTTCAAATTAGTAATAGCATTCATAATAGCAATAATTTTACTACTAGAGGAGAAATATTTTCAAACGATTGTTCATATTTTTATGATTTTATTCCCAATTTAGAAATGCCCACGTGTCTGCTGTGTGTTTGTTTAAGTGGCTCTGTATACTGTGAAGAAGTTGACATTGATGCTGTACCACCCTTACCAAAGGAATCAGCCTATCTTTACGCACGATTCAACAAAATTAAAAAGCTGACTGCCAAAGATTTTGCAGACATACGTAAGTTAAGCTGAAATATGATATTAGTATTAACTCGTATTAGTATTTAACTCATATAAACACAAGTTTCTATATAGTTGCTGCCTATCACATTCAGGTTTGTCACTTGAAGTACATAAATATCTAACATGTTTCACAAAAGTCCATTCATTTGTTGGTGAATCATCTTTCCACTTAGACAGATCCTGTGATCTTTCTTTACTGGTGACTTCACTGTCTATGATGACAGCCCATCTAACATATGGGCAACTATATCTTCTCAACTCCAATACTTCAAGATCCCTTGCTTCAGACACTGAGCAACACCAATATAACTGGGATGCTTCTCCAACCACAATGTTTTATTTTCTACCTGGACTATAAAAACACAGAAAGTGCTTTTTCTTACTTTAACTAATGGCTCTTAAACCTGGCTGCATATTAAAAATATCTTGGGAAGTGTTTTTTTTTTCTCCCCCCTCCCCCCAACCCGACATGGAGTCTTGCTCTGTTGCCCAGGCTGGAGTAGAGTGGCGTGATCTTGGCTCACTGCAACCTCTGTCTCCCAGGTTTAAGTGGCTCTCCTGTCTCAGCCTCTCACGTAGCTGAGGTGTGTGCCACCACACCTGGCTAATATTTGTATTTTTAGTAGAGATGGGGTTTCACCATGTTGGCCAGGCTGGTCTGGAACTCCTGACCTTGTGATCCGCCCGCCTCGGCCTCCCAAAGTGCTGGGAATACAGGCGTGAGCCACCATGCCCGGCAGGGAAGTATTTTTTAAATACTGATACTAGGTCCTACTTCCCAGGGGTTGTAATTCAGATCTGGGGTAGGGCCCAAGCAACATCATTAAAAACAAACAAACTCCTTGGATGATTCTAATATGGAAATACTGTTGAGAACAGTGGTATTTAATTCCTTACCAGGTCATTATCAATCTTGAACTTCTAGCAAACCTTAACTCAGTTAGTGTTGCCATAAGCACACCAGAATCCTCCATTTCTGCAGTACCAAATCCCAGTCCTAGATCACTAATTTCTTGTCAGTTTTCTAGACTCCTAATATTGTCAAGAGTTCTGAAAAAAATCACACCGAGAAATGCATACTAGCCCCGCTACACATTTATGAGACTAACCATAACCAGGTTCATGCTGCCACTGATAGCTCCCAAATGTGGATTGAAGTATAGTTGATCCTTGTTATTTGTGGATTCCATATTTGTGAATACCCACTTGCTAAAATTTATTTATAACCCCAAAATTAATACACATTGTGCTTTCATGGGCTTTCTCAGACATGCTCAGAGTGGCAAAAAATTTGAATTACTTGACATGCACATTCCCATCTGAGGTTGAACAAGGTAACACTGTCTTCTGGTTCCAGTTCTCATACTGTAAATAAATGCCCTGTTCACAGTCTATTTAACGACATGTTTTTCACATTTTTGTGCTTTGTGTTTATGATTTTGCTGTTTATTGATTTTTGTTTTTTGGGGGGTTTTTTTGTTTGAGACAGGGTCTCGCTCTGTTGCCCAGGCTGAAGTGCAGTGGTGTGATCTCAGCTCACTGCAGCCTCTGCCTCCTGGGTTCAAGGGATTCTTGTCCCTCAGTCTCGCAAGTAGCTGAGACTACAGGCATGTGCCACCACACCTGGTTACTTGTTTTATTGTAATTTAATTTAATTTAATTTATTTATTTTTTGAGATGGAGTCTTACTCTGTTGCCCAGGCTGGAGTGCAGTGGCACCATCTCGGCTCACTGCTAGCTCCGCCTCCCAGGTTCATGCCATTCTCCTGCCTCAGCTTCCCGAGTAGCTGGGACTACAAGTGCTCGCCACCACGCCTGGCTAATTTTTTTTTTTTTTTTGGTATTTTTAGTAGAGATGGGGTTTCACCGTGTTAGCCAGGATGGTCTCGATCTCCTGACCTCATGATCCGCCCACCTTGGCCTCCCAAAGTGCTGGGATTACAGGTGTGAGCCACCGCGCCTGGCCTATTATAATTTTAATAGAGATGAGGTTGCGCTGTGTTGGCCAGGCTGGTCTCGAACTCCTGACCTCAAGTGATCTGCCCACCTT
Organism: Homo sapiens; assembly: GCF_000001405.40. Taxonomy (NCBI): domain Eukaryota; kingdom Metazoa; phylum Chordata; class Mammalia; order Primates; family Hominidae; genus Homo; species Homo sapiens. The sequence continues at coordinate 225,759 of NW_025791788.1, read as the reverse complement.
GGCCTCCCAAAGTGCTAGGATTACAGGCATAAGCCACCACACCTGGCCTGATTTTGCTGTTTAACATGACCCAACACATGGTGCTGAAGTGACGTCTAACATCCCCAAGCACAAAAAGGCTGTGATATGCCTACAGGGAAAATATGTTAGATAAGGTTTGTTCAGGCATGAGTTATAGTGCAATATTAATGATTCAACAATATATACTCAGCCAAGTGTCCTTAAGCAAAAACACATAAAGTTATATACTAATAGTTGATGGAAATGTGTGGCCAGAGGCTCACAGGAACATAACCCTGTATTTCTCCTAGGAATAATGGTTCAGTATTTACAAATTCAACACTTGTGGTAATTTTATAGAACATGATTCCTGTGAATAAGAAACAATTGATTTCCTAATTATCCCAGATATACGTGATGCACACGCAAGTACGCGCGCGCGCACACACACACACACACACACACACTGAATTTCTCTCTCAATCTGTGTCACTTTAACAAATCAGGGAACATCTTTGTCTTTGTTGTTGTTAAGCGATAAGGCATAGAGAGATTAAGATTAAGATAACATACTCAGAATCACAACGCAACATGCCAGCAAAAAAATAAAAAAAATTACATGATTCCAATCAAATGTAATGCTTCCTTTCCATGATTTGCAACAAGAATTTCTTTCAAACTGCCTGACCATCCCAAGGAATTTGAACAGAGAAAGATGAAAAGACTCGATTAACTTTAAGATCACTTTCAAACCTGAGATTCTAGGACTCCAGTCAGAAAGGGAATCAATTTCAGGCACAAAGAGGTGTTCAGTGATCATTCCACAAAACTTTACTGGGCTATGAATTGTAAACAGTCTACCAGGCACTAAAAATGAAAGATGCTTGAGTGATCTGTTAAACAAATGCTTTTCTTCAGTCCATACAATAAGAATTTTACTTACGTAGTTGTTTTTTATATTTTTTTCCCTCTAGCTAACTTAAGAAGACTCGATTTTACAGGAAATTTGATAGAAGATATAGAAGATGGTACTTTTTCAAAACTTTCTCTGTTAGAAGAACTTTCACTTGCTGAAAATCAACTACTAAAACTTCCAGTTCTTCCTCCCAAGCTCACTTTATTTAATGCAAAATACAACAAAATCAAGAGTAGGGGAATCAAAGCAAATGCATTCAAAGTAAGTATTTTATAGTAAAACTAAGCATAGTATGAGTGATGATATGATAGATAAAAGAGAAACTTTGGTCTAGAATTGTATTTTGATTACACTTAAAAACTATTTTGATTTAATAAATGAAGACATTATTTACATAATAAATAACCATCCTATTAGGCTCATTCAGCCTAGCTTATACCCATATCTCAGTTAAAATACATAACCTTTATTTTATTTCATGGGACTATTTTGTTTCTCATTTTTTCACTTGTTCATACAGCAAATATTTATTTAGACAGACATGGTTGGCCCTCTCATGACACTTACAGTCTACGAAAGCTCAAAATGGGATATTTCCTGTGTTTCTTTTTCCTTACAATGTTAGCAAATTATAAACACCAGAAAAAAATAAAGATCCAAAAGTAAATACTGAATTTAACTTTTAATATTTAAAGATATTAGACTGTGAAATTCTATAGGGAGATTTTCCTTTGAATTTCATGAGAGCATGTAATATAAAATTTTATATGTAGTAAGAATTAAATACATTTCTTAACAATTCAAGCAAATATTATGTAGGAAAAAGGGAAAGTAATCTACTTCGGTTTAGGTAGACAATTTGTCTCAAAATGCATGACCTACAGGAGTAATCACTTTAGTCCAGGATTTCCATAGCTCTGATGTAATCATTCCCCAGATAAAATGATGACCATGCCATTGCTGGTAACAGACATAATCTCATTCAAAAGGCAAGGTTTCTTGCTTCTAAAGGTAACTTCAGAAACTATCAAATATTCATTATCATAAAGTTTATGATAATCACACACAGGTAAATTCTGTCAAAAAATGTACAATCTGTTAGAAAGTGTACAAATAGTCCATTTTTTCATTTTTCATTACAATTAAGGTATCTTTATTCAACTTTAAGGGACATTTTAAAGTTACATCAGAGCTCATCTGATGTTTCTTATAAGGAACTCAGAAGTTAAGGGACTCTTAGAGGACTTTTTAAAAGCAGATACACCTTTTTTTTTTTTTTTTTTGAGATGGAGTCTTGCTCTGTCACCCAGGCTGGAGTGCAGTGGCGTGATCTTGGCTTACTGCAACCTCCGCCTCCCAGGTTTGAGCAATTCTCCTGCCTCAGCCTCCCAAGTGGCTGGGACTACAGGCACACACCACCACGCCCGGCTAATTTCTACACTTTTAGTAGAGATGGGTGTTGGCCAGGCTGGTCTTGAACTCCTGACCTCAGGTGATCCGCCCACTTTGGCCTCCCAAAGTGCTAGGATTACAGGCGTAAGCCACCGTGCCTGGCCTTTTTTTTTTTGTTTTAAAGTTGTAATTTGAAAATATTAATTTGAGTTGGTCACTCTTTGAATAACAGACATGTTAAAGACCTATAAAAGTTGATCAGGACAGGTTCAGTGGCTCACGCCTATAATCCCAGCACTTTAGGAGGATGAGGCAGGCGGATCACTTGAGGTCAGGAGGTCAGGACCAGCCTGGCCAACATGGTGAAACTCTGTCTCCACTAAAAATACAAAAATTAGCTAGGCGTGGTGGTGGGCGCCTGTAGTCCCAGCTACTCAGGAGGCTGAGGCACAAGAATTGCTTGAACCTGGGAGGCAGAAGTTGCAGTGAACTGCTGAGATTGTACCACTGCACTCCAGCCTGGGCCACAGAGCAAGATTCAGTCTCCAAAAAAAAAGGAGCTGATCAACATTTCACAAAAAGAACATTTGAATATTCTGGGGTTTAGACAGGAATTACAGAAGGGATTTATGACAAGTTGGTATGAAAATAATAAACTTGGCCAGGCACGGTGGCTCATGCCTGTAATCCTAGCACTTTGGGAGGCCAAGGCGGGCAGATTGCCTGAGCTCAAGAGTTCGAGACCAGCCTGGGCAACATGGTGAAACCCTGTCTCTACTGAAATACAAAAAATTAGCTGGGCGTGGTGGTGGGCACCTGTCGTCCCAGCTACTCAGGAGGCTGAGGCAGGAGAATTGCTTTAACCTGGGAGGCGGAGGTTGCAGTGAGCTCAGATCATGACACTGCACTACAGCCTGGGCAACAGAGTGAGACTCCATCTCTAAAAAAAAAGAAAAGAAAATAATAAATTCAGCTGCCCTATAGTTTTGTTTAATGTCCTAAGCTGCTACAGTCACTAGTAGAATTAGGTTATTCTACCTCATGTAAATGAGACTCACTGGGAAGACAAGAGCTTGATGCCCACATGGTGGAAGGGTAGGGTGCTTAAGAAAGTATTAAAATAGCAACACAGAAAAGAATTAGCAAAATCTACCACAGGATACATATTGAAGATAAGGTAAAAGAGTAATGTCAGGGGAAATTACAATTATACACAATAATGGGTTACTGATCATGAAGAATAATCCAACATTAAGCCCTTAGGGAAAAAACCTGCATCAAGCTAACTGTTTGCTAAACTGCTTTGGGAAACATCTTGCTAAGAACACATTTTTTTTTTTTTTTCTTGAGATGGAGTCTCGTTCTGTGGCCCAGGCTGGAGTGCAGTGGCACAATCTCGGCTCACTGCAACCTCCACCCCCTGGGTTCAAGCAATTCTCCTGCCTCACTCAGGCTCCCTAGTAGCTGGGATTACAGGCATGTGCTACCACACCAGTTAATTTTTGTATTTTTAGTAGAAATGGGGTTTCACCATGTTGGCCAGGCTGGTCTCGAACTCCTGACCTCAAGTGATCCACCCACATTGACCTCTCAAAGTACTGGGATTACAGGCGTGAGCCACCATGCCCGGCTAAGCACACACATTTCTTTTTTTTTTTTTTTTTTTTTTCTTTTTGAGACAGAGTCTCGCTCTGTTGCCCAGGCTGTAGTACAGTGGTGCGATCTCAGCTCACTGCAAGCTCTGCCTCCTGGGTTCACAGCATTCTCCTGCCTCAGCCTCCCGAGTAGCTGGGACTACAGGCGCCCACCACCACGCCTGTCTAATTTTTTGTATTTTTTTAGGCCGGGCATGGTGGCTCACACCTGTAATCCCAGCACTTTGGGAGGCTGAGGCGGGCAGATCACGAGGTCAGGAAATCGATACCATACCAGCCAACATGGTGAAACCTCGTCTCTACTAAAAACATACAAGCACACACATTTCTAAGAAGTAACCACTTAGCTAGAAATTGGTGGAACTGAGATGGGAAACTCCAGAGGTACAGGAGAGGTTATGGCAGCACCAGGGTCAAAATTCAATCCCACATAGGGACTCACCTCATTAGTTCCTATCAAGACAAACACAAAGAGTACCAGAAGTTGGCATTAGAGCCGGATATTCAGAGATCAGATGAATGGACAGAAGTGTGGGGTATGCGGCAGAGCTCCACTGGCCATCATAAAGGATCAAAATACACTACACGTGAAGTCAGAAAAAAAACCCAAACAAGAAACTACCATACGAACAATTGATATAATTGATGTATTCATATCAATATGCAAGTCTGTATATATAGACATATACTCATATGCACATATATATTGCTTGAATCCTGTGAAAGAATGTACAGAACCTCAATAACACTCACATGAAATTTTCCTTACAGAAACTGAATAACCTCACCTTCCTCTACTTGGACCATAATGCCCTGGAATCCGTGCCTCTTAATTTACCAGAAAGTCTACGTGTAATTCATCTTCAGGTATGATAGTTCCTTTCACAATATCTGACTCTAATTACCTATGAGTCAAAATCTTGTGACTCATTGGGAACCTCACTTATTCACATACAAATTTTGGTTAGATCACTGTAGTAGCGTGATAGCTAAATGTCTGCCTATCAAAAAGATTAATACTAGGCTCATGAACTTTCTTCCCAGAAGTCCAGATTCCATCCAGAGCATAACAAGTAGACCAGCACAGTACGTGTGAAGTCTGCTCTTGATTGTATTTGTCTCCAGGTGTACATTTGAGTATTTCCTAATTAATTTGACACAAGGATTTGAAGTGAGGGGGCACTCAGACCTCTGACTTAGGTTTCCTTTACCCATTATATAGCATATGAAAGGTTGATTTCAGATTTCTGAACAATGTTTTCCTCGTTTTTTTTCAGTTCAACAACATAGCTTCAATTACAGATGACACATTCTGCAAGGCTAATGACACCAGTTACATCCGGGACCGCATTGAAGAGATACGCCTGGAGGGCAATCCAATCGTCCTGGGAAAGCATCCAAACAGTTTTATTTGCTTAAAAAGATTACCGATAGGGTCATACTTTTAACCTCTATTGGTACAACATATAAATGAAAGTACACCTACACTAATAGTCTGTCTCAACAATGAGTAAAGGAACTTAAGTATTGGTTTAATATTAACCTTGTATCTCATTTTGAAGGAATTTAATATTTTAAGCAAGGATGTTCAAAATCTTACATATAATAAGTAAAAAGTAAGACTGAATGTCTACGTTCGAAACAAAGTAATATGAAAATATTTAAACAGCATTACAAAATCCTAGTTTATACTAGACTACCATTTAAAAATCATGTTTTTATATAAATGCCCAAATTTGAGATGCATTATTCCTATTACTAATGATGTAAGTACGAGGATAAATCCAAGAAACTTTCAACTCTTTGCCTTTCCTGGCCTTTACTGGATCCCAAAAGCATTTAAGGTACATGTTCCAAAAACTTTGAAAAGCTAAATGTTTCCCATGATCGCTCATTCTTCTTTTATGATTCATACGTTATTCCTTATAAAGTAAGAACTTTGTTTTCCTCCTATCAAGGCAGCTATTTTATTAAATTTTTCACTTAGTCTGAGAAATAGCAGATAGTCTCATATTTAGGAAAACTTTCCAAATAAAATAAATGTTATTCTCTGATAAAGAGCTAATACAGAAATGTTCAAGTTATTTTACTTTCTGGTAATGTCTTCAGTAAAATATTTTCTTTATCTAAATATTAACATTCTAAGTCTACCAAAAAAAGTTTTAAACTCAAGCAGGCCAAAACCAATATGCTTATAAGAAATAATGAAAAGTTCATCCATTTCTGATAAAGTTCTCTATGGCAAAGTCTTTCAAATACGAGATAACTGCAAAATATTTTCCTTTTATACTACAGAAATGAGAATCTCATCAATAAATTAGTTCAAGCATAAGATGAAAACAGAATATTCTGTGGTGCCAGTGCACACTACCTTCCCACCCATACACATCCATGTTCACTGTAACAAACTGAATATTCACAATAAAGCTTCTGAGTAACACTTTCTGATTACTCATGATAAACTGACATGGCTAACTGCAAGAATTAAATCTTCTATCTGAGAGTAATAATTTATGATGACTCAGTGGTGCCAGAGTAAAGTTTCTAAAATAACATTCCTCTCACTTGTACCCCACTAAAAGTATTAGACTACACATTACATTGAAGTTAAACACAAAATTATCAGTGTTTTAGAAACATGAGTCCGGACTGTGTAAGTAAAAGTACAAACATTATTTCCACCATAAAGTATGTATTGAAATCAAGTTGTCTCTGTGTACAGAATACATACTTATTCCCATTTTTAAGCATTTGCTTCTGTTTTCCCTACCTAGAATGTCAGATGTTTTTCAGTTATCTCCCCATTTGTCAAAGTTGACCTCAAGATAACATTTTTCATTAAAGCATCTGAGATCTAAGAACACAATTATTATTCTAACAATGATTATTAGCTCATTCACTTATTTTGATAACTAATGATCACAGCTATTATACTACTTTCTCGTTATTTTGTGTGCATGCCTCATTTCCCTGACTTAAACCTCACTGAGAGCGCAAAATGCAGCTTTATACTTTTTACTTTCAATTGCCTAGCACAATAGTGAGTACATTTGAATTGAATATATAATAAATATTGCAAAATAAAATCCATCTAAATAGAAGGGTTCTGTTTTATTTGGAAAAATTGAATCTTTAAACTATCATAATCTTGAATGACTGTCATCTTTCTAGTTTTCAGAAAAATAATGTATTCCTATATTATTTTTATGATAAAACTTATGGAGCAAAACACCATCAAATAACTCTCAAATTAAGAAAAAATTCAAAAGTCAGTAGTTTTAGATAAGATAATGATAAGGGAGAAAGAACATTGGTAAAAGGTATGAATTCCAGAATTAAAGAAATAATTTGGGGATTTCTAGATAAGAGGATATATATGAACATGCATACCTTACACCTTCATATACACAACCTTAAATCACAAATAAAACAAAATAAACAATACAAATTATACCACCAAGATTCAGAAGATATCAGACGAAATAATTAGAGAAAGTAAAAATATGCTGTCTCCATTATATTCATAATGTTTCATTCTTGACACTAATAATTAGAGGCTTTAAATTTTTAAATGATTTACTTTTTACTAACATTGCTGAAAAAAACTAAAGACATACATAAATGGAAAGATGTCTTGTGTTTATGGATGGTAAGATTTAATGTTGTTAAGACAACAATACTATCCAATATGATATGCAGACTGAACACAGTTGCCATCAAAATCTCAATGATGCTTTCACACAAATAAAATGGAACTTCAAGAGACCCCCAAATAAAGAGAAGAATCTTGAAAATAAGAATAAAGATAGAAGACTCACATTTCCTAACTTCAACATTTACAACAAAGATACAGTAATGAAAACAGTGTGTGGCTGGGCGCAATGGCTCACACCTGTAATCCCAGCACTTTGTGAGGCTGAGGCGGGTGGATTACTTGAGGTCAGGAGTTCGAGACCAGCCTGGCCAACATGGTTAAACTCTGTCTCTATTAAAAATTCCAAAAAATTAGCCGGGTGTGGTGGCGGGTGCCTGTAATCCCAGCTACTGGGAGGCTGAGGCAGGAGAATCGCTTGACCAGGAGGCGGAGGTTGCAGTGAGCCAAGATCGCATCACTGCACTCTAGCCTAGGCGACAGAGCAAGACTCTGTCTAAAAAAAAAAAAAAAAAAAAAAAAAGGAAAACAGTGTGGTACTAGCGTAAGTACAGACATATAGACCAACAGAATAAATTAAACAGCCCAGAAATAAACCCTTCCAAATAGGGTCAGATACTTTTCAACAAAAGTACAAAGACCATTCAGTGGAGAACGCCAGTCTCTTCAACAATGGTGCTGGGAAAACTGGATATCCATATACAAAAGAATGAAGTTGGACACCTACCTTATGTAATATTTAAAAACAAACTAAAAGACCTAAACTTAAGGGTTAAATTATAAAATTCTTAGAGAAAATATAGAGGAAAACCTTTATGACATTGAATTTGGCACGGAATTACTTGGATTTGTCACCAAAAACACAGGTAAAAAAGAAAAAATAGATAAACTGGTCTCCATCAAAATTTAAAACTTTTGGGAGAGATTTGTTAAAGGATACAAAATTACAGCTAGATAGGAGGAATAAGTTCTATACCATTGTAAGATGACTATAATTAACGATAATATATAGTTTCAAATAGCTAGAAGATACTGACGGTTCCCAACACAAAGAAATGATAAATGTTTAAGCTGATGGAAATGCTAATTACCCTGATCTGATCACTATACATTATATGTATTGAAACACCACTATGTACCCCATGAATATGTAAAATTACTATTAGTCGATTAAAAATTAAATAAAAATAAATTTTAAAAATTAAAAATTTCTGCTCATCAAAGGACACTATCAAGAGTCAAAAGACAACCCAGAGAAAGTATTTTGAAATCATATATTTAAGAGGAAATTAATATCTAGAATATATAAAGAACTCTACAATTCAACAACAAAAAACAACCCAATTCAAAAATGGGCTAAGGACTTGCACAGACATTTCCTCAAAGATATACAAATGGCCAACCAGCATATAAAAATACATTTAACATCACTAACCATTAGGAGGATGTAAATCAAAACCACAGTGAGATATCACTTCCTACCCATTAGGTTGGCTATAGCCAAAAAAAAAAAAAAAAGCAGAAAATAACAAGTATTAAAGTAGTTGTAGAGAAATTGAAGTACTCGTGCTTTGCTGGTGTAAAATGGTACAAGCACTGTGGAAAAGAGTATGCGGTTCTTCAAATAATTAAACATAGAATTACCATATGATCCAGCAATTATATTTCCAGGTATATCATTACACTTAAAAGAATTGAAAGAGGTGCAAACAGATATCAGTACACTAATGTTCACAGCAGGATTATTCACAATAGCCCAAAAGTAAAAACAACCAGTGACCATCAGCAAATGAATGGATAAGCAAAATGTACATACATTTAATGGAATATGATCCAGCCTTAATAAAAAGGCAGGGGGAGGGCACTGGGCTTGGGAGGCCAAGATAGGTCAATTGCTTGAGCCCAGTAGTTCAAGACCAGCATGGGCAACACGGCGAAACTGCATCTCTACGAAAAATACATAAATTAGCTGACATGGTGGCGTGTGCCTGTAGTCCCAGCTACTTGGGAGGCTGAGGTGGGAGGATCACCTGAGCCAGGGACAGTCAAAGCTGCCATGAGCCGTGACTGCACCACTGGACTCCAGCCTGGGTGACAGAGTGAGACCCTGTCTCAAAAAAAAAAAAAAAAGAAAAGAAATCTGACACATGCTATGACATGGAGAAACTTTGAGGACATTATGCTAAGTGAAAAGACACTCCACATATATGAGGTACCTAGAATAGTCAAATTCATAGAAACAGAAAACACAACAGTGGTAGCAAGTGCTAAGAGAAGGCAGGAATGAGGAGTTAATGTTTAATGGGTATGTTTCAGTTTGGGATGATGAAAAACTTCTGGAGAAGGACAGTGGTGATGGTTACAAAACAATGTGGATATTGGTGACGGTTACAGGACAATGTGATAGGTTTTTTCCACCCTAGTAATTTTATAACTAGCAAAGACCAGCTCCTAGAAGCTCTTTACCCTCCATAAGAAAAATACACCAATTATACTTCATACCTGACTGGAAAGCACGTAGAGTCAAATCAGCTTTGGAAATGGAGACTAGTGCTCCCATTTTCCATCACCCATTCAAATGCATAAGGAAACAGCAACATTAGGTGATTCATCTATTACCATAACTGCCAGCACACTCCCTGGTCATTACTGTATTATAACACTTGTGAAGCAGAAATATTTAATTTTTCTGGCATTTTAAGACTACCTATGATCGAATATAACAAAATCATGAGAACACCTCAAGGTACTATAGTACAGAACTGCCCATGTTTCTTTGTGGAAAAAAATCCTAGGCCTGACAGATTTTATTAGCTCAACCAAATAGAATAAATAATAATAAGAAACAATAGAACCCCAAATAAAGGAGAGTTAGTACAAGTCCTAAAAACAATATTCATGATCTGGTTAGGCTTTTGAGAGAATCTGAACCCTGAAATATTATTTAAGTTGACTTTCAGAACTGGTTGCTGTGTGGATTAATGCTGTCAATAATTTGATGCTATCCAAATGAGTAGAACCTGAGGTATTACGATGCAACCAAACTTAATTTCAGTTATGCCCGAAAACAAAGAAAGGGAATAAAAGGAAGTACTTTAAAGTACCCATATCAGGCTTTAGGAAGCATTACTTCGCAAGAATCAGGCTTTGGTATTTAAACTCGAAATGCACAATTGAGAAGCTGAAAACACAGAGTCTGGCTCAGGAAGTTAGCAGTATACCACTACATGATAAGCCTGCTGTGATGATATTCTTTATTAACATTTGTTGTTTTACTTCAAATACTCTTGAAAGAATGTTTTTCCAAAATGCGGATTTTAAATAAATTTGAATATAACCACACTTCTTTCAAGACATTCCACAACATAAATTGTTCACTGATTTGTACAGAAGTAATCCTCCTCCAGTTATTCCAAATAATTGCAAATTCCAAAAGTCAATGAGAATATTTTCTACTGTTTGAAAGCTTTTAAGAAAAGGATGTTAGGGATGAATTCTCAATTAATATCAGCTTTGTTTTCCATATATGTTTAAATTCAAAGACTTCAGACTTTACCTTGAGATGTTTAAACGTGCGCTTACGATATTCAAACCACTCCACAAAAAAATGCAGGCTTCGGAAAAACATGAACAGATCTTTTCTCTCTTCTGCTCTGTAGGAATAAATGATTCTCTGATTAATAAATATCATTAAATGATAGACCCAATCTAGCTTTATTTCTTTTCCTTTTCATGTATCCTACACTAAAACCAAAAACTTGAAGTAGTTCTACATATCAATTCTTGCACTTGTGTGTGTGTGTTCCTCTGGTATGACTGCTAATGCTACTTTCTCAGCCTAGAATACCCCTTTCCCCATTTTCAAACGTTTAAGTCTACGTATTATTTAAATCACTCAAATGCCACATTCCCTGAAATTTTATTTGATGACTGTAGTATAATAAAGAATAATGAAGAACAGACAGTATGTAAGTGCCAGTTTCTGGCACAGCGCTTTAAAACCCTTGGAACTTCCTGAGTGATAGATGTGTCTTTGTTATGCTAATGAGTTGTCTCATAGTGGCTTCTACGTATTGCAGACTGGAGGCTGTTCACCAGGAAAACACATCAAACACATCACCAAACACATCATTTGAGGGCTAACCAGGAGCACAGCAGAACTTCCTGGTTGATGAATACACTGATGTACTGGGAGGATAATGTGTCTGGATTCCACAAGGAATCTCTGTCTCCCCAACCCCCAGACCTTCGTCTATGCATTACTTCCATTTGGCTGTGTCTGGGTTGTATCCTTCATAATAAAATGCTAATTGTAAGTATAGTGTTTTCAGTACGTTCTGTGAGCGGTTCTAGCAAATTATTAAACCTGAGAGATATGTGGGAACTCCAGAATTTATGGCCAGTTGGTCCTAACTGCAGGTGGACCTTGATACTTGCAGCTGGAGTGTGAAGTGGAGGCACTCCTGGTGGAGACCTCTGCCTATAACTTGTGGGGTCTGTTAGTGTGAGAACTGAACTGAGCTGCAGGACATCCAGTTGGTGACAGAGAACCATTGTCAGAACAATTACCACACCACCACACCACGTATCCTATTCCCTAACAGCTAGAAATAATCTCACTCCTTTGCCTAGGAGAACTCTCACAGGAATGAGTCTTAATTCTCTTAATAGTACATCTATGTTAATAATGTAAGCCACATACACCACAAGTAACTTGAAGGCAAGAACCATGTATCATTTAATCACTCATTTGATAAATGATTGCGGGAGTTGAGTTCCTGTACCAGTAATGATAGAGTAAGCATATTCCACCCCAATGCTTCCGTTAACTATAATTTAAAACCATGAACACAGCACATAAAGCAAACATCAGAAACTCTGAAATGTGGAATGAAGAAAGCAGGACAGGTAGAGTCTTCAGGAATCAAGGGAGGACCTGGAAAAGAATTCCTTAGGATTTATTTTTGCCTCCTGTATATCCCAGTCTGTACACAGGAGCAAACTGCAACCCAGAATTACCAAAGGGTACATTAACAACAACAATAACCCAAAAGGCCCCAGGAAAGACCATTCCCTCTAACCAACGGAGATCATGCAAAATGAGAAGAAACAGGCCTGGCAGAAGGGAACCCCAATGCCAAAAAGGAGCTGTGCCCCTTTCACTCCTAATCAGGCACTTTAGCCACAGAGGCTGAGGTGTGAAGCCTGTCAACCATCACTGCCAACAATAAGAAAAGCAGGCAAAGCAGAGTCCTCACCTCCCAATCGGGTACTGCTATTGGAAAGACTGAGAGAGGAAGCTTTGTCAGCTAGCCCCAACTGACACCAAGCAAACATAAGCAAAGAAAGGATGTCATTTCTGATCTCAACCAGCATGGCAGCTGCACACACAGTGGGTTGCTCTGTTAACTTTCCACACCCTGCACTTAAGTCATCCCAAGAAGAGATAAGGGAGAATCAGAGAAGAGGAGCCTTCAGACAAGAATCTTTTACATCTGTTTATGAAATCCTAAATAACCCCTACATAAAACGAACCAGAATCTACACAGAAAAAAAATACTGAGAACTGAATTATAGTATAGAATAATTTCCAGAATTCACATTGGCCTCAGGATAGTACATAAGTAGGGCAGACCACAATAGGATATTGAACTACAGACTAAAGTGGGCTAGGGTGTGCTTTTGAATTAGAAATTCAACAATAAGAACAAAAAAATTTTGGCAAAATAGGAAGTGCTGGGGTCATCCTGTCTCAGAAACACTGAAAACTACTGCATAGCTGTCAGAATCACTTTTACTGGAATTTGGGAAGAGAGTAAAAAGCTTACAACTGAGAAAACACTTAATCAGAAAAAGGGCAACTGAAAAAGGCTAAGAGCGTTTTGTAGTACTGTAAGATACCCTTGCCACACTCCCTACCTGGCCACAGTAGCAGTCTTAAAGATAGCATGCTACTTTACTAGCCTGAGAACCTAATCCTGACAACAGTCAAAGGGATCTTATTCTCAAGGAATTGTTTGTCTTGACTTGGTTCCCAAGTAAAAGAGACCTCATTCCCAAGGAATCGTTTTGATTCAAGGGGTCTGACTGCATTTCAGCTAAGTCAGAACTTTCTTGCAATTGATACAGGAGCTAGAAAGAAATTATTTAGGTAGATAGTGAGGGTTAAGGAGCCCTCAGAAAGGCTTCCCTTTTAATAAAAAGCAGCCCCCAAATCATTTCTTTTCTAACAAAGAGCAGCCTGAAAAATAGAGCTGCAAACATAGATAAGCAAGCTAGAAGTTTGCACAGGTAAATGCTCTGCAATAGAAAAGGGATACCTGGAAGCCAAGTATGTTAAACATGGAGGCTCCATCTTCCCTTTTCTTTCTTTTTTTTTTTTTGAGACTAAGTCTCACTCTGGAGTGCAGTGGTGCAATCTCGGCTCACCAAAACCTCCGCTTCCTGGGTTCAAGTGATTCTCCCGCCTCAGCCTCCCAAGCAGCTGGGATTACAGGCGTGCGCCATGATGCCTGGCTAATTTTTTTGTGTATTTTTAGTACAGACAGGGTTTCACCATATTGGCCAGGCTGGTCTCGAACTCCTGACCTCAGGTGATCTGCCCACCTTGGCCTCCCAAAGTGCTGGGATTACAGGCGTGAGCCACTGCACCTGGTCTCCATCTTCCCTTTTCTTTGTCACCACGTGTACAGTAAAAAAGCAGGCAACATGGCGCTGGCCCAGTAGAGAACCCATCTGCATAATAAAAGATTAGGGTGGGGCGGCCAGCTTCTTCACATCCTATGCAAGCGGTACACCTGGTCTGACCAATTTTTTGTGCCCTATGTAAATCAGACACTGCCTCCTCAAGCTCATCTGTAAAACCTGCATTTGACTGTGGAAGCGGCAACCCATTTTCTCTGGGACCCCTCTCTGTGCAGACAGCTCCTCTCCTTCTTTCACCTATTAAATATCCACTCTTAACCTCACAGTGGTGTGTTCATGTCCTGGTTTTCCGTGGCTGTGGGACAATGAACCTTGGGTATTACCCCAGACAACAATGCTGCTTCACCATGAAGACATAGCTACACAGGGGATGTTTTTCAAAAATACTAAAAGGCAAATTAACAAGTTGCTGCTGTGTAGGGCAAAAGCACAGTTGAGACAAACAACAGATATGCTGAAAGCCAAGGAAAGAAAAGGTAGGGAATGAGAATCTTTGGGGAATAAAGTCTTGGAAAAAGTGCTCAAGTATACCAGGGAACTAGAAAGCCACTTGAATGCTCAGGGCAGAATGCATGCTTAGAAGAGATCTGAGGGGAGCATAACTTCAACCTCTGGCTAATCTCTAGGCTAAGGACAGGACTAAGGCAGGGTTGTGAAAGACCTGGCTAAGCACTGAAGTAGTGTCCCCATACAGAACCAAAATGCACAGACCTGGAGAAGATATCTTTTTTTCTTATTTTTTTCCTTTTTGCCCATCATAATATTCAAAATGTACAGTATTTAATGACAATAACAAAAAACTAAGCATGCAAAGAAACAAGAAAATATGGCCCAGTCATAGGAAAAAAAAAAAAAGAAATTAACAGAAACTTCTCCTGTTGAATGACTAGGGGAATTACTAGGCTATGATTTTAAATCAACTGTCTTAAATATGTTTAGAGAACTCAAGAAAATCAAGAGAACAAAGTATGCAACAAACAGGAAATGGCAATAAAGAGAGAAATTTTTTTAAAAGAAATAGAAATTTTAGAACTGAAAAGTACAACAAATGAAATTAAAAATTCACTAAAGGGGCTCAACAGCAGATTTGAGTGGGCATAAGAATCAGTAAAAATGGCCGGGCGCGGTGGCTCACGCCTGTAATCCCAGCACTTTGGGAGGCCGAGGTGGGCGGATCTCAAGGTCAGGAGTTTGAGACCAGCCTAGCTAATGTGGTGAAACCCCATCTCTATTAAAAAAAAACCACAAAAATTAGCCGGGCGTGGTGGTGTGTGCCTGTAATCCCAGCTACTCAGGAGGCTGAGGCAGGAGAATCCCTTGAACCCAGGAGGCAGAGGTTGCAGCGAACTGAGATTGCGGCACTGCGCTCCAGCCTGGGCAATAGAGTGAGTCTCCCTCTCCAAAAAAAAAAGAATCAGTAAAAATGAATATAGGTCAAGTGAAATTATCCAGTCTAAGAAAGAGAAAGAAAAAAGAATGAAGAAAAATAAACGGAGCCTAAGAGACTTGTGGGACACCCAAAAAAGTACTAACATATACATAATGAAAGTCAAAGAAGGAAAGTTGAAAAAAAAGGGAGCTGAAATTATATCTTGAGAAATAACAGTCAAATCCCTCTGGATGAAAAAGTTAATATACACATCCAAGAAGTGCATAAACTGCAAATAGGATAAACTCAAAGAGATCCACATCAAGACACATTATAGTAAATCTGTTGAGCTCCAAAGAGAGAGAATCCTGAGACTGATATCCAGCAAAACTCTCTCTCACAAATGCAATAGAAATTAAGACATTCCCTGATTCAAGAAAGCTGAGGTCTGTTACTTGTAGACTTGACCTACAAAAAAATGCTCATGGGAATTCTTCAGGCTAAAAGGAAAAAACACTGGACAGTAACTGAAAACCATATATAGAAATAATGAACAATGGTTACATAGGTAAATAATGAAGAAAGTATCACTGTATTTTTATTAATAAGCCCTCTTTTTCCCATATGATTTAAAGACAAATGCATAAAACAAAAATTACTAATCTATGTTAATGGCCAAACAATGTAGAAAGATGCAATCTGTGACAATCACAATATAAGGGGGAGAAACATAGATATAAGAAGCAGAGTTTTTGCAAATTATTAAAGGTATTATTAATGCCAATCTAGTTTAGTATTAATTTAACCTAGGTTGTTATAAGTTTAAGATATTACCTGTAATTCTCAAGGTAACCAGTAAGAAAATAACTAAAGATTGGGAGGCCGAGGTGGGCGGATCACCTGAGTTTGGGAGTTCGAGACCAGCCTGACCAACATGGAGAAACCTCCGTCTCTACTAGAAATACAAAAATTAGCTGGGTGTGGTGGCACATGCCTGTAATCCCAGCTGCTTGGGAGGCTGAGACAGGAGAATCACTTGAACCCAGGAGGGGTTCACATACACACACACACACACACACACACACACACACACACACACAGCAAACAGCAAAACAGCAGAAGTAAATATTTCCTTATCAGGAATTGGTTTAAATGTAAATGGATTAAACTCACCATCAAATGGCAGAGATTGGCAGAATAATTTTTTTTTTTTTTTTTTTTTGGTCACTGCTGGAACAGGAAAGCAAGCCAGTAGCAATCCAGCAACTGGGGGTAGACCAAGCCAGCACCATAGATACATTTTCAGGAAAAAAGTCCTCCCTTACAAAAGCAAATGCCAAAAAAGAAGTGCCTGCTACAGTGTATGTGCAGATATCAACATAAGGGAACAGGTACATGAAAAGCAAGAAAACAGGACACCTACAAAGAAACCCAATAATTATTTAGCAATAGACAGTCAAAAAGAAATTTCAGAAATCTCAGATAAAGAATTCAAAACATTGATTTTTTTCTTTTTTGAGATGGAGTCTTACTCTGTCACCAGGCTGGAGTGCAGTGGAATGATCTCGGCTCACTGCAACCTCCGCCTCCTGGGTTCAAGTGATTCTCTTGCCTCAGCCTCCCGAGTAGCTGGGAGTACAGGCACGCACCACCACGCCCAGCTAAATTTTGTATTTTTAGTAGAGACGGTGTTTCATCATGTTGGCCAGGATGGTCTTGATCTCTTGACCTCATGATCCGCCCACCTCGGGCTCCCAAAGTGCTGGGGTTACAGGCGTGAGCCACCATGCCTGGCCTCAAAACATTAATTTTTAAAGAAGCTCAGTGAGATACAAGAGAATTCAGAAAAACAATACAATCAGGAAAATAATTCAGGATATGAATGATAAATTTATCAAAGAGATTGGTATTTTTAAAAGAACAAAACAAATTCTGGAACTGAAGAAATCACTGAAGGAAATATAAAATACATTTGAAAGCTTCAACAATAAACCAGATCAGGCAGAAGAAAGAATCTCAAAACCTGAAAACAGGTATGTTGGTATAGCCCAGTCGTTAATATATATATATATTTTTAAATAAAAAGACATGGGGTCTCACTATGTTAAAGAGGCTGGTTTCAAACTCCTAGCCTCAAGCCATCCTCCCATCTCAGCCTCCCAAAGTGTTAGGATTACAGGCATGAGCTACTGTGCATGGCCAAATTAAAAAACAAAAAAGGCTTTGTGACATTTGGGACAACATGAAGTGACCAAATTTACAAATTAGCAGTATACTCAAGGGCAAATAAACAAAGAAAGGATTAGGAAACTTATTTAATAAAATAACAGATGAAAACTTCCCAAGTCTATCAAGAGATTTAGACATTCAGAAACAAAATGTTCAACGACCTCAAAGCAAATGCAATGCAAAAAGATCTTCCTCACAGCACATTACAATCAGACTGTCTAAAGTCATATTTAAAGAGCAAATCCTATAAACAGCAAGAGAAAGGAGTCTAGTCACCTATCAAAAAAAAAAAGAAAAAGAAAAAACCTCAATCAGACTAACAGTGGATTTCTCAGGAGAAAACTCACAGGCCAGAAGAGAATGGAATGATATATTCAGTGTGTGAAGAAAATAACTGGCAACCAAATGTAGTCAACTAAATTCTCATTCATAAATGAAAGAGAAATAAAGTCATCCCAACACAAATGCTAAAAGAATTCATTACCACAAGACCATCCCTAGAAGAAATGCTCAAGGAAGTCCTAAACTTGGAGGCGAAAGGATGACATTTACCATCATGAAATCACATGAAAGTGTAAAACTCACTGGTAAAGAAAACATACAAAGCAAGAAAATAATTCAAACAGTACCACTACAAAAATCTACCAAATCACAATGACAAACTGTAAGAGAAAAAGACAGGAACAAAGAATATATAAAACAACAGAAAACAACAGTATGACAGGAACAAAGCCTCATATATCAATAATAAACTGGAACATAAACAGATTAAATTCTCTTCTTAAAAGATATAGAAAGGTTGAATGGATTCAAACATATTATCCACCTAGACACTGCTTACAAGAAACTCACTTTAACACTAAAGACAAATATAGACTGCAATTAAAGGGATGGAAAAAGATATCCCATGCAAACAAAATCCAAAAGCAAGTGGTGGCTATACTTATATCAGCTAAAATGAACTTTAAGTCAAGAACAGTTAAAAAAAAAAAAAAAAAAAAAAAAAAAAAAAAGATGGCTGGCATGGTGGCTTACACCTGTAATCCCAGCACTTTTTTTTTTTTTTTTTTTAGATGGAGTCTCACTCTGTTGCCCAGGCTGGAGTACAGTGGCACGAGTCTCGGGAAGCTGAGGCAGGAGAATCACTTGACCCCGGGAGGTGAAGCTTGCAGTGAGCCAGGATTGAGCTACTGCACTCCAGCCTGGGCAACAGAGAGAGACTCCGTCTCAAAAAAAAAAAAACAACAACAAATAGGTCATTATATAATGATAAAGGAGTCATTTCAGAAAAAACATGTAACAATTCTAAATATATATATACACCCAATATAGAAGCATCCAGATTCATAAAGCAAATATTACCAAATATAAAGAGAGAACTAGATTGCAATACAATAATAATGGGGGACATCAACACTCCGTTCACAGCATTAGACAGATAATAAACAAACAAAAAACATTGGATTTAAATTGGACTTTAGACCAAATGGACCTAACAGACATTTACAGAACATGCTATCCAACAACTGCAGAATGTACATTCTTTTCATCAGAACGTAGAACGTTCTACAGGACAGACCACATGTTAGGACACAAAACAAGTCTCAACATTTTTAAAAATCAAAATCATAGCATGTGTCTTCTCAGAACACACTGGAATACAACTAGAAATCAACACCAAAAGGAACCCTGGAAGCTATACACATACATGGAAATTAAACAACATGTTCCTGAATGATCACTGGGTCAACAAAACAATTAAGATAGAAATAAAAAAATTCCTTGAAATAAGTAAAAATGGAAACACACCATAGCAAAATCAGTGAGATACAGCAAAAATGGTGCTAGGAGGGAAATTTATAGCAATAAATGCTGACATCCAGAAGGTAAAAAGTTATAAACTATAAATCTAACAATGTACCTCAAGGAACAAAGCAACAACAAACCAAACAGAAAATTAGCAGAAGAAAAGAATTTCAAAAGATCAAAGCAGAACTAAATGAAATAGATAGTCAAAAAATAAATAAGCAAATAAATAATGCAAAGGACCAACAAAACAAAACGTTGGTTATTTGAAAAGATAAACAAAATTGACAAACCACTAGCTAGACTAACCAAGAAAAGAGAAGACCCAAACAATTTAAATGAAAATGGAGACAATACAAATGAGACCACAGAAATAAAAAAGATGAGAGACTATTATCAACAACTTATAAGGACAAGCTGTAAAACCTAGAGGAAATGGAAACATACAACATACCAAGATTGAATCAGAAATAAATAGAAAACTTGAACATAATGAGTAGTGAGATTGAATCAACAAGAAGTCTAGGTTGGGTGTGGTGGCTCACGCCTGTGATCCCAGCACTTTGGCAGGCTGAGGCAGGTGGATCACCTGAGGACAGGAGTTCAAGACCAGCTTGGCCAACATGGTGAAAGCACATCTCTACAAAAAAATACAAAAATTAGCCGGGAATGGTGATGCGCCACTGTGTTCCCAGCTACTTGGGAGGCTGAGGCAGGAGAATCGCTTGAACCCGGAAAGCGGAGGTTGCAGTGAGCCAAGATCATGCCACTACTGCACTCCAGCCTGGGAGACAGACTGAGACTCCATCTCAAAAAAACAACAAAAAAACAATAAAAAGTCTAACATAGAAAAGACCAGGACCAGAAGGAGTAACAGCCGTATTCTATCAAACATACATAGAAGAACTAATATTTATCCTCCTGAAACTATTCCTAAATCATCAAAGAGGAGGGAATTCTCCCTAACTCACTACAAGAGGCCAGCATTACCCTGATACTAAAACAAGTTAAGGACACACACATACATAAGAAAACTAGAGGCCCATATTCCTGATGAACACAGATGCAAAATCTTCAACAAAGTAACTAGCAAACCAAACCCTTTTAAGCACATGAGAAAGATAATATACCATGATCAGATGTAATTTATACCAAGGATGCAAGGATGATTCAACATATACAAATCAATAAATGTAATATATCATATCTACAAGATATAGGGAAAAAAACATATAATCTCAATTGATGCAGAAAAAGCATTTGATAAAATTCAACATCCTCCCAGGATTCAAACACTCAACAAACTAAGCATGGAGGGCACATACCTCAAAATAATACAGGCTACATATAAAAAACCCAAGGTAACATCATACTGAACAGGGGAAAGTTGAAAGCCTTTCCTCTAGAAACTAGAATAAGACTTCTATCACTCCTATTCAACATATGACCAGAAGTCCTAGCCAGAGCAATCAGGCAAAGGAAAGAAATAAAAGGCATCCCAATTGGAAAAGAGCAAGGTGAAATTGTATCTTTTTGCTTAAATGATCTTATATCTAGAAAAACCCAGACTCTACCAAGAAACTCTTAGATTTGATAAATGAATTTAGTTAAGTTGCGGGACAAAATCAATGTACAAAAATCAGTAGTGTTTTTATACACCAATAACAAATGTGCCATCTCATGCACATCCCATGCTCATTGCTTTGAAGAATTAATACTGTTAAAATGACCATATTGTCTAAAGCAATCTACCAATTCAGTGCAATCCTAGCCAATCTCTAGAGATAATCAACAATTTGCCCTTGAGTGAGTTTTTCAAATGCAAAACAACCAACCCAGAATCCACACCTCCAACCACCTCCTTTACCAGGTTCTCTCTTTACCAGTTCTCTCCACTATCCACCTGCTGTAATCACCCCAGGGCCAGATACAAGAGAGTTAACTAGGGACAGGTCCTCTGACCCAGAGCTCACTGAAATTATTCAAACAAGCCAAGCTTAAGCCGGCTTACACTGCCTCAACCATTCCTTCCCACGGAGACCACAATAAAAGCTCTTGCCCATAGATTTCCCCTCTCCTATTTGTCTCTTGACTGACCCCAGTGCTCCTCATGTGGCCCCTATGGTGTGGTGTGCCTCTCCCTCTTGTGAACTGTAACTACATTTTTAATGGCAATTGTCTCTTCATCTGTTAGCCTCACTATATTATTAGTTGTTAGTAATAATAAAAGCTATTACAATAGGCTCCCATTTATTTATTTTTAGAGATAGTGTGTTGCTCTGTCACCTAGCCTGGAGTGCAGTGGCATGATCGTAACTCACTGTAACCTGGAGCTCCTGAGCTCAAGAGACCCTCCCATGTCAGTCTCCTGAGCAGCTATAACTACAGGCAGGCAGGCAGACCTGGAAAATGTTTTTCAATTTCTTTTTTTGTAGAGACAGGGTCTCACTATGTTGCCAACACTGGTCATGAACTCCTGGGCTCAAGCGATCCTCCCATCTCAGTCTCCCAAACCATTAGGATTACAGGCATGAACCACTGCATCTGAGCCATTTATTCTTAACTTTTAAATATTAATCATGCAGTGCATATGAACACAGATATATGTCAAATATAAGCTGCTGATTCCCGTCAGTAGCCAAAAAAACTATCCACAATATATAAATACCAGAGGTGAGATTTAGTTTCTCCATATTTGGTCACTCAAAAGGTTCTGTAACAGACGATGAACTCATTGGGACTGCTTCCCAGAGAGACCTCATGAAATTGTTCTTCACAGCAGCTATAGTTATATTTTTATGAAGGTGATTAATTTGGTGTAGCTCTTGATCATTGAATAAACGGCCCCATGAAGCTGCTTTGAAGCTAACTTTGATAAAATTATTGGAAGCTAGAATACAGGCTGAGTATCCCTTATCCAAAAATGATTGGTACCAGAAGCGTTTCAGATTTTGAATTTTTTTCAGATTTTGGAATATTTGCATGTATATAATGAGATATCTTGGGGACAGTGTCCAGGTCTTGAAGGTAATTTTATACAATATTTTAAATAATTTTGTGTGTGAAACAAAGTTTGTGCACAATGATCCATGAGAAAACAAAGATGTCACTATCTCAGCCACCCATGTAGATGATCTATGGCTATATAGCATCATCATCATTCCTGATTCTGAATTTATGATACCAATAAGCAATAATTTTCTTAACTTATTCACACATAAGAACTTAACAGTAAAAAACATGACATGCCATTAAATAGTGAAAAAATAATGTATGCAGTGTAGTATCACCAAAATACCAGTTACCAGCTTTTTAAAAAAAGCAACAACTAACAATGGTAGGCTTTCAGTCTCCACCTATGATGCTGTGTTTTGATTAAAATGTTACTATAGGCCAGGTGCGCTGTCTCACGCCTGCAATCCCAGTGCTTTGGGCGGCTAAGGCGGGTGAATCGCCTGAGGTCAGGAGTTTGAACAGACTGTCCAATGTGGTGAAACCCCATCTCTACTAAAAATACAAAAACTAGCTGGGCGTGATGGCGGGCACCTGTAATCCCAGCTACTCTGGAGGCTGAGGCAGAAGAATCGCTTGAACCCAGGAGGCGGAGGTTGCAGTGAGCCGAGATCGCACCATTGCACTACAGCCTGAGCAACAAGAGTGAAACTCCATCTCAAAAAATAAATAAAATAAAATAAAATGTTACTGTATACTGTATTTTATTTTTTTAGGTGAGAAGAAACATAAGAAACAGTTGTGGGACCAAGAAATGGGTTCTCTAGGGATAAGGAGGCATTCTGCTGGATGGCTCCTGTAGAACCATTTTTAAATGTTTCCTCCAAAGGCCAGGCATGGTGGCTCACGCCTGTAATCCCAGAACTCTGCGAGGCTGAGGTGGACAGATCACCTAAGACCAAGAGTTCGAGACCAGCCTGCCCAACATGGCAAAACCCTGTCTCTACTAAAAATACAAAAATTAGCTGGGTGTGGTGGCGTGCCCCTGTAATTCCAGCTACTCGGGAGGCTGAGGCAGGAGAATTGCTTGAACCCGAGAGGTGGAGGTTGTAGTGAGCCGAGATTGTGCCACTGCACTCCAGCCTGGGAGACAGAGTGAGACTCTGTCTCAAAAAATAAATGAATACATAAAAATAAAATAAACGTTTCCTCCACAGTTATCTGCCTCATTAACAACAACTTTTGTCTTATTAATCTAGCTTTGATTTTAGAATCTGATATGATTTCTTGTTCTGTTATGAATGTGTGCTGCTACCGCAGCTGAAGGGAGCAGGGAGGGTCTTTTTCCCTTGAGGATGTTGAATGAACTGTGTTGTACACCTGCGTTTTGACTGCAAACGCAAGTCAGGTGTGGAATTTTCCACTTAAGGAATCATGTCGGCAATCAAAAAATTTCAGATTTTAGAGCAGTTTGGATTTCAGATTATGGATGTTCAACCTGCAGTAACTCCATGAGAGCTCTTGGGGAAGTCAGTACTGAACTAACTGAATCGTGATCCTCTCAAACAATATCCTCAAAACAGCCTCAGATGTTTGAAAAAATGAGCATGTGTGTGTAATAATCATTCAGCTTACCTGTACAATGATTAATCAGAGGAATAATTTCTTCCCAAATCCCTTCCAGGTATAACTTTTTATACTTTTCTGTGTTTTATTTTAAAAATAATGCCTTTTTAAAAAGAAAAAGACCACAAATACTGAAGAAAGCATCTGGCACATAAAATTCATTACTGAGGACTTTAACTAGATCAGTTGAGTGATCTGTAAATAGTGGTGGGCACATATACTTACTAAAGGAGTTTAGGAATCTGTGCCACAAGTAATACCAAACAATAAACAATCTGTAAAATGAAGTAATTTTATGTCTAGAGGGTGGCCCAAAGAAACAGTGTTTTGTATATCTGGTTTCACTGAGAAGGATTCCCCAAGTATTGGTAATCATCTCATGTTATAAAGAAGAGATCTAAGTTGTGGATGTTCTTCTACAGCTCTATCATTCCAATTCCAGTAAATTCCATCATTTCTCAGATATATTTTATTCTTCAATTCATAAATATATAAGTTTTTAGAATGGGACAGAACCCTGGAAATAATTCTTTTTTTTTTTTTTTTTTTTTGAGACGGAGTCTTACTGTCACCCAGGCTGGAGTGCAGTGGCGCCGTCTTGGCTCACTGCCAGCTCCGCCTCCCAGGTTCACACCATTCTCCTGCCTCAGCCTACTGAGTAGCTGGGACTACAGGTGCCCGCCACCGCGCCTGGCTAATTTTTTGAATTTTTAGTAGAGACGGGGTTTCACCATGTTAGCCAGGATGGTCTCGATCTCCTGACCTCGTGATCCGCCCGCCTTGGCCTCCCAAAGTGCTGGGATTACAGGCGTGAGCCACCATGCCCAGCGAACCCTGGAAATAATTATTTCCAGTTCTTTCATTTTGCAGATAACTCCACAGAGATTAAACACCTTTTCTAATTCAATGCTGTTAGTCATTAGTTTAAGAAAAAAAAAAGAAAGAAATGAAATACATAAAGGTACATTGTCCTTATTATCACAAATTTATAATTTACATGAGGATAAGAATAGTTATAGGCTGGGCACAGTGGCTCACGCCTATAATCCCAGCACTTTGTGAGGCCCAGACGGGTGGATCACCTAAGGTCATGAATTCGAGACCAACCTGGCCAACGTGGTGAAACCCCATCTCTACTAAGAATACAAAAATTAGCAGGGCGTGGTGGTGGATGCCTGTAATCCCAGCTGCTCAGGAGGCTGAGGCAGGAGAATCGCTTGAACCCAGGAGGTGGAGGTTGTAGTGAGCCAAGATCATGCCCCTGAACTCCAGCGTGAGTGAGAGCACGAGACTCTGTCTCAAAAAAAAAAAAAAAAAAAAAAGAGTAGTTATAATACAAGGCATAATTTGATACATTGATACATTTTTAGAGAGTACCTAGGGTTGATAACAAACTGATATGATTAGGCCAGGCAACCTCCTCCATGTACTCCTAGGTCACATTCTCAATGAGGCCTTCCCCAGTCAAGCTATTTAAAAATGCATACCTTCCCTCCTCCTGTGCAGCCCATCCTTGTTTATTTTCTCCCCACCACTTATCGATATCTAATATATTATTTATTTTACATATCTGTTTTGTTTATTGCCTGTTTCCCCTACTAGAAAATAAATCTCTTGAGTTTATGAAGACGGGCTTTTCTTTTGTTCACTGCTACATATTAAGCACAACGACAATGCTTGGCTGCAGAACAGGCAACACGTAACTGCTGGATAAATGAAGGAACACTAGCGACTTGTCTGTCTAATCTCTGCTTAACTTCAGGTCTTATATTTTCAAGTGGTTTGTTAGACAATTCACTCAAGAACTGTTTGAACACCAACCATGTACAAGGCACTCTCCTAGGTTACCTGGGGCTAATACTATCCCTCCCTCTCCCCTAGAGTAGACATTGTATGCATTTATATTCCTATAGCATGTACTCTACCATCAATTACCATGTATCATTGGTTTTGTGCATACACTAGGTTGTAAGCTTCATAAAACTGAAAATTATCTTGTTCATCATTGTATTCTTAGAGACTAATACAATGCAAAGTACATAATATGCTTTTAACATATATGTATTTATTTATTTAAGAATTTACATACAGTAAAATTCACTCTTTTTCTTAATTTTATGATTTTGGCCAAATGAATAGAGTTGTGTATCCAACACAACAACCAGTTCCATACACACAGGGGAACATAAAGAAGAATCACAGCAAATTTACTGTTAAGCCATAAGACAACAGACAAATGCCTCCAAAGTACTCAGGAGAAAAAACCCAAAGAACCAAAACAGTCAACCAAGGATTCTATACCCAGAATGATATCTTTCAAAACCAAAAATGAAATAAAGACTTTTAAGACCAAAATCATAGAAAAAGCTAAAAATTCCATTAAAAGCAGAATATTAGGCCAGGCACAGTGGCTCACATCTGTAATCCCAGCACTTTGGGAGGCCAAGGCAGGATGACTGCTTGAGCCCAGGAGTGTGAGACCAGCCTGGGTCACATAGTGAGACCCCCATTTCTAAAAAAATTTTTTTTTCTAATTGAAAAAAAAAAAGCAGGCCTTCACTACAAGAAACAACAGGATTGGCTGAGTACAGTGGCTCATGCCTATAATCCCAGCACTTTGGGATGCCAAAGTGGATGGATCACCTGAACCCAGGAGTTCAAGACCAGCCTGGGCAACATGGCAAAAACCCATCTCTACCAAAAATACAAAAAATTAGCTGGGCATGGTGGTGCATGCCTGTGGTTCCAGCTATTCAGGAGGCTGAGGTGGGAGGACCACTTGAGCCTGAGAGGTGGAGGTTGCAGTGAGCCGGGTTTGCACCACTGCACTCCAGCCTGGGCAACAGAGTGACACCTCATCTCAAAAAAAACAAAAACAAAACAAAAAAAAAACCCAATAGGATTGAGCAAATGAATAACTTTGTTGATATTTCTAGGAGCCAAGTTTCTCAATATGGAAGAAAGGACATAGAAATGTGAAATGATAGTATGTATATAGACACATAAACACATACATACTATAAACTGGGGATAAGCTAGAGTAGAACTGGAGGCCTTGGTGTACACTCATAATTTTGTAAATATTTATAGTCATGTGTAGCTTAACAACAGGGATACATTCTGATAAATGCATTGTCAGATGATTTATTCACTATAGGAACATCATACAGTGTACTTAAACCTAAATGGTACAGCCTACTGCAAACCGAGGCTATATGGTATGGCCTATTGCTCCTAGGCTATAAACCTATACAGCATTACTATACTAAATACTGTAGGCAATTGTAAAACAATGTTAAGTATTTGTGCATTTAACATATCTAAACATAGGAAAGGTACAGTAAAATACAGTAATGTAATCATGAGACTACCTTTGTATATGCAGTCTGTCACTGATCAAAAAGTAGTTATGCGGCACATGACTATTTGTGCACATGAATATTATATGAATCATGATTTCTTACATACAGGTTTGTGTGTGTGTGTGTGTGTGTATATATGTATAAATACATATTTCCTAGTACTGTTTGTTGAAAGAACCAAGAAGCAAAGACACTCCAATAGCAATGAACAGACCTAGTGTCAGATCTCAGTCTCTAATGCCATTTCCCACAAAAAGAAACTCTGGTTCCTCAGATAAATTGCTGAATCTACACCTAGGGCAGGACAGGTATATTGTGAGCCTGGAAAATCTTTTAATGACAGAATATGAGGAAGTGCTCAAAAATATAATAAGGAATTAACACATGGATTCAGGAGCCGGCTTAAAGAGATTCCCTCTGATCAAATCCGGGACACTTTGAGCACCAAAATAAGATTAAGAAATTATAAATCGTTGGAAAAAAAAGAAATGAATGAATCCATACATATTATAAATATGGATACATATACATACATAGAGAATGGTGATCTATTTCTTAAGCATAATGCCAAATGCCTACTGAGAAATGTGGAGGAAGTGCTAGAGTTGAAAAATCATCATTTTGCAAACATCATAGTAGAGAGTAGATAAGGTAGGAATAATCATAGATGCTAAATTGAGGAAGAAATATTAATAAAGAGTAGTAATTGTGTGGTCATCAAGTCTGTCCCCACAGATTGCATATTGGAGCCAAAGGAGAAAAAATTAGTTATCATATAGTGGAGAAATACAACAGTTTCATTGAGTGAAAAACTTAATATCACCTATGAGGGACAGCTATGCTGAGAAGGACAAAATATCATCTATGCAGAATTTGCCTAAGAAGGCATAGCATCAACTGATCACAATAGATGATCAAAGACAAAATAAGAAACATTCTATTGGGGGAAAAAAGTAGAAAGAAAAAGAAACAAACAAAAAAGTGGAAAGAACTTTTTTTTTAGAGACAAATCTTGCCCTGTGGCCCAGGCTGGAATGCAGTAGCTTGATCATAGCTCACTGCAGTCTCAAATGATACTCTTGCCTCAGCCCCTCAGGTAGCTAGAACTATAGGCATGCACCACTATGCCAGGCTAATTTTTTTTTTTTAACTTTTTGAAGAGATAGAGCCTTGCTCTGTTGCTCAGGATGGTTGCAGGAAGAGCTTTTTAAAAAGATGACAAAGTGAAACATGGCAAAGAAAGGCTAGGGAATAACTCCAGATTAAAGGAAACTAAAGAGACATGACAACTAAATGCAATACTTGAATTTATTTTATCTTATCTTATCTTATTTTATTTTATGATGGAGTCTTGCTCTGTCACCCAGGCTGGAGTGCAGTGGCACAATGTCAGCTCACTGCAACCTCCACTCCCCAGGTTCAAGGAGAAAGAAAATGCAATGTAAGATATTATGAGATCAACTAAGAAAACTGGCATATGGAAAGCATATTAGATAAAAGTATCATATCAATGTCAATTTATGAAGTTGATCACTGCACTGTAATTATATAAGGGAATATCTCTAAACTTAAAACTGCACATTTGAGCCGGGTGCAGTGGCTCATGCCTGTAATCCCAGCACTTTGGGAGACCAAGGTGGGCGGATCACTTGAGGTCAGGAGTTCGAGACCAGCCTGGCCAGCATGGTGAAACCCCATCTCTACTAAAAATACAAAAAAATTAGCTGTGCGTGGTGGTGCATGCCTGCAATCCTAGCTACTCAGGAGGCTGAGGCAGGAGAATCACTTGAACCTGGGGAGCGGAGGTTGCAGTGAGCCAAGATTGTGCCACTGCACTCCAGCCTGGGTGACAGAGCAAGACT
Source organism: Homo sapiens (assembly GCF_000001405.40). NCBI lineage: Eukaryota > Metazoa > Chordata > Mammalia > Primates > Hominidae > Homo > Homo sapiens. Next base: position 196,233 of record NW_025791788.1, on the reverse strand, counting down.
CCATCTCAAAATAAAATAAAATAAAATAAAATAAAATAAAATAAAATAAAATAAAATAAAATAAGGCCAGGTACGGTGGCTCATGCCTGTAATCCCAACACTTTGGGAGGCTGAGGTGCATGGATCACTTGAGGTCAGGGGTTCGAGACCAGCCTGGCCAATACGGCGAAACCCCGTCTCTGCTAACAATACAAAAATTAGCCAGATGTGGTGGCATGTGCCTGTAGTCCCAGCTACTAGGGAGGCTGAGGCTGGAGAATCACTTGAGCCTGGGAGGCAGAGGTTGCAGTGAACCAAGATCTTGCCACTGCACTCCAGCCTGGGCAACAGAGTGTGACTCCATCTCAATAAATAAATAAATAAATAAATAAATAAAGTAAAATAATAAAAATACACACTTAAGTATTTATGGGAAATGAGCCATGATACATGCAACATGTCCTAAAAAGGCTCCATATCAAGAACAGCAGCAGAAACATTAAAAATCTAGATAAATATGGCCGGGGGCGGGGGCTCACGCCTGTAATCCCAGCACTTTGGGAGGCCGAGGCGGGCGGATCACGAGGTCAGGAGATCGAGACTATCCTGGCTAACACAGTGAAACCCTGTCTCTACTAAAAAATACAAAAATAATTAGCCGGGTGTGGTGGTGGGCGCCTGTAGTCCCAGCTACTCGGGAGGCTGAGGCAGAAGAATGGTGTGAACCCAGGAGGCAGAGCTTGCAGTGAGCTGAGATTACGCCATTGCACTCCAGCCTGGGCGACAGCAAGACTCCATCTCAAAAAATAATAATAATAAATAAATAAAAATAAAAAATAAAAATCTGGAGAAATATGACAAACTATTAGCCTTTTCTTAAGTTATTTAAAGTATGTATGACAGTTGAAGTAAAACATTATAATGTTATCTAATGGAGTTTTATTATTATCATTATTATATTTTGAGACAGGGTCTCAGTCTCCCAGGCTAAAGTGCAATAGCATAATCACAGCTCACTGCACTGTCGAACTCCTGGGCTCAAGTAATTCTCCTACCTCAGCCTACCAAGTAGCTGGGACTACGAGTGCACCCCACTACAATAAGCTAATTTTGTTGTTGTTTTTGTAGAGATAGGGTCTTCCTTTGTTGCTCAGACTGGACTAATGGAGTTTTTCAGCACATACATGTGAATATAATTCACATGAAAACTACCACATGAAGCAGGAAGGGGAAGTGATCCATGTGGTTATAGGACCACAAGACTATAACTGCAGTGGTAAAGTATCAAATCTAAATAGACTGTTAAAAGTTAGGTTACGTATGTTATAATCCCCACAGCAGCCAATAAAAAATAATACAAATATAGCCAAAACGTGAATGAAATAAATTAAAAGAGAATATTAAAATATATTTAAAGGAGAGGGTTTTGAGAAGATGACAGAATAGGAAGTACCAGAATTCCATCTCTCCACTTATATAACAATTTCACTGGCAGAATCTGTTTGATATAACCATTTGGAAACTCTGAGTCTAATGAAGGCTGGCAACATCCAGGCAAAGGCTTGGAGAAGGGCTTGGATGGTAAATTGTGATTAATTTTAGCAAATTTCAGCTCTTAGTATAGCAGCAGCTACCCATTTCTTCACCCCCACCCCCCTGGCAGGCAGTCATGTGAGTATAACCAGAGCAGCTTACACACAGCTTATAGAAGCCAGAGCAAGCAAAAAAAAAAAAAGGACCCTGTCCTCCAGCCATAAAGGATCTGTGTTTTGTTCACTGCGGCTTCTTATCACAGAAGTGTAGACAAAGAGTCAGGCAGCCATTGTAGTTACACATCCCCACACTTTTGAAAACCCTGCTTCCTCCAGTTGAAGTGATTTCCAGGGGACTTAAAAGGCCAGAGCTCCTTTTTTCCCACCTTCATTTTCTTCATTTCCCCTTTCTAAGAGCCGAACAATCAAGACTAGGACATTGACAAATAACTGCATATAAGGGGAGATTCTGTAAGAGATTGCACATACCCATGGAAAGCTTCAAGCCCAGAAACAAACTGAGAAGACCTTAAGTTTATACCTCAGGTTAATCCCTGGCACAGAGATGGCCTACAAAAATATGAATAAATAAATAAATAAAATAAATAATAACAATAACAAGCCTGTAAACCCTGGGGAAGAGGGAGAATCTGACTTTGGGGGTTACCACATTATTAGGTTCAAATGAGCCCTTTTCAACAACAATAACAACAAAACACAAGGGATACAAAGAAATATAAAAGAAGGCTGGGCACGGTGGCTCATGCCTGTAATCCCAACACTTTGAAAGGCCAAGGCAGGCGGATCACCTGAGGCCGGGAGTTCAAGACCAGCCTGACCAACATGGCAAAACCCCCTCTCTACTAAAAATACAAAATTAGCTGGGTGTGGTGGCACATGCCTTTAATCCTAGCTACTTGGGAGGCTGAGGCAGGAGAATCGCTTGAACCTGGGAGGCAGAGGTTGCAGTGCACCCAGATCATGCCATTACACTCCAGCCTGGGCAACAAGAGCGAAACTCCATCTCAAAAAAAAAAAAAAGAAAGAAAGAAAAAAAAAGAGATACAAAAGAATGGCCTCGTGAAATGAAAAAAAATAAATGAATAGACAGCATCCCTGAAAAAAAATCTGATGGTAGATCTACCATACAGACTTTACAACCACCATCTTAAAAATGCTAAAGAAAGATCTGGAGAAAGTTAAGAAAATGATACAGGAACACAATAGAAATATCAATACAAAGAAAGAAACCTAAAAGAAAACCAAAAGAAATTCTGGAAGTGAAAAGTACAATAATTAAAATGAAAAATTCACTACAGGAATTCAAAGGCAGATTTGAGTAGGCAGAAAGAAAAATCACCAAACCTGGAGATAGGACAATAGAAATTGTCAAGTCTGAGAAATAAAAAGAAAAAAGAATGAGGAAAAGTGAACAGAATGTAAGGAAACTAGCTGAGCGTGGTGGCTCATGCCTGTAATCCTAGCACTTTGGGAGGCCAAGGTGGGTGGATCACTTGAGGTCAGGAGTTCAAGACCAGCCACACCAACATGGTGAAACCCCATCTCTACTAAAAATACAAAAAATTAGCTGAATGTGGCAGCAGGCACCTGTAATCCCAGCTACTCGGGAGGCTGAGGCAGGAGAATTGCTTGAACCTATGAGGTGGAGGTTGCAGTGAGCTGAGATTGCGCCACTGTACTCTAGCCTGGGTGACAGAGGGAAACTCCATTAAAAAGAAAAAAAAAGAATGTAAGGAAACTGTGGGACATGGGGACATGTCAAGAGAACAAACTACCAACTTCTGCACTGTAGGAGTCTCAGAAAAAAAAAAAAAGAGAGGAAGAAGCAGACAGAATAAAGTGTTAAAACATCCCAAATTTGATGAAAGATATGAATATAAAACATCCAAGAGACTCAAAGAACTCCAAGATGAACTAAGAGATCCACATAGAGAAACATTATAATCAAGCTGTCAAAAGACAAAGACAAAGAGAGAATATCTTGAAAGCAGCAAGAGAAAAGAGACTGGTCACATACAAGGGATGTTCAATAAAATGATCAGCAGATTTTTCATCAGAAAGTATGGAGGCCAGAAGTCAGTGAGGTCATATATTCAAAGTGCTAAAAGAAAAAAAAAAATCTGTCAACCAAGAATTTTCTATTCTGCAAAACTGTCCTTAAAAAGTGAGGGAGATAGTGGCCGGGTGCGGTGGCTCACACCTGTAATCCCACTACTTTCAGAGGCCAAGGCAGGATCACCTGAGGTCGGGAATCGGAGATAAGCCTAACCAACATGGAGAAACACCATCTCTAATAAAAATACAAAAAAAATGAGCCAGGAGTGGTGGCGCATGCCTGTAATCCCAGCTACTTGGGAGGCCGTGGCAGGAGAATCACCTGAACCCGGGAGGCAGAGGTTGCGGTGAGCTGAGATCGCGCCATTGAACTCCAGCCTGGGCAACAAGAGTGAAATTCCATCTCAAAATAATAATAATAATAATAATAATAATAATAATAATAATAATAATAATGAGGGAGATGATCAAAGGGATGTGGCTGGAGAAAAGAAAAATAAAACAAAAAATAAAAAAAGTGCAGGAGAAATTAAGACATTCTCAGGCAAACAAAAGTTGAGGGAGTTGGTTATCATTAAACTTTCTCTGTAAGAAATGGTCAAGAGAATTCTGTAGAGTGAAAGAAAGGACACTAGACAGTAACCTGAAGACATATTAAGAAATAGACTCTTAGAACATATGGAAAAAGGCAAAAGAAGTAAAAAGTTTAAAAAAACAAAAAAAAAGACTCAATAAAGGTAAATACATGTGAAATTATAAAAGCTAGTATTTTTGCAACAATAGTTTGTTACTCTACTTTTTGTTTCCTACATGATTTTACAGACTAATACATTTTTTAAAAATTAGACTAAAAGCTAGTATTAATGTAATTTTCATTTGTGACTCCACATTATTTTCTATGTAATTTAAAAAACTAATGCATTTTAAAGAATTATTAGTTTACATTTTGGGGTGCACAACATATAAATATACAAGTTCATAACATCAATAATTCAAAAGGCTGGGGACTGTTGTAGGAAGTCAGGGACCCCGAACGGAGGGACCAGCTGGAGCTGCGGCAGAGGAACATAAATTGTGAAGATTTCATTTTAAAATGGACATTTATCAGTTCCCAAATAATACTTTTATAATTTCTTACACCTGTCTTTAATCTCTGAACATAAATTGTGAAGATTTCATTTTAATATGGACATTTATCAGTTCCCAAACAATACTTTTATAATTTCTTACACCTGTCTTTAATCTCTGAACATAAATTGTGAAGATTTCATTTTGATATGGACATTTATCAGTTCCCAAATAATACTTTTATAATTTCTTATGCCTGTCTTTACTTCAATCTCTTAATCCTGTTATCTTCATAAGCTGAGGATGTACGACACCTCAGGACCACTGTGACAACTGTGTTAACTGTACTAATTGATTGTAAAACATGTGTGTTTGAACAATATGAAATCAGTGCACCTTGAAAAAGAACAGAATAGCAGCGATTTTCAGGGAACAGGGGAAGACAACCATAAGGTCTGACTGCCTGTGGGGTCGGGCAAAAAGAGCCATATTTTTCTTCTTGCAGAGAGCCTATAAACAGATGTGCAAGTTGTTGCTACATTAATAAATCTTTTTCTCACCCTTTCCAGAAGGAAACAGAAGTAAAATTGAATAGTGGCTGCCTTTGGAGAAAGAGATGGGGTTAGTTGAGTGACAGAGAATTCTACTCTTCATTTTGCTCCTTTCTGTAGTGTTCCAATTATCTAATCCTTCCACATATCAGCTGAGGTTTTCTAAGCAGTAGTTATTTTTAGTTTACTTCCATATATTTTTAAATACCAAACTAATCAATACTGACTGACAATATCAATCAGTTAGTAAAATAGTTGACTAACCCCTGTGTTTATATATTCTGATATGATATGAAAATTTAGAAACTCTATCAATTTTAATATTTCTGTAGAGTTTTTGCATATGCATATTCACTATTAATACACAGAAGACTCCTAAGTTCAGGCTGATTCCTTTAAAGTGTCTATTCTACCCCTACAAGAATTGAAATAGTTTCAGTATATTTTGTTTTATAAATATTTAACTTATGTTTGCTCAGGTTGAGAAATGCAATGTTCCACAAGGGTCCATTTGCTAAATCTAAGGCATGAATGATTTTTTGGTAGTTACAGTATTTATGAAATATTGAGAATTTATGCATATGAAATGTCTCATAATGGGCTATTTTAGACTTAAGCTATTCTTTTTTTAGGTCTCCAGTGTAAAATTCGAAGAGTAGAAGCTATAGCAAATGAATATGCTGCATTTCTTGTGCTATAGACTCCTTAATCTTTACAGAAGTCTTATTTGTTCAGCTAGATTGGTCTAAAAGAAATGGTTTGATTTTCTCTCAAATAATTCAGCCTTCAAAAAGAAACCTTCCATGTCATTATTTTTGCAGCTGTAGTGCATACTGGGAGGCTCTGCCAGCTTGGCATTTAATGTGTTTGTTTTATGTAGAGTGTGGTATTAAAGTAGTGGCTGAATTACTTGAAGAAAAAAAAAAACAGACATGCAAGTAGGAGAGATATCGCTAAATTCTTTTCCTAGCAAGGAATATTAATGTTAATACCCTGGGAAAGGAATGCATTCCTGGGGGGAGGTCTATAAACAGCCACTCTGGGAATGTCTGTCTTATGCAGTTGAGATAAGGACTGAGATACGCCCTGGTCTCCTGCAGTACCCTCACAGGCTTACTAGGGTGGGGAAAAACTCCGCCCTGGTAAATTTGTGGCCAGACCGGTTCTCTGCTCTCAAACCCTGTTTTCTGTTGTTTAAGATGTTTATCAAGACAATATGTGCACCGCTGAACATGGACCCTTATCAGTAGTTCTGCTTTTGCCCTTTGCCTTGTGATCTTTGTTGGACCCTTATTAGTAGTTCTGCTTTTTGCCCTTGGAAGCATGTGATCTTTGTACCTACTCCCTGTTCTTATACCCCCTCCCCTTTTGAAACCCTTAATAAAAACTTGCTGGTCTGAGACTCAGGCAGGCATCACGGTCCTACTGATATGTGACGTCACCCCCAGCGGCCCAGCTGTAAAATTCCTCTCTTTTTACTCTTTCTCTTTATTTCTCAGCCAGCCGACACTTATGGAAAATAGAAAGAACCTATGCTGAAATATTGGGGGTGGGTTCCCCCAATAGGGGACAGAGCTCTAAAGAAACACAGGTCTTTTAAACTTTTTTTAAGTTAAAGTGGCATAAAATGAAATTGCAAGGACATGTGTGGTGGCTCATGCCTATAATCCCAGAACTTTGGGAGGACAAGGCAGGAGGATAGCAAGAGTCCAGGAGTTCAAGACCAGCCTGGGCAACAGAGTGAGACCCCTTCCTTTAGCATTTTTAAGTGGATAGGATGGATAATCAAGGGATAGGATAATCCATCACTCAGCCTCTTTCCCCAGCCACCCCTATCATTGCTCAATGGGCCCATGAACAAAGTAAAGTGGCCATGGTGGCAGGGATGGAGGTTACGCATGGCTCAGCAACAAGGACTTCCACTCACCACGTCTGACAAGGCCAATTTGCCAGCAGCAGGGATCAACACTGACCCCCGATATGGCACCATTTCTTGGGGTGATCAGCTAGCTACCTGGTGGCAGGTTGATTATATTGGGCCTATTCCATAATGGAAAGGGCAGAGGTTTGTCCTCACTGGAATAGACACTTACTCCGGATATGGGTTTGCCTATACTGCATGCAATGCTTCTGCCAAGACTACCATCGTGGACTCACAGAATGCCTTATCCACCATCACAGTATGCCATACAGCATTGCCTCTGATGAAGGCACTCACTTTACGGCTAAAGAAGTGCAGCAGTGGGCTCATGCTCATGGAATTCACTGGTCTTACCATGTTCCCAATCATCCTGAAGCAGCTGGATTGACAGAACAGTAGAATGGCCTTTTGAAGTCACAATTACAATGCTAACTAGGTGACAATACTTTGCAAAGCTGGGGCAAATCTCTCCAGAAGGCCATGTATGCTCTGAATCAGCATCCAATATATGGTACTGTTTCTTCCATAGCCAAGATTCATGGGTCCAGGAATCAAGGGGTGGAAGTTGAAGTGGCACCACTCACCAACACCCCTAGTGATCTACTGGCAAAATTTTTGCTTCCTGTTCCTGCGACATTACATTCTGCTGGCCTAGAGGTCTTAGTTCCAGAGGGAGGAACGCTGCCTCCAGGAGACACAACAAAGATCTCATTAAACTGGAAGTTAAGATTGCCACCTGGACACTTTGGGCTCCTCCTACATTTAAGTCAACAGGCTAAGAAGGGAGTTACAGTGTTGGCTGGGATGACTGACCCAGACTATCAAGATGAAATCATTCTACTACTTCACAATGGAGGTAAGGAAGAATATGCATGGAATAGCAGAGATTCATTACGGCTTCTCTTAGTATTACCAAGCCCTGTAAGTAAGGTTAATGGGAAACTACGACAGCCCAATCCAAACAGGACTACAAATGGCCCAGATCCTTCAGGAATGAAGGTTTGGGTCGCTCCATCAGGAAAAAAACACGACCCCCTGAGGTGCTTGCTGAACGCAAAGGGAATACATAATGGGTAGTAAAAGAAGGGAGTCATCAGTACCAGCTATGACCACATGACCAGCTGCAGAAACGGGGACTGTAATTGTCATGAGTACTTCCTTCTTCTTTCGTTAAAAATATGTTTGTGCATGTATACACTTGCACTAAGAAAGTACTTTCATTTTATTTCCTTTTTCCTTTATCATGTGACATATGATTTATTGACTTCATATCAGCATTTAAGTATTATCAACTTTATGTAATAGTATTTGGGTTGGGGATTGGTGAGTTTCTGGTTTTATGAAGGATAGTTGTATGTTAGGCACAATTATGACTATTATTGTCTTTATTTGAAGATTATGTATGATCTTAGGAGATGTGTATGGGTTCAAGTTGACAAGGGGTGGACTTGTCATGGTTAATACTAAGTGTCAACTAGATTGGATTGAAGGATACAAAGTATTAATCCTGGGTGCGTCTGTGAGGGTATTGCCAAAGGAGATTAACATTTGAGACAGTGGGCTGGAGAAGGCAGACTCACCCTTAATCTGGATGGGCACTATCTAATCAGCTGCCAGTGAATATAGAGCAGGCAGAAACACATGAAAAGGTTAGACTGGCCTAGCCTCCCAGCCTACATTTTTCTCCTGTGGTGGATGCTTCCTGTCCTTGAACACTGAATTCCAAGTTTTTCAGTTTTGGAACTCAGGCTGGCTCTCCTTGCTCCTCAGCCTGCAGACGGCCTATTACGGGACCTTGTGATCATGTGAGTTAATATTTAATAAACTCCCCGTTATATTATATATATATATATATATATATATATATGTATACACACACACACACACACACACACACACACACACACACAGGCTTTAAGCAACAGGCTTGAGAGAAAAGGCCCTGTCTTCTCTCAATGGGACAGATTCACAGAACTATCTTAGTTTTTTTTGGTTTTGGTTTTGTTTTTTCAGATGATGTCTTGCTCTGTCACCCAGAGGAGTGCAGTGGCACAATCTTGGTTCACTGCAACCTCCGCCTCCCCGGTTCAAGCGATTTTCGTGCCTCAGCCTCCCGAGTGGCTGGGGATACAGGCGCCCACCACCACACTCAGCTAATTTTTGTATTTTTAGTATAGACAGGGTTTCTCCATGTTTGCCAGGCTTGTCTCTAACTCCTGACCTCAGGTGATGTGCCCACCTTGGCCTCCCAACATGCTGGGATTGCAGGTATGAGCCACTGTGCATGGCCAGGACTATCTTATATAGATGGTGCAAATAAAGCTTGTGTGGTGCTTAAAAAAAAAAAAAAAAAAGGAAAAGAAAAAGAAAAAGAAATTCTGACTTATGCCACATGGATGAACCTTGACAACATTACACTCAGCGAAATAAACCAGTCAAAAAAGGCAAATACTGGCCAGGCACAGTGGCTCACGCCTGTAATCCCAGCACTTTGGGAGGCCGAGATGGCTAGATCACCTGAGGTCAGGAATTCAAGACCAGCCTGGCCAATATGGCAAAACCCCTTCTCTACTAAAAATATAAAAATTAGCTGGGCATGGTAGCGGGTGCCTGTAATCCCAGCTACTTGGGAGGCTGAGGCAGGAGAATCCCTGGTGAGGTAGAGGTTACAGTGAGCAGAGATCACACCACTGCACGCCTGCCTGGGCGACAGAGCGAGACTCCATCTAAAGAAAAAAGGCAAATACTGTATGATTCTACTTATATGAGGTACTTAGATTAATACTTAGATAGTATTAATCAAAATCACACAGACAAAAAGTAGAATGGTGGATGAGGAGAGGGAGGAAGTGGGAGTTATTGTTTATGGGTACAAAGTTTCTGGTTTTTTTTTTTTTTTTTTGAGATAGTCTCACTCTGTCACCCAGGCTGGAGTGTAGTGGTGCTCTCGGCTCACCACAACCTCCGCCTCCCAGGTTCAAGCGATTCTCCTGCCTCAGCCTCCCAAGTAGCTGGGACTACAGTCACGTGCCACCATGCCCAGCTAGTTTTTGTATTTTTAGTAGAGACAGGGTTTCACCATGCTGGATTTGAACTCCTGACCTCATGATCCACCCGCCTCAGCCTCCCAAAGTGCTGGGATTATAGGCGTGAGCCACCACACCTGGCCAAAGTTTCTGTTTTAAAAGAGGAAAGAGTTATGTTGACAGATAGTGGTGATGGTTGTACAACATAATGAATGTATTTACTATTATTGAAGTGTACTCTTTAACATGGTTGAGTTGGTAGATTTTGTAAGTATTTTGCCACAGTAAAAAAATAGGAAAACAAGTTAAATAATCTAAAAGAAGGCAAGAAAGGGTGTTAGTAGGTGTTAGTTCACACCTACTCATTTTTCAGATGTCAGCTCAAGCTTCAGGAAATGATTTCATGTTCTCTGTGCTAGTCTAATTCCTGATAAACACTTTGGGAGGCTAAGGCAAGAGGACTGCTTGAGCCTAGGAGTTTGAGACCAGCCTGGGCAATAGTGAACAAAAAAACCAAGTAGATTCACTGAAAACAAAGAACATAAAATAATAGCTGAATTAACACAAAGCTGCATAAGCATGTAGTTTATAGGGAACACTGGAGATTATGTGTTAAAAGTCAGTCTAATAACTATTTTAAAAATTATTTAAACATCTGAAAAAAATTGTTTTCCAAAAAGTATGGGCCTACAAAGAGGAGAAATTAGTTCATTCACGCTTAAAGGCCACAGTGACACGATATTTCGTTCTCCATCAAACAAGTGAGCAAAAAAATAAACTCTTAATCATGTGATGAGGGAGTAAGCCATGAAAATAATCTTAAAAGCTATGATGACTCAAGTTTAAACACATACACACAGAAGAAAAGACTGTTCTTTTACAATGAACTTTAAAAAATTCACAATTCCTTTATTCTTCCATTTGCATCTTCATAAAGGATACTGTACTACAGCACATAAGAGTTTTCCATATAGAAAGAAATTTTGTGTGTGGGTGTGGGTGTTGGCTCTCACAGCTGTAAGAATGACTGTAATTTATCTATTTTTCCTAAGCAAAGTCCAAACTTCACTAAACGTAAAACAGATGTCATGGATTTCTTTCATAAAATGTTGGCAGTAACCCATTTCAATTTCAGCTAAAGTAGTCAGGAAACAAAAATAACTCCAAATGTCTCCTTCTCAAGTATAAAGCGAACACAAAGAGAAATTTAGGATAAAGATTCCAAAATTTTATTCTAACAATAAATTCCTGGGACTATTACATCTAAAATTAGGTGACCATCAGAAATTAATTCACAAAAATATTAACAGACATTCTCACACATTACTGGTGGGAATACAAAACAGTATGGTCATTCTGGAAAACGGTTTGGCAGTTTATTATAAATTTAAACATACTCTTATACGACTCAGCAATTCCACTTCTGGTTATGTACCCTAGAGAAAAGAAAACTTACATTCACACAAAAACCTCTAGTGAATGTTCACAGCAGCATATACATGTATGTTTGTGTGTGTAATATACATATTTATAGCATATGAATGTTTGTAGCAGCATGAATGCATGTGTATGTGTGTGTATACATACAAACATATATAAAGATAATATGCTATATTATACACTATAATATGCTACATAAATGTATACATAGGCCAGGCGTGGTGGCTCACGCCTGTAATCCCAGCACTTTGGGAGGCTGAGGTGGGCGGATCACTAGGTCAGGAGATCGAGACCATCCTGGCCAACATGGTGAAACCACATCTCTCCTAAAAATACAAAAACTAGCTGGGTGTGGTGGTGCGTGCCTATAATCCCAGCTACTCGGGAGGCTGAGGCAGGAGAATCACTTGAACCAGGGAGTCAGAGGTTGCAGCGAGCTGATATCATACTACAGCACTCCAGCCTGGTGACAGGGCGAGACTCCGTCTCAAAAAAAAAAAAATAAAAAAAAAAGTATATATAATATGCTATATTCACCAAAAACTGAAAATAACCCAGATATCCTTCAATGGGTAAATGAATAAACAAACTATGGTACATTCATACAAGGGAATATGAAAACACAAGAAATAAAAAGCATTACAAGCGACATAAAGAACTCCTTAAATGGGCCCACTGGCAGACAGTACTGCAACAGAGGAAAGACTCTGCGAAGTTGCAGATAGGTTAATAGAAATTATCCAAACTGAAACACAAAGGAAAAAAGGCATGAAAGAAATAGAACAGAGCATCCAAATGCTGGGACAATATGTCAAATAGTCTAACATATGTGTCATTAGAGTGACACAGGGCAAAATAAATACTTTAAAAGACATGGTTGATAATTTTCACACAAATATACCCTAAACATAGCACAAACTACAGAAACACAAAATTAAGAGAAAGATTTAAGGCTGCCCCAAGCACACACACATGACACACTAATACAGAAAAATAAAGATAACAATCATCGCAGTCTTTTTGTCACAACCTATGCAATCCAGATTATGAAAGAGTATGTTTAAAGATATATGTTTTTTATCTTTAAACCTGTCTACTCAGAATTCTATGGCCAGCAAAAATATCTTTCAAAAAATGAAGGCAAAATTAAGACCTTTCCAGAGAAACAAAAGCTGATAGATATTACGGCCAACAGACAAGCACAGTAAGAAATGTTAAAGGGTCAGGTGCGGTGGCTCACGCCTGTATTCCCAGCACTTTGGGAGGCCAAGGCGGGTGGATCACCTGAGATCAGGAGTTTGAGACCAGCCTGACCAACATGGTGAAACCCCGTCTCTACTAAAAATACAAAATTAGCCGGGTGTGGTGGTACACACCTGTAGTCCCAGCTACTTGGGAGGCTGAGGCAGGAAATTTACTTGAACCCGGGAGGCAGAGGTTGCAGTGAGCTGAGATTGTGCCATCGCACTCCAGCCTGGGCAAAAAGAGCGAAATTCCATCTCAAAAAAAAAAAAAAAAGTTATAGGAAGTTCTTAAGGAAGAAGGAGCATAGCAGTTAGAAATCTGAATCAAATGAAATGAAGAATGAAATAAAGAAATGAAGAATGTTGGAAATGAAAAAATGAAGATAAATATACAAAAACACGTTTTGTCAGCCAGGCACGGTGGCTCATGCCTGTAATCCTGGCACTTTGGGAGGCCGTGGTGGGTGGATCATTTGAGGTCGGGAGTTCAAGACCAGCCTGGCCAATGTAGTAAAACCCTGTCTCTACCAAAAATGCACAAAAAAAAAAAAAAAAGAAAGAAAGAAAGAAAGAAAATTAGCTGGGCATGGTGGCTGGATGCCTGCAATCCCAGCTACTCAGGAGGCTGAGGCAGGAGAATTGCCTGAACTTGGGAGGCAGAGGTTGCAGTGAGCCAAGATCATGCCATTCCACTCTAGCCTGGGTGACCGAGTAAGACTCCATCTCAAAACAAAACAAAACAAAACAAGTTTTGTCTTATTTTTAATTGCTTTAAAAAATAATTGACAGTCTAAGGCAAACATAGTAACAATGCCCTGAGACATTTGGAACATGTAAAAGTGTATGACAATTATATGAAAATAATAATACAATGGTTGAGGGAAAATAAATGGAAAGTATACTGTTGTTCTTATAGTACATGTGAAATGCTTACTATTTAAAGTGAAAGTAGACTGTGATAAGGGAAGATCAAGGTAGAAGCAAGAGTCAATAAAATAATGACTAAAAATTTTTCAAAACCTAAAGATACCAATCCTGTCTGAAAAACTACAGATCTATAATGAAAAACTAAAAATAAATTCATAATTAGGCATATAACATTTAAATTGCATAACAGCAGAGATAAAGAAGAAAGAAACTCCAAAAGGAGAGGTAACTTACACGTAGTTGAATCTGGAATAAAATCCAGGTCTTCTGACCTATGTTCAGCACCCTTTCTAAAATACCAGTCACTCTCCACAAAATGGGAACCCAGTCTAAAAAATTGCCCAAAAAGCTGGGATTAAATATTTATTAAGTAACTATAATATGCTCATTATTACAGGAAGAGAGATATCTCACTACTCTTCCTTTTGTAATTTCCAAATAGCAGATGCTACTTCCAAACTATGGTCTGAACAAAAGGAAATATGTGATCTCTGCCATGACACAACACATTCTTGGTATTCTCCCTACCTCTCAAACAGTTCCTTTTCTAATTCCTTTGCAGGATCCTTCCCTTCTATTCAGCCAGTATATTTTAGAATTCCTCAAGGCTCAGTTCTAGGGCCTTTTCTAGTTCTACTCTATATTCCTTCATAGGCAAACTCATTCCTGCTCAAGGCTTTAATTCCTACCCAATAGAAGATAATTCCAGTGTTCTATATCTCCCACCCCCACCTCTACTGTGCTGCCTCTTTCTCATTTTTATTTCAGTGTTTTCAAAGGCACTCAAGTCCCATATGTCCAAAATAAAGTCATAATGTCACCTGACAATGGTCCTCTTCCAACCTTCCCTTAACAGCAGACGGGACCACCATAATCAAAGAGTTATCCCCTGTGAATGACCTCTAATCCCTTTTACTCAAGCAATCCCATGCCCACTCATTTTTGCTTCCTAATTATCCCCCAAATCCATCTAGCTAAGTATCATCATTTCAGTCCAAACTACAAACTTCTCTTGCCTGAACTGTTTTAAAAGACTAGTCATTGACTCACTTGTATCAATGATTGCACCCCTTCATTCCATTTCCCCATAGTATCCAGAATAATTCTTTCTAGGATGCCACACTTTTGCTTTCCTCAGGCCCTGCTCAAAACTTTTCAATAGTTTCACTTGGTCCTGGGACTGTGATAACACTCTTTATACCCAATTCCCAGTAGTATGGACCTTACCTAATTTCCTAACCTCATCTTACACCATTCTCCTAGGCTCTTGCCTCCACCTGTCACTGTGGCCCTGTGTCAATTGCTCACAGACACCATGCTCCCTGCTGGCACAGTGCTCAGCAAAGTTATTCCCTCTTTGTTAGTTCACACCTACTCATTTTTCAGATGTCAGTTCAAGCTTCAGCAAATGATTTCATGTTCTCTCTGCTAGTCAAATTCCTGATAAACACTTTGGGAGGCTAAGGCAGGAGGACTGCTTGAGCCTAGGAGTTTGAGAACAGCCTGGGCAATATAGTGAGACCCCATCTCTAATTTAAAAAAAAATACAAAAATAATAAAAAACAAAAATTCCTGATATATACTTCAACAGCATTATGTAACTCTCCTTTGTAGCATTTAACATAGCCATAATTTTATATTTACTTCTGCCATTATTTGATCAATATCTAACTTCTCCACTAGACTGTCAATTCCATGAGGACTGAGGATTGTGTCTTTTTTTGCTCACATTTTAATTTTAATACCCAGCACATAGTGAATGTGCAATAAATATAAACTAAATGAAAGAATGATAGATATAGAGAATATGGGCTCAAATATAAGCACAACAGTGGTGTTATACTTTCAGAGAAGACCTATTTACTTACTAAGAAGAGGAAAAGGTAAACTTAAAACTGTAAAGTGTAAATTTACTTTTTTTCTCTAAAAAAGTAAGTTTGTAAAATAGCTTACCTAGACACAAATTCACTTAATTCTGAGCATTCTGTGGGCTCCATTATTATGTTGAGGTCAGTAACAGCAGAAGATAATCTCTCCTTATTCTAAAATAAAGATAAAAATTTCTGTATCAAAGCACAGTAAACTTCAAAAAGACAAAAATACTTTTGAAATATGCAAAATGAAATGCCACCAAATAAAAGGAAAGAGTAATCATGACAGAAACAAAACAAAAACAAAAAAAGTTCAATCTCACTAATAATAATTGTAAATTAAAACAATAAGGTAAGATGCCTTTTTTTTTTTTTTTTGGAGACGGAGTCTTGCTCTGTCACCAGGCTGGAGTGCAGTGGCGCGATCTCGGCTCACCGCAACCTCCGCCTCCTGGATTCAAGCGATTCTTCTGCCTCATTCTCCCCAAAGCTGGGGAGCTGGGACAACAGGTGCCCACCACCACGCCCGGCTAATTTTTGTATTTTTAGTAGAGATGGGGTTTCACCATGTCGGCCAGGATGGTCTCAATCTCGTTTGTTTTGTTTTTGTTTTTGTTTTGAGACAGTCTCGCTCTGTCGCCCAGGCTGGAGTGTGGTGGCGCGATCTCGGCTCACTGCAAACTCCGCCTCCCGGGTTCACGCCATTCTCCCGCCTCAGTCTCCCGAGTAGCTGGGACTACAGGTGCCCGCCACCATGCCTGGCTAATTTTTTTGTATTTTTTAGTAGAGACGGGGTTTCACCGTGTTAGCCAGAATGGTCTCGATCTCCTGACCTCGTGATCCACCTGCCTCAGCCTCCCAAAGTGCTGGGATTACAGGCGTGAGCCACCGTGCCAGGCGGTCTCAATCTCTTGACCTCCTGATCCCCCCGTCTCTGCCTCCTGAAGTGCTGGGATTACAGGCGGGAGCCACCGCGCCTGGCCGATAAGATGCCATTTTTACCTATAAGATGAGCAAAGACTGGCCGGGCGCGGTGGCTCACGCCTGTAATCCAGCACTTTGGGAGGCAGAGGCGGGTGAATCACCTGAGGTTAGGAGTTGGAGACCATCCTGACCAACACGGTGAAACCCCGTCTCTACTAAAAATACAAAAAATTAGCTAGGCGTCGTGGCAGGCGCCTGTAATCCCAGCTACTCGGGAGGCTGAGGCAGGAGAATCGCTTGAGCACAGGAGGCAGAGGTTGCAGCGAGCCAAGATCGTGCCACTGCACTACAGCCTGCGCAACAGAGCGAGACTCAGTCTCAAAAAGAATAACAATAATAATAATAAAAATAAATAATAAACTTGTGAAACAAAGCTTGGATTCCAAATAAATTACATCTTTAAAAAAAGTATTGAACTGTACACTTTAAACTGGTAAGTTATATGGTATGTGAATTATATCTCAATAGAACTGTTACCAGAAAAAAAAGCAAAGAAAGGAAAAGGAAAGCAAAAATCTCAGGAGCACATCTGGTCTCTTGGTCAAGTATGTGTAGATACATGTTAGATTTCAGCTTTTCACCCATTAGGATAGGCAAAAACAAATTTTTTGTTGGGTTATAGAATCCTGTTTAACAACTCAAAAGCTGACTTCAAAATATTGTTTTTCCATCTTTCCATCTCTCCCCTGCTTGTGGTACTGCTAACTAGGTCAATTCTCCCCAGTTGGTAAATAAGGGAAGAGACCTTATAAACAATCTGACCTCAAAGCCCCTACATGTGTCTCAGTACCACATTCCTTTCTACTATGGTCCACTTAAGCCCACAGTTCTCATTCTCCTCTACAACTGAAGGATTATGGGTAGAGATCTTTAGGAAAAGGGTGCCATTAAGTTGGTCCTTTTTTTTTTTTTTTTTTTTTTTTGAGACAGGGTTTTGCTCTATTGCCCAGGCTGGAATGCAGTCGTTCAATCACAGTTCTTTGTGACCTTGAATTTGTGGGCTCAAGCAATCCTCCTGTCTCAGCCTCCCAAGTGGCTAGGACTATATATGTAAGTAACCAAGCCTGGCTAATTTCTTTTTTATTTAAAAAAATATATATTTTTTAGAGACAGGGTCTCGCTATGTTGCCCAGGCTGGCCTTTAATTCCTGGGCTCAAGCTATCCTCCTGCCTTGGCTTCCCTCAGTGCTGAGATTATAGGCGTGAGCCAATGTGGCCAGCTTAACTTTGTAAAACTTACAAATCTCTCATGAAGCACCCTGTATTGGATTTCAGTGTTTAGACTCAAATGTCATTAATATCAAACAGATTTTCTTTGGAGCCTGTGATAATGGAATTGTATTCTCTTCCATTTAAAAAAATTGCTTATTTTTTGAATAATTTTGTTCATTTCATTGGGACAGAAGTTATGGAAACATACTTAACCTGCCACTTTCCCCACAAACTCCTACCAATCTAATTGACTATATTGCTTGGATTATGGAAGGCTGATAAACGTTAATTCTGATGGCCTTACAACTCTTCACAAATGTAGTACTAAGAACACCAGAAAGTAAATCTGGCCAACAGAGCTCTATGTCCCAACCACCTTGGACAACAATAGCTGCACCAACATGAGTAATCATTCAAACTCTCTGGATCCATTTACTTATAAAATAATAGGGTTGACCTAGACAAACTATAAGTCATCACTTTGTTCTAACATTCTATTAACATGATTTGAGGTCATGTTTAGTTCAAATATTATATTAATATAACTTTATTACAACAATATTCTGTAAATTGAGGGTTTTACTATTTAGATTACTTTTTAATTTTCAGATAGCTAAACCTCTCCCTCTAGTGGAAATTTTATTTTTAAAAAATGTTTTAGAACACACAAGGTTGCTGTGTCATTTCTTTTTCTATCAGTCTTCACAGTAAAAATGTAAAAATGTGCTCAGTATGTAAAATGGTAAAACTATTTTAGAAGGCAATTTGCCACTATCAATCAGAATTTGTAAGTTTCCTTTGACCCAGCAATTCTACTAGATATGTTTCTAAAGGCATACATACACAAGTTGGTATAGAATATGCTAGAATTTACCATTAAGTAATAAACATTTCAAAAACTTTTCATCAAGTTATTATATCAGAATTGTAAGCAATAAAGAGAAACGAGATAGTCCTTTGTTTTTCCCTCCCCAAGTAAGAACTCTTGGTGCCTCTCACACAACTGATTCCAAAAACCCTGTTGATTCCACAGCTCTCTGTAATTTCTTCCAACACCTTGTTTACCAGTCCTGGTCTTCAAGAAGAATCATAAAATCTAAAAGGCTCAGAGAGAAAGTGAGAGTTCTTAACACAGCCAGGGAGAACACACTCTTTCTGTAGCACTTTGTTAGTAAAACCAATCAGTCCCAAAACACATACATACTTTAAAACTTAAACAATGACAACTCATGTCTCTTTAGAGACTCAGCAATTACTAGGTTCTATGTCCTTCAAAGAAGATATCTACAGTTCCTCTCCTTAGATTTTTTTCCCCCTGCATCCGCTAAAGCATATAGGACAGAAACTGCTAGTAGTCCCCTCTATTTATACTTTTTTCTTGCCCCAGTTTTTCACTGGCCATATGGCCAAGCATAACAAAGACTAAATTCCCAGCATCCTTTGCATGAACTTGTTGGCCAATAGAATATAAGTGAAAATGATGAATGTACAACTTCCAGAAAGTGTCCTTTAAAAGAACAGGCGAGGCTTTCTTTGCCCAACTTCTTCCTGATACCTGAAATGCTAATGTGATCATTGTGCCATGACTTGAAGCCATGTTGGCTGATGGTAGAACCTGATTATCATAAAACCACCATATTAGCCCTTGAAAACTTACAAGTTTACTTAAGTAATAGAGAAATACACTTCTAGTACCTTTATTTTTAAGTTTTCTGTCTGGCACAGCTCAACTGACTCTAATTCATTCAGCATGTGAGCTAACAGTATAATCTCAGGCCATTATCAAATGGTCACAAAATTTTCAATCATGCTTTCATGACATGAGGATGAGAATATTGGCTTAAAATACTGTTGAGGTCTGGGTCAGTGCCAACACTGTCTGTTAGGAGGCAGAGTGTGGCCACAGCAGCAGGGGTTGCAGGACCTAAGTGGCAGGACATCCACTGTCTGGCTTCTGTCCTGTCTGTGCTGCCCTGGGGCGGCTGCCCAGGCCCAGCAGGCCAAACCATGTGGTAGTTCATGCTAGGAATGACTCTGGTCAGGCAGCTGTCATTCTTTAGGAGCATATCACATTATCAGAAATGTCTTCTACTATCGGGGGACCTACCCCAATAATCACATAGGTTCATTTCTATTTTTCCTAAGCGTCGGCCGGCTTGAGAAATAAAGGGACAGAGTACAAAAGAGAGAAATTTTAAAGCTGGGCGTCCAGGGGAGACATCACACGTTGGTAGGATCCGTGATGCCCCACGAGCCACAAAAACCAGCAAGTTTTTATTAGGGAGTTTCAAAAGGGGAGGGAGTGTGCGAATATGTGTGGGTGACAGACATCAAGTACTTAACAGGGTAATAGAATATCACAAGGCAAGTGGAGGCAGGGCAAGATCACAGGACCACAGGACCAAGGCGAAATTAAAATTGCTAATGAAGTTTCAGGTACCATTGTCATTGATAACATCTTATCAGGAGACAGGGTTTTGAGATCAACTGGTCTGAACAAAATTTATTAGGTGGGAATTTCCTCTTCCTAATAAGCCTGGGAGCGCTATGGGAGACTGGAGTATATTTCATCTCTGCAGTCTCAACCATAAGAGACAGGCGCCCCTGGGGGGGCTGTTTATAATCCTATACCTCCAGGCACGTATTCTCTTTCTCAGGATGTCCCATGCTGAGAAAAAGAATTCAGCCATATTTCTGCCATTTGCTTTTGAAAGAAGAGAAATATGGCTCTGTTCCGCCCGGCTCACCAGCAGTCAGAGTTTAAGGTTATCTCTCTTATTCCCTGAACAATTGCTGTTATCCTGTTCTTTTTCCAAGATTCCCATATTTCATATTGCTCAAACACACATGCTGTACAATTTGTGCAGTTAATGCAATTATTACAGGGTCCTGAGGTGATATACATCCCCTCAGCTGACAGGATTAAGAGATTAAAGTAAAGACAGGCATAGGAAATCACAAGGGTATTGATTGGGGAAGTGATAAGGGTCCATGAAATCTTCACAATTTATGTTTAGAGACTGCAGTAAAGAAAGGCATAAGAAATTATAAAAGTATTAATTTGGGGAACTAATAAATGTCCATGAAATCTTCACAATCCATGTTCTTCTGCCATGGCTTCAGCCAGTCCCTCCATTTGGGGTCCCTGACTTCCCGCAACATTTTACATGGTGACCTCATCCTTATCTGACTCAGGAAGGCATCAAATTACTATTTGATACTTTCCATCAGAGGTTTAAGGTGACTGAAGTATGCAACTTAAATAAAGTGAAGATATTGTAGTCTATGTTGGATATTATAGCCTATGTTATGTCTCAGGCCATAGCCCCACTAAGGAGCATACCAATCAATCTTAGGGTACAACCCATCCTGGAAGGTATAACTCCACTAAGAAGCTCATTCACCTCAATGTCAGAGGATAATCTTTCCCTTTTCACTTGGATTTGTGGACAAGCCTCTCAAGGACAAGACTAATTCTGCCCACAACGGAGCTTCTCTCCGCATAACCTATGAGGCAACTGTGAAAGAGATGAACTCTTACAGTAGAAAAAGCCTGCAAGACCGCAAGGCTGCTAGGATTCCCCTGAGCAGTTTCCTGGACATATATACTAGAGTGCAGATGTTTTCGGAGATGGTAGTGGACCATAGGATTATGATTCCACCAACCTGCCATGGGTTGCAGGCCTGGCCCATTAATGGATGCCAGCATACAGAAGAGCATTCAGTAGATTACCACTCTCAGGTCAAGTTCACATCAGCCACAAAGAAAGAAAATATAGTCAGTCAGACTATGAAACCTTTTACAAAGGGACAACATCCAGGAGTCCCTGAGCCACCTAAAGGAAAAGCCTGGGGTGGTGGCACAGGTTGTCCAGCCTAAATGATACCAATCCATTTGGGTCCATTCTCTGCTTGAGTCTTCAGCAAATGATCTTTGTGGTCATGTGATATCTCCTTGGTGACCTTGTACATCCCCAAGGCCTGCTGCCCATATGGGAACAATGTCAGTCCCCTAGAGCCACTTACCACCCATGCCCCTGACACATTGAACATGCTGAAATGTGTTTTGTATCCTGCTCAAATGGCCTAGGCAATGCTATACTACACCTTTTCTTGGTCACTTTGGCAGTGTGAGAGTGATACTCTAAGACGAGTACAGGCTGGGAGCTTTGCCATCAAATGAGGGGGTCTAGACAACCCCTAGCCCATCCTCAGCCTGCCAGAGCCAGTAATAGCAAATGGAGACTTGGATTGCAAAGAGAAGCAAAACTTCCAAACCCAGGTAACTGTACCAAATCCTTGGGACTAGTTAGGGAGTGGCTATCTGACAAAGAATAAGGAAAAGTCCTGACTCCATAACCAAGTCCTGTCTCATACAAAATGGGAAACTTGGGACTGTTTTTGTGGCTAAGGACACTGATGAAAAGGATAAGGAATCCTGGCACATGACCCTGAATATAAGCAGGCAGCTTGTCCATAGGACTCAGTTACAACAACTACTCTACACCACTTTAGATATCTGATGAGCTGAGGCCAATGCAGCCTGACAGCCCTTCCCTGTTCTGTTCCTCCTCTTTGCACACATTCCCTGTTGGCCCAACTGGCAAAACCAACTGGTTGAAACTGCTTTCTCCTCTTTCAACTGCTTTCTCTGGCTTTCAACTTTTCTTGGAGTCAGCCTTTGAAGGTGGCTGAGCCCTGTTCTGCTGCACCCTGGCCAGTGGGGTTACTTGTTATCATTCTGTCTGCTTTCGCTTTCCTGCTTCCTGATATTATGTGAAGGTCTTAGCCAAAGGGGTCTTCCTCCCTCTGTTGTGTCTCAGCAGTTCAATACGAGGTACAAGATCATCCAGCCCCAAGGAGCATTCAAATGGCTGTGGTCCCAGATGACCACAACCTCATGAGAGGCCCTGAGCAAGGACACCCAACTGAGTGGCTCCAAAATTCCTGACCCACACAAAATAGGTGAGATAATTAATAAATATAGTCAGCCCTCCCTATCTGTGGTTCCACATCCATAGATTGACCAACTGCAGACCAAAAATATTTGAAAAAAAAAAATCTACAGATGCAGATGGTTGGATCTGTACTGAACACGTACAAGTTGTTTTTCTCATAATGATT
Organism: Homo sapiens; assembly: GCF_000001405.40. Lineage (NCBI taxonomy): Eukaryota > Metazoa > Chordata > Mammalia > Primates > Hominidae > Homo > Homo sapiens. Next base: position 173,278 of record NW_025791788.1, on the reverse strand, counting down.
CCCTAAACAATATACTATAGTAACTATTTCATAGCGTTTACATTGTATTGGGTATTGGAAGTAATCTAGAAATGATTTAAAGTATAAACGAGGATGTGTGTACATTATAGGTAAACACTACACGATTTTATAGAAGGGACTTGAGCATCCGTGGATTTTGGTACTACAGGGAGTCCTGGAACCAATCCCTCACAGATACTGAGGGATAATTGTATTTTTGGTGGTTTTTTTTTTGTGTGTGACAGAGTCTCACTCTGCTACCCAGGCTCGAGTACAGTGGCACAATCACAGCTCACGGTAGCCTTGACCTCCTAGGCTCAAGCAATCCTTCTACCTCAGCCTCCGGAGTAGCTGGGAGCACAGGTGCGCACCACCACGCCTGGCTAATTTTTTATTTTTTTGTAGAGACAGGGTCTCACTACATTGCCCACGCTGGTCTCAAACTCCTGGGCTCAAGCAATCCTCCTGCCTTGGCCCCGCAAAATGCTGAGACTACAGGTGTGAGCCACCATGTTTGGCCTATTTTGGGTTGTTTTAAGATGCTAAATATTATGGAGACTGGTTAAGCAGCAATAGATAACTAATAGATATTAGATGGCTGGCATATCACCTAACTACTGATGACACCCAGGACTATTCCCACAACCTCATGGAATTGCACTGGAAGCCCAGGAGCATCTTGCTACCTGTCCTTCAATAAAGCACCTTTGGCTTTCACAACAACCCTACCATATGCAGTTGCTGGGCTATTAATACCTGAAATTTTGAAAATGTACCACTTTGCACAAATGTGCTATGAATGGGGGGGCCCTGGCTCATGAACTCCTCTTCAGCTCCATCACTGTTGAAGGCTGGGGTGTGGGAATTGTTTATCTCATAGCAGAAGTATCTCTGTTATCACAACATGCTTCTTAATTTACCTGAATTTCCAGAATCTGAAATTCAAGTTGAAATGTAACCATGTGGCAATTTCCTGATAATCTGTGTCTCTGTAGAACTTTTCTAATACCTGTAAAGCAGAAAAACAAATATTTTGTTTGCAAATAGCCATTTTCTTCAAATGTGTATTATTTAATTTTGTGTGAATATCTACAATACATGTGGGTATATGTGTGAAAGTGTGCATTAGCAATTACATTGAAAAACTCTGGAAGAACGTAAACCAAATTGATTATCTTTGCAAAATAAAATTAATGATAACTTGTGTTTCTAGTTTTCTTTTTTTTTTTTCCAGAAGGAGTTTCGCTCTTGTTGCCCAAGCTGGAGTGCAATGGTGCGATCTCGACTCGCTGCAACCTCTACCTCCTGGGTTCAAGCAATTCTCCTGCCTCAGCCTCCCGAGTAGCTGGGATTACAGGTGTGCACCACCATGCCTGGCTAATTTTTGTATTTTTAGTAGAGACAGGGTTTCACCATACTGGTCAGGCTGGTCTCAAACTCCTGACCTCAGGTGATCCACCCACCTCGGCCTCCCAAAGTGCCGGGATTACTGGCATGAGCCACTGCGCCCGGCCAAGTTTTCAACTATACCAAAAGTTATGGTAAGTAGTAGAAATGTACTAGTATAACCCTAGACAAATTTGAGTCATGTTAACTGTTCAATGCTTTTTATTTTTTCAACACTATCTAGTACTTAAAGGCAGTAAATTGAATCCATGCGTTCACCTCTGCCATCTCTCAAAACTTCACTAAAATGTCAGTGATATTTTTGAGATATAACATGCATACATTTGAATGCATAAAATGCCCTATTCTTAAGTATACAGCTCAATATTTCTTTTATACATGTGGTTGTTCAGGTAACTACCACTGAGATCATACTACAGGAATTTTACAGAACCTATAAGGTTCCCTCATATCCTTTCCCAGGCTATTCCCTACCCCCAAGAGGTAAGTAAGCACTATCCTGACTTTACGTAGTCATCTAGTTTTGCTAATGACGTTACTTTTAGAAGGGCAAGATTCTACAAGGATAAAGGGAACAGGGAAGATAAGAGCAATCAGATTTGGGAAGCTGGAAATCAGATGGATGCACTAGATAGCACATGGACAAATGAAAGTGACCTGGTAGAGCCAGGAAAACTGAAACCTAAGCCAGCAAATGAGGAAAACCCAGAAGTAAGTTCATTTACATAGCAGAATACGAGACGGGTATTATGAGTCAGCAGCACCAAGTACCTTTATGGGAGGTGAACCTGGGGCTCAAAATAGGAAGACTGGTTAAAGATTTGTTCAATAAGTAGTTAGGAAAAAAAGACAGAATGGTACAAATTGACATAATTTGCTTCCTAATTAGATGTACTGGTAAGAACAAAACATCACTTTCATAGTTTTCCTGCCAAAATTGCACAGGAATGTCATCAAGAGGAAACTATCAGAAAAAAAAGAGATTGAAGAACAATCTATAATACAAGTGGTCTTCAAATATGTCTATGTCGTAAGAGACAGAGAAGAATGACCAGATTAAGGAGACTAAAGAGACATAACAGATAGATGCAATGCTTAATCGTGGATTAGATGTGGAATTGTTTAAACAAATAGCTATGGAAGACTCACTATGGTTAAGATGTCAGTTCTTCCCAACTTTGATCAGTACATTCAATGCAATCCAATCAAAATTCCAGCAAGTTACTTTCTGGATATCAACAAAATGATTATCAAGTTTATACGCAAAGGCAAAAACTCAGGAGAGCCAGAATAAACTTCAAGAAAAATAAAGTTTAAGAACTTAAATGACCTGATTTAGAGACTTACTATAAAGCTACAGTAATCAAGACAGTATGGTATTAGTGAAAGAGTATACAAATAGGTCAATAGAACAGAAGAGAAAGTCTAGAAATAGACTCACGCAGATACAGTCAACTGATCTTTGACAAAGGAGCAAAGGCAGTTCAATGGAGAAAGAATAGTCTTTTTAACAAAAGGTGCTGGATCAACTGAACATCCATATGCAAAACAAAAAAAAAAAAGAATCTAGACACTGACTATACCTTTCACAAAAATTAACTGAAAATTTATCACAGATCTAAATATAAAATACAAAACTATAAAACTCCTAGAATATAGGAGAAAATCTAGATGACCTTGGGCTTTGTCCATAAAAATAAATGTGCCAAAAATGCGGTAAAGAAAAAATGCAGATGGAATCCTGGAAATAATCTACAGCAACCACTTTATTTTGCATATAAGAAATCAGACAGAGAGAGACTTACTAATCTGTCCAATCTCTAGGCTTTATTTTTTCTTTATGTCCAGGCTTTATTTTTTCTTTATAGATGAACACTATGCATACATAAATTGCATATAAATATATAGCATGATAAATTTTCAGTTCAGTACTTTTTAACTTGAACACACTGATTTTTATTTTGTTTTATTTTATTTTATGTTATTTTTGAGATGGAGTCTCGTTCTGTCGCCCAGGCTGGAGTGCGGTGGCACCATCTCCACTCACTGCAACCTCTGCCTCCCGAGCAGCTGGTACTACAGGCATGCCCCACCACGCCCTGCTAATTTTTGTGTTTTTGGTAGAGACAGGCTTCACCATGTTGGCCAGGCTGGTCTCGAACTCCTGACCTCAAGTGATTCGCCCGCCTCGGCTTCCCAAAGTGCTGGGACTACAGGTATGAGCCACCACAACCGGCCTTTTTTTTTGTTTTTTTGGTTTTTTTTGAGACAGGGTCTCACTGTCACCAAGGCTGAAGCGCAGTGGTGCAATCTCAGCTCACTGCAACCTCCGCCTCCCAGCTTCAAGCCATTCTCCTGCCTCAGCCTCCCGAGCAGCTGGGACTACAGGAACACTCCACCATGCCTAGCTAATTGTTGTATTTTTAGTAGAGATGGGGTTTTACCATGTTAGCCAGGCTGGTCTTAAACTCCTGACCTCAAGTGACCTGCCCACATAGGCCTCCCAAAGTGCTAGCATTACAGGCGTGAGCCACTGCACCTGGCCTGATTTTTATTTTTAAATAATGAGTAAGGGTGCATTTTTAACAAAGTTCACAGACAGCAGAAGAGGATTAGTCCTTCAAAACCATCCATACATCAAGCCCATCTACATATTTTTAACAACATACATTTAAAGCTAATCAAAAGACAAGAATAAAAATTATAAATTAAAATACTACTCTCGGCCAGGCGCAGGGGCTCACACCTGTAATCCCAGCACTTTGGGAGACCGAGGCAGGCGTATCACGAGGTCAGGAGATCAAGATCATCCTAGCCAATGTAGGGAAACCCCGTCACTACTAAAAATACAAAAATTAGCTGGGCATGGCACTGCGTGCCTGTAGTCCCAGCTACGCGGGAGGCTGAGGCAGGAGAATTGCTTGAACCCAGGAGGCAGAGGCTGCAGTAAGCTGAGATTGTACCACTGCACTCCAGCCTGGGCGACAGAGGAAGACTCTGTCTCAAAAAAAAAAAAAAAAACCCTACTCTCATTACTTTGCAGTAACACTTAATTTTCGACTCCAAATTCCATTACTTAGTTTGTAAACCGACTCTTACAGAATCAAAATGGAGAATTTAAAAGAATCATCATAGGCACTGAAGGAAATTCCAAAAGAAAGTTCTAAAAAATGTTTGGAGAAATAAAAGCATAGCTGCAATAAAGTCTACATTCTTCACATGATTATTTTGAAGGAAATCAAGATCATTTGATTACCTAGCTTCAGCTACATTCATTAACACACCACAGAAACTGTGTCTGCCCAACTAATAGCTATGGAAAACAATAATGACTTCAAAAAGCTCTTTGATTACGCCACTGCACTCCAGCCCGGGTGACAGTGCAAAACTCCATCTCGAAAAAATAAAACAAACAAAAAACAAAGGAAAAAGAACAAAAAAATAAAAAACAAGATATTTCTCTTCCGGTACCATTACTCTTGCTGAATTACTTGCAATTAATTTCAAGAAACTCCTATAACTACTTAGATTTCTGGCTTTAAAATGATATTTCTTCTTCATAATTTCTATATTTTTCCAAGTTTGCTAAAATGAGCACATATTACTCACAGGAAAAAAGCATTTCAACTCTTGTGATGTCCCTGTCTGAAATCTCCCATTCAAACCACATTAGCTTTGTCAAGACTCTACGCCTAATCTTCATGCTGCGGCTTTTAAGCTAGTAAAAGTCTTATAACTGGCCTATCCTCATTCTCTATTCTCTCTGCATTCCATCTCTTCCTTTCAAGTAATTTAAGTCTCCAAATTCCATCACTCTGTTTCTACATGTAATTCAGTCTCCCTGCAGTGGCTGCCCAAGACCCTCTCCCCTGTCATGAGGGTAATTTTCAGTGGAAAAGTCAGAAAGCACACCAAAAATGATTTCTGCTTTTGGGAATGTTATTCTTGACCAACCAAAGTTCTTGACATCCAGTTGCACAGCTGCAGTAGCTTCCCTTTATCTCTTAGTGCATCACAGATCTTTGGCAATAAAATCTAGTCATTGGGACCAGAAACCTTCCTTCCAGCAAAAGGTCCAGCTGCTAAAATATTTATCTTGGCAGCTTTCATGTCAGTGCTGAACAACTCCTAAGATGTATAAATTAATGGTGCTGTTGTTCTTATAATCATTATTCGCTTATTACTATTTACTTGACTATTAAGGTACTTAATGATAAAAACTGTGTCTGTTCTTTTCCATCAGGAAGGAGAAGGTAAAAAAAAAAAAGAAAGAAAGAAAAGAAACTGTGTCTGTTCTTTAATATTTATCTCAGGCAGCCCTTTTTTTTTTTGTTTTAAATGGAGTCTTGCTCTGTCCCCCAGGGTGGAGTGCAATGGCACAATCTCAGCTCACTGCAACTTCCACCTCCCGGGTTCAAATGATTCTCCTGGCTCAGCTTCCCAAGTAGCTTAGATTACAGGTGCCCACCAACACATCCGGCTAATTTTTGTATTTTCAGTAGAGACAGAGTTGCACCATGTTGGCCAGGCTTGTCTCAAACTCCTGACCTCAGGTGATCTGCATGCCTTGGCCTCCCAAAAGCTGGGATTATAGGCATGATCACGGGGCCTGGCCCAGGCAGCTTTTTGAACACCGTGATGTTCAAAAGATATGTGAGTAAACAAGTTTACCACAACCATACTTTCAAATACTTACCTTGTAGAATTTTAATTCAATATTATGACAACCAATTTCTTATGCATAATAAGGTAAGCTTCCATACTATGTCTAGATTTAAAAAAAATGCTTACTCTTTTCTGTCATCTCAGTGCTTGTTAGGTCTTCTGTCTGCTTGGAGTGATTTCTTATATTGATGCCAGTAAGCGTACTTAGAAATGAAAGTTCTGATTCTAAATGTCCAAGCTGATTTTTCAGATCTTTTGAAGACTTCCATCCTTCCAAATTGAATTGGTGTATGGCTTGAAAAGATTTTCTAAAAGGCAAATATCAAAAATAATCACTCCAATTACTAACACGTGTTTCATCTAATAACCCCATTTTCCTCAAAGCATTCCCATTTTGTCCCTCTTACTCTCTTCCAATTAAGTCACCTTCCCCCATTAAAATAAAAAAAATTAAAAAATTAAAAAGAATTTTCTCAAAACCAGTGTGGTTACTAACACCACCACTTTTTTTTTCTTTCTTCCTTTTTAAGAGATGAGGGTCTTACGCTGTCACCCAGCCTGGAGTGCAGTGGTGTAATCATAGTGCACTGCAGCCTTGAACTCCCAGGCTCAAAGGATCCTCCTGAGTAGCTGGGACCACAGGTATGCCACTGTGCCTAGCTAATTTTTTTTTCCTTCTCATAGAGACAAGGTCTGGCTTTATTACCTAGGCTGGTCTTAAACTCCTGACTTCAAGCAATCCTCCCGCCTCAGTCTCCCAGCGTGCTGGATTACAGGCGTGATCCACCATGCCCAGCCCACAATCTTTAATTTCAACAAAAAACATATGTAACCAAATTATACTTCCAAATTTCCACATATTAGAAACACCTTTCAAATAAATTATAACAGGACTACTTTGCAAAATTACAATGTGTGTTCTGACCCATGAAATTCCAGCCTAAATGTCTGATATATCTCTCAAATTATTTTAAAAGATGTCTTGAAATTAAAAAATAGGCCAGGCGCCGTGGCTCACGCCTGTAATCCCAGCACTTTGGGAAGCCAAGGCGGGTGGATCACGCGGTCAGGAGATCAAGACCATCCTGGCTAACACAGTGAAACCCCATGTCTACTAAATATACAAAAAATTTGCCAGGCGTGGTGGCAGGCGCCTGTAGTCCCAGCTACTCGGGAGGCTGAGGCAGGAGAATGGTGTGAACCTGGGAGGCGGAGCTTGCAGTGAGCAGAGATTGTGCCACTGCACTCCAACCTGGGCGACAGAGCGAGACTCCCTCTCAAAAAAATAAAAAAAGAAAGAAATTAAAAAATAAAATCAATTAGCTAACTTTAATTTCTAAAAGTAAACACCACAGAACGTTTTATAGTAAGAAAGAGATTTATCGGAAAAAGAAATAGCAAATCTCTTTAAACATCACTATGGCCAGACATTCTTCATTGAGAACATATAAATATATTTTCCTTGAGAAAAAGAATGAAATTTTAGTTGGCCTGGCGCAGTGGCTCACGCCTGCAATCCCAGCACTTTGGGAGGCCAAGGCAGGTGGATCACTTGAGGTCAGGAGTTCGAGACCAGCCTGGCCAATATGGTGAAACCCCTTCTCTACTAAAAATACAAAAAATTAGCCTCGAGTGGTGGCGGGTGCCTGTAATCCTGGCTACCCAGGAGGCTGAGGCAGGAGAATTGCTTGAGTATGGGAGGCAGAGGTTGCAGTGAGCCAAGATCACGCCACTGTATTCCAGCCTGGGCAACAAAGTAAGACTCTGTCTCAACAAAAAAAAAAAAAAACAAAGAAAAGAAAAAAAAAACTTAAACTTTTTTAAAAAAAGAAATTTTAGCTAATAATTGTATTAGATGGTATTTTTTTTTTGTCATCCATTATTTCCTTTAAACACTCTGCTACATTCTATACTGTTGACTTTTCCGGCCAGCTTAAAACATCTCTTCCTTGGATTCTTGGGCATAATTATCCCAATTCTCATTTGCTATCTAGGGTCAGCTTCTTGTCTCCAACATTAGAGGAAAACCCTAACACTCTTACTTCTGCTATCCTAAATATGTATTCTTTCATTCTGCAGGAACACTAAATGATTAGCCTTAGCTCCTCTATGCCAGTAACTCTTAAAATATACCTCTAACCATGTATCTCTTCTTCCTGCAAGGTAGATCTAGCTTGATAGCTCACCAAATCGTTTCTCTTGGAATCTGCTTTTCCTCTAAATTACCCTACATTTGTTAATAATAAAATATTTCCCTTGGTATGTCAGGCTCTATACCTTGGAAGTTATCCTTGACTCCTTCACTTGCCTGACATCTGGACTTACTGCCATCCGTTCTGCTCCCTCACATAACTATTCTTCCTTTTGTATTTCTAATTCTACTACATTAACCAATGCTCTTATGACCTTATACCATCTCTACACAGAATAATCTAACTCTATATTCTTCACACTGAGAATCCAAGACTTAATAAAGTCTGTAAAATTTGTCTCAAATTTTGTTTTAATGCTAATTTAAAATGTTAATATAAGTATATTCTGTATCATGAAACTACCACAGCTTCTTTTGCATTTGCCATCATAGACTGATGCCCCTACAAATTACATTAAATATAGAAGTCAAGGAAAAAAGAACAGATTGGGCACAGCGACTCACTCCTGTAATCCTGAGGCAGCCCAGGAGTTCAAGACCAGTCGGGCCAACATGGTAAAACCCCATGTCTACCAAAAAATACACACACACACACACACACAAAATTATCTGGGCATAGTGGCAGGTGCCATGCCTTCAGTCCCAACTACTTGGCTGGTGGAGGGTCGCTGAGGCAGGACGATTGCTTGAGCATGGGAGGTGGGTGAAGGTTGCAGTGAGTCATAATCATGCCACTGCACTTCAGCATGGGCAACAGAGTGAGACCCTCTCTCAAAAAACAAAACAAAAAAGAAAAAGAAAAAGAAAAAAGAACAGAGACAATCTTCATATATAAATGATGTGCGGCCGGGCACGGTGGCTCACGTAATCCCAGAAGTTTGGGATGCCGAGGTGGGCAGATCACCTGAGGTCAAGAGTTCGAGACCAGACTGCCCAACATGGCGAAACCCCATCTCTAGTAAAAATACAAAAAATTAGCTGGGCATGGTGGCGGGTGCCTGTAATCCCAGTTACTCGGGAGGCTGAGGCAGGAGACTCCCTTGAACCCAGGGGGCGGAGGTTGCAGTGAGCTGAGGTTGCGCCACCACACTCCAGCCTGGGCGACAAGAGCGAAACTCCGTCTCAAAAAAAAAAAAAAAAAAAGCCATAAATATAAATGAGCTTCTGACAAGTGAACACCAAATGTCACAGCAAACTATGAAGGAAAATTTCAAGGTATTTCCGATAGAGCAAAGTGGTAAGAGAACCAAGTCATCATTAAAGGCTGGATATGCAGAACTCAAAAAAGAACCTGCAGTTGTCAGAGTGGCTAGTAGGGAGTTCGTGTTTAATAGGTATGGTGTTTCAGTTTAGGGGTGATGAAAAAGTTCTGAAGATGGACAGTGGTGATGGCTGTACAACAATGTGCATGTGTTTAATGCCATTGAGCTGAACGCTCAAAAATGGTTAAAATAGTAAATCTTATGTATATTTTGCCACAAAAAGAAAATCTGCATATTCTTATTCATAGCAGTTATTTAGTTTGAGCAAAATATTTGTGTATTTCAACTAATGATGTTAGTTTGAGCTATTTTGGATTTGTTTGAATTTTATTCACTTTGTGGTTTTATTATTTGTAAGTTTGTCCTCATAACATAAAAATTTTTTGTCAGAATTAGGAGCTTGCAAGAATTTTTTTTCCTTTAAAATCAATCTGTACACGAGTTTAAAGGTCAATGGTCTACTAATGAGTGTTAGTTACTATTATGAGGCAAGTACTCTTCTAAATGAACTACATATATTAACTCAATTAGTCCTCACAGCAACCCAAAAACTTGGGTATAATTTTACCACGGAGGAAACTGAAGCACAGAAAGGGGGAGCTCACTTAACCAAGATCACTCAGCCAATAGCAGAGACAGGATTTGAAAGCAGGCAATTTGGCTCCACAGTGTGGACATATGGATATAGCTGAATAATTTAGCTCCAATTTTCCTACCTCCAATCCATCCAACCACTTATAATCACTTAAAAAAATAGCTTGGTACATAGGTTCCAATCCTCCTCCTCCACTATAGTGAAAAGAAACCTCACGGTTAAATCCAAACACCCTGGACTGACATTTAATGTCTCCCACAATCTGGACTCTTCTGACTTTCCAATTTAACCACTGAGAAGTCCCAGATTATATAAATAATCTACTAAGAACTAAAAATAAAATCCTACCCCACCCCCACAATCACCTGAACCGACTCCCTCTTGGTCAAGGGGACCCCAAAGAAACCTTAAAAACTCAGTTCTTAACCATGACAGGATGGGAGGTCAGACACACCTCGTTATACCCCTTCCTATTTGGGATGTAGACACAACAACTGACCAGCATTAATGTTAAAATAGAGATCGTAAGAGTTGCAGAACGGACTCTGTGGCAATAAGATACCAAATTATAAACAAGACCTAAGGCCATGCCAGGCAAGGGTTAAGTCACATACCCCCTACCTTTAAAAGAATGAACTATGTTCTAACTGCCACAATATTTTTTTCACTAGCACTGGCCTCCAGATAAGCAATATTGAAATAATTGCAGTTCATCCACCACCAGATGCTAACTGATTCCCCTGTTCCACAGGCTTTGATAGGACAAGAGAATGATTTCAAAAATTTTCTTTTGATAAGATCACCAACCATGGACTTGTTCTAACAGGTTTACAAGGCCTGTGTACTTAAGTACCTTTGCTTCCCTCCTTCAACTTTTGACGTACAGGGCCTAATTGTAATGCATTTAAATATTAAGTCAGCTTCCCAAAATGAATATGGAGTGCATGTAATATGCATTTTTATTCAGTACAGGTGAGCACATCTCCCTTCGTGAATATTCATAGCCCCTCCTATAACCTGTTGAATATGTATACCTAGCCCACTCATACAGCATAAATCCCTGCCCCAACCCCTCCTCCTCCAAAGTGTGGGCCTTTCTGCTTTGCCTGAGACTATGCTTCCTAGCCTGTCAGGATGGCCACTTTGCAGACTGTAACCCTTTTTAAGAAATAGTCTCTCTAAATTTGCAGATCTCATGATTTTTCAGTTGACACTACTATGGGGACTAATGAAATCTTGTGGCCAGTAAAGAAACTATTTTTCCCTGGTTCTTAAACTTCCAAGTGTGCACACAAATCCTCTGTTAGGGCAGTGTATTTTTTTAAAATGCAGATTCTGATTCAGTAGGTCAGGATGTCGCTCTAACAAACCGCCAGGTAATGCTAAAGCGTCCCATCTGTGGAGCACACCTCAAATAGCAAGGGTCTTTAATACATTTACTCTCATTTGTGGAGGAGCACACCTTTTTCCTCTCCCTTTAACCAGTCACAGCTTCCTCTACTTTCATGACCGCACGCAGACATTTTCTGTAGATCTCCTCCTTCCCATTTTCTACCAATTCTTCTCCAGTTAGCTCAGGAAAAATCCCATTCTTTCTGCACCTATGTCAAATTACTCTTGACTCAAAAATTGAAGACAGTTTATGTTTTCGAGAGGCTTCTATGTTTGAGATGATAATACATAATTACGGTTGCAGAGCTTTTCTCTCCCTCTCCTTCAATAAACCAAAAGTGCCCAGACTTTGGAGTAAAATTTTTGGGTCCCAATCCATCTCTGACAATTCCTTTCTCTGGAACCTTGGACAAGCTACCTAACTTCTCTGAGCCTCAGTTTCTTCAACTATAAAACAGGGCTAACAGTAGCACCTACCTCAGAGGAATGTCAAATTCTCCTGCAGTCTATATTAACTACTTTTCTTTTATCAACTTAGTTTTTTACCGAAGTTATTTTTCAAAGGAATTTTTATGTCATCGTAAACACAAAGTCATTATCAGTTGAGATGGTTAGCTGACCTACCAAAACAAATGCCATGAAACCAAACGGAGTTATTAAATCCCAACTAGAGATACTTCTGCATACTGGAGGCGGAATTATCTAGCTAGGGATATAGTCAAGACTTCCTCCTTGTCAGTCATCCACACAGACGACTGCGATTAAACGAGTTAATACCCTGCAATGCGTTTACAGCTGGGCGCCGTACGCGCTGCTCCCAACTCTAGGCCATCGTCATGACAGGATCAATGCCAGTTCATGCCCACTTTCTAGGGCTGGGAGTAGGAGACCGAGGATGTCTGTGGAGATTCACCCGCCTGGCCCGGGAACCCTGGCCAGCGGGCCCTGGGGGACTTGGGGTGGTCACGTACTGGACTCGGGACTTCTCTTCCCAGGGCGCCGGTGGGTCCTCACACGCTCGCCGCAGGGCCGCGATCTCAGCTTGCAAGGCGCGCACCTCTGCCAGCTCTGCGTCCATGGCGCGTTGCTGACCGCAGCCGGGCCGGCAGCGCAGCTGTCACTCCGACCTGCGCGCTTCACCCGCGCTTCAAGCCTCGCGCGCGCTCCCGGCGCGGACCATCCCAGAGCTCACGCGGAGGGGAGGCGGGAGAGCTCCGCGTGACCCCAGCGGCCCTGCACGTCCAACTCCGCTCTCGCACGAGAGCCTGAGTCCTCCACTTCCCCGCACACGTTTCCCTGGCTGTCTAAGCAGTGGCTATACTTTCTCTGGAGAGCGCGTTCTTTGCTACTCCAAGCCCAAGCGCTCCGCTGCTCACCCTAGCCGGCAGCCTTGGAGCCGCCCGGCCGCGTGCCTCACTAAAGAGGCAGGGCTGGGATCACGTGGAGGGGAGCGCCTCTTTATTTTTTTCACCTACTTCCTCTCTTACGCCGACCTAGTCCAGGAATTGGTACACACAGCGATAGTGTTCAATAGAAACTAGGGGATTTTGGTTTAGGCTCTTTTGCAGTCGTTGAGGGGGAGGTGACGGAGGCGTCAGGGAAGGTGGGAGGACGGAAAAGGAAATTAAAAGCTCTTGGGAACTGAATTGTGGTAACGGAACCTTAGGAGGCTGGGTTGGAAATCGAGTAGGAAGGAAGAGAGGATGCTCCGTTGGGACACGTGACCAGAAGTTAGGGGCTGCAGCGGCGCTGGCTTTAGGTGAACGACGTGGTGAGGAGTGGGTTTCGGGCATGAGAAGTCACAGGGCCGTTTCCTAGTCTCTCTTCACTTCTTTGGGTCTTCTCAGAGAAAGAAGGCTGCCGTGGGTAGGCTGGGGGCGGAGACTATCGGGAAGAGGTAGGCCGAAGTTCTGCCCAGAATACACGCCATGTGGTGGACGCTGGTTGGGAGTCTCTTCTGGAAAGAGTCTGTCAGCTCTTGGGGAAGGGAAGGGCGAGAGCTGAGCGCCTGCCGGGTGCTAAACGAAATGAGAGATACTATGATGGGCCCTAGTACCTCTGGAAAAGTTTTCCTGAGTCCCCTGTGATACAGCAACCTTCATAGTATAGTGTTAAGAATTCCAAGTTCTGAAGGTAGACCTGCATTATAATCCTGGATTCACTAATTTTCGGTATGGCATTGAGGAAGTGACTTAACCTCTTCTGCTCTCCTGAAAAATGGGAAACATGCAAACTACTTTGTACAATGCAGGCACATAGCAAAAACACAAGTCTGTATTCGCTATATCCCTTGATCTTTGTGTCTGAACCCCACTTTGCAGCACTTTTATTGTGACATAATATTGTGCCATTTGTTTTATTCTTTTGTGACTATAAGGAGCTCCTAGCCTCTCTATTCACTTCTTTGGGTCTTCTAGGAGGAAGAAGGCTGGGGTGGGTAGGTTGGGGGTGGAGACAATTAGGAAGAGGTAGGCTAGCTCTTTTTATCTTTTAGTGCGTTACATCCTGTTTCTGTCAGACTTTGTTAAAGACAGTAAATGAATGTATGAGTGAGTCAAGGAAAAACATCTAAAAACATGAATACATAAAATTAAGAGGGATAGAGTGTAATATTATGGCCATTTGGAGGAAAAAAACTCTGTCTGTACCTGTGTCTATATGGGTATGGGGTTGCTGTTCCAAAGTGCATTCATGAAAGATGTGGATGTAGGGCTTGGGCAAAACCTCGAAGACTAAAATTTGGAAGTAATACAATAGGAAGTGAAATACAGATCCAGGAGACGGATTTGATACAGAAGGTTCAGAGGAAGTAGTTGTTTTGTTAGATTTTAGAAGAACTAAGGGAAAGAACTCTTCTCTGTATACAGAAAATTACTTTTCCCACTGAAACACACCCAAGTATATGCCCAGCCTTCATGAAAGTGAACAGAGAAACGAAGCGCCTTTATGTGGGTGGCCTTAGCCAGGACATTTCTGAGGCAGACCTACAAAATCAGTTCAGCAGATTTGGAGAAGTTTCGGATGTGGAGATCATCACACGGAAAGATGACCAAGGTAATTTATGGTCCTTCACTGGGCAGTTATAGGCAGACATAACTCAGGTTAAGTGCTAGAAAATAAAACAACCCCAAGATAAATGTTAGCTCTGAACACCAAAAGTTTTAAGTGATGTTGTGGAGGTATAATGTGTGATGTGGAACTTGACCAGAATTTGTTTCTGAAATAAGAAAAAATTCCAAATTCTAAAACATCTGATTTCAGAAACATATTAACTTCCAGTTTTGAGAACTAGAATTTTCTAACATGGATTAAGTGTCCCGTTAAGTAGACTATCACTAGCATACAATCAAAATGTTTCCTTATCTGACTACTGGACATTTTCTTCTTTTTTTTTTTGGAATATTTTGATAATTATGCTTATTTTTATAGCCAATAAAAAACAAGGTTTATCTTTGAAATAATAAGTTTTCAAGAGCTATTTTTTTTTTTAATTTAGAAACAACCGTTTTTACATTGCTCTCTGGATAAGAATTTAAATAAATTGTTTTGTTTGTTTGTTTGTTTGTTTTTTAGGAAACCCACAGAAAGTTTTTGCATATATCAACATCAGTGTAGCAGAAGCGGACCTGAAAAAATGTAAGATCATCATATATTTTCTATACTGTTTGCCAGTTTGTATGACTCTGTAACTTGGAATAACTGGTTCTAAATCTAAACCTCCACAGCCATTTTTCACGTTATCCAGAGGGACAGCAGTGATGAAGAGAATTCCAGTATCGTATAACTCAGCAGGTTTAGGTCCATTCCATTTGGCATCAGCAGACATGGTAGCACTTTACTGGTGGGTTTACTTAAAACTGCTATTCTCAAATATTTTGGACAAGGGACCAAACTTTCATAGAAACTGCCTGTTACATATATCCCACTGAATATCATGCCACATTCCCCCTCAGTCTGATCATTTCTTTGACAGCTAATCCTTGTCACTAAACACTCTTGAGGGGGCTTTAAAATACACCCTTGTAAGACCGTATCCTTGAAATTGTGAAATCTCTTGTTGATAAGTTTAGTAAAGTCAAGGGCAAACAGTGGCCTTCAATGAAGAATGGGAGATAATCCATACTGCCGCTGACACAGTAACATATTCTAGTTATTTGGAGGCCAAAAAGTGAAAAAAGACACGGAAAATAAGTAAAGGGAACACGCTAATAGAGGAAGAGGGCAATCAGTCTTTTGTAATTTCATTTGCGAAAAGATTGCTTTATTCTATTTTACATTGAGGAATATATGTGATAAATGTGAAGTTGTGGTTAAGAATACATCAACTAGGCTTTGTGACCTGTGGCAAGTTACTTAAACTTCTCAGCCCAAGTTTGCTTATGTGATGAATGACAAAAGATAGTGCTTGCCTCATAATATTTCTGTGAGAATTAAATTAAATGATACATTTGCAATACTTTGGGAGGCTAAGGCAGGTGGATCACTTGAGGTCAGGAGTTTGAGACCAGCCTGGCCAACATGGTGAAACCCCATCTTTACTAAAAATACCACAATTAGCTGGGTGTGGTGGCAGACACCTGTAATCCCAGCTACTTGGGAGGCTGAGACAGGAGAATCACCAGGGAGGCAGAGGTTGCAGTGAGCCAAGATAGTGCCACTGCACTCCAGCCTGGGCGACAGAAGGACACTCTGTCTCAAAAAGAAAAGATAAATTTGTACTTAGTACAGTATCTACCACCTACAAAATTCTGTTAATGGTATTATTAAGGAAGCTGACGGCAGATGCTCAGAGAAATCAATTACTACGGCATAGTAATTCAAACAGTTCAGTCACTCATAGTTAATTCATCTGCAAGTTCTACAGTGATAATTAGTATGAGGTGATAAATAAAATTAAGGTGCTGTAGGATTCCAGAGTGTCCTCTGATTCACCTGAAAAGATGATTGTTTTATAGTTACAGGAAATATATGTTTTATAGTTACAGGAAATAACAATAAAATATACATTAAATATCAGTTATTCAGAGGTTCCTGACATTTGTTTACAAACAAATTGCAAATAAATTTTGCTTTACTTTTTACACATTTTGCCTCATTCCAATCTAGTAACACTGTGAGATAGGGAGTGTAAAGACTCTTTTGGTAAGTTGTCAAGATGAAACAAGAGCCTAGGCTCCCTCTCTCCAGGTCTCATTTCTTTTCTTCCACTTCCCCTGGATCTCTTTGTGATAAACAAGCCTGCTTTTCTTGATACTAAATAATTAGAAAAAGCACAAGCTGAAATATATTTTTACATTGCCATGTACTTGTAATAATTCTTTACTTTATAGGTATGTCTGTTTTAAATAAAACAAAATGGAAAGGTGGAACATTACAAATTCAACTAGCAAAAGAAAGCTTTCTGCACAGGTAAGTTTTGCTCCACATGGATTTAAGCCCTATTTTTTTTATATTGTAAGTGGTTTTATATATTATTTCAAATTATCAAGTAATATAGTATTATATTCTTAACAAATTCAAACATATAAGTAGAGCTGAAATCCCTTTCAACTCTGAATCCCCTTCACCCCAGACGAACAAAAAGGATAATTTCATGCATTTACGTATGTATGTAATAAGCTATAAAAGTATATATGTACTTATTTTCTCTGTTAATGAGCTATAAAAGCATATATGTACTTATTTTCTCTTTGTTAACACACCCTTTTGTGGCAATGTAGATCTTCTCCCTTTATAACAATTGTTAGTAGTATTTCAGAAAATGGTTATACCACAATGTAGTGGTCCCTTCCCACTGATGACTGTTTCTACTTTTTCATGGTCATAGATGATCCTGGAGCACATATCCTATGTATATGCAGGTGTTTCTCTCAGTTTATATCAGAAAATGGAGTTGCTGAATCTTAGCATTGTCTGCATTTAAATTTTAGTAGACTACTAAATTGCATATGTTGATTTTGACTGTTAATGCTAGTGTCATACCAAAATATAAAGGAAATAGGAGATCACTGTATGACAGGCATAAGAGTGATTATGCAAGTGATTTAAGAGCAAGACAATGTATTATAAAAACCATTAGAGCTTTTAAAATCCTAAAGGTATTTTCAGGAAGAAAAGGTATTGTTGGGGAGTTTTCAAAATAGGAAACAATTTAAGAATATACAGATAGAGGCCGGGCACGGTGGCTCACGCCTGTAATCCCAGCACTTTGGGAGGCCGAGGCGGGTGGATCACCTGAGGTCAGGAGTTCAAGACCAGCCTGGCTAAAGTGGTGAAACCCCGTCTCTACTAAAAATACAAAAATTAGCTGGTTGTGGTCATGGGCTCCTGTAATCCCAGCTACTTGGGAGGCTGAGGCAGGAGAATCACTTGAACCTGGGAGGCGGAGGTTGCAGTGAGCCTACATTGTGCCATTGCACTCCAGCCTGGGCAACAGGAGTGAAACTCTTGTCTCAAACAAAAAAAAAGGAAAAAAAAAAAAGAATATACAGGTAGAATGACCAGGAGAGTTGATAAGCTTGTTCCAGACCAATGAAATGTAACAAGAACAGATATATTCTAAAACGAGTGGCAAGCAACCTACTTTGAGGCATGTTTTGGGGGACTGGCCTTATGAAAAAGGTGAGAATTTGATTTTGTTCTTCAGCTGAAGCCTAGGACTGTGAACAGGGTGGTTATATACCTTTCATTCCAGCAGCAGTTGCCAGCCTACTGTGTACAGGCACTAGAGCCCCATGCTGAGCAGGTTGAGCACACAGTGCTGCTGCTTGGAGTATCTGCGTGGATATGCCTGAGAAGCATGGGTCTGATGGTTATTCTGGGACATAAAGGAGACAGACCAGAGGCAAAGAGGCCAGTGAGGACTGCTCTGTGCAGTTGTCCAGGCCTGAAGAAGGTGGCGGTGATTTGAATCAGAAGAGGTGGCATTCTCTTCATTAGGAGGATATGGATAATCAAGACCTAACAAATTGGGCTCCGAAAGATACCTTCGTCATGGGGAAGAGTGAATGGAGAGAAGATAATATAAAATGCCAAACGTATATAAATTGAAAGGGGAAAATTGAGAGAACTTGCGATCCATGGTCTTGGTCTTCCATAAAGGGGAACTGGGACATCCACTGGAGCAGAGCACAGGTATAAGCGTGCATGTCAGGGATTTGGGAGACTGACTGTAGTGTAGTGGATGGGCTAAGAAAAGAACCCTCATGCTCTGGTGGGACAGCCCTGACAGCACAGCTTGTCACTGCTGTCCAACCGTATAGCTCAGTTGCTGGTGGTAAGGGACTGGTCAATAAACTACAGTAGATTGATGGAAAGGCATGTTGTACAGCAATCATAGTGATGTTTTCAAAGAACGTATAAGTTGATAAATGAAGTGTACCCAACTGTGCTTATGATATTTGGATTACATTATAAAATATGTATATTTACATACAGAACAAAGATGAAGTTAAGTAAACAAAATATTAACAAGATGAGGGATAAGGAATATGTTTTGTTTTCTTAACGGTTCTGTCTTCCAGTATTCTATAATAAAAACATTGTATGTTCAGATAAGTAGGTAAGCTATTATGCTACTAAGAAAGCATTTTTGTTTTATTTTGGTTTTTAATACTACAAAGCTGTTTATAGTGCTCATTTAGGCACACCTAAAGTGAAATAACCATTTTACGTGGCTGATTATTTTGACTCTTTTATTTGTATTTTCTTTTTGATTCAGATTGGCCCAAGAGAGAGAAGCAGCAAAAGCTAAGAAAGAAGAATCAACAACAGGTAACGCCAACTTGTTAGAAAAGACAGGAGGAGTGGATTTCCATATGAAAGCTGTGCCAGGGACAGAAGTGCCAGGGCATAAGGTGAGTCTCCTCTGTAGCCTGAGCCAATTACATGGTCTTGGAAACTGATGCCTGAGATCACGTGATTGTGGGTGTCATGTCTAAAACCAGTTACTCTTTTCCCCTTTCTTGGAGGCAATTAACATAGATAGGACTTTATGATTTTCAAGGTGCATTTACAACTCTTAGGTAAGCATAGTTCTCCATCATTTTACAGAGAAAGAAATCAAAACTCAAGCAGAGGTGGACTTTCAAGGGACATAGGTAGCAAGGAATACAGGCAGGTCCCAAGTTTGCCTGTTCAAATTAGCAGCCAGTGTTTTTTGTAAACCATCTTACACGGTTTACTTGGGATTGATAGCTGCTCCAAATCTTCCTTTTTTTTTCTTTCCTCTCACAATTTTTCTCTTTGGTAACTCTTATTTCATTGTCAGAAAACTAAACCCAACAGTAATCATAGCCCACTGATTTTTTTGTTGTATTTACCTAATATTGTTATTAAATCTTTTCCATTTGTGTCACATATAGTAAATAAATTCTTTTTTTTTCTTTTAGAATTGGGTTGTGAGCAAATTTGGAAGAGTCTTACCTGTTCTTCACCTTAAAAATCAACATAAACGTAAAATATCCTTTGGCCTCTCAACATAATTATTTACCACAGTGACGGATACTTGTAAAATACCTTTAGCATTTCACTGTCTCTTATCAGTGAATCTTTAGGTGTTTGTTTGCGTGTTCCCAGTTTCTTGGTACTCACCTACATGTATGAAACAATTAGAGCATGAGAAAATGGATTGAGGTTTTATACAATAAGTAATTCAAATGATGAGTGCCAAAGAAGCAGGTTGGTTTATTAATTTATTCATATTGTCATACATGGATTCAAAGCCATTGCTGAAGGAGCTAAAGAGGGGTGAGAGACCCAGAGACCATCATTAAAGAAGGCTTTAGAATTGAGGTAGGTTTTGAATTAATAAGAAGTGATGGGAAGTAGTCTTGGGAGTAGGAATAGTAGATAAAAATATGTGGGCAAGCACGAGGATGGTGGGTTGAGAAATAGTTTGGAGCAGAGTGTGAGCAAATTCTAATGCCTATTCAGTGAGGTCACATTGTCTAAGACCTTGAAGACCTGGTATCATGGAATTCTGAGCAGTGTGTCTTAATGTATTCTTTTTTTTTAATCTTTTTTTTTTTTTTTTTTTTTTTTTGAGATGGAGTCTTGCTCTGTCCCCAGGCTGGAGTGCAGTGGCACAATCTTGGCTCACTGCAGCCTCTGCCTCCTGGGTTCAAGCAATTCCCCTGCCTCAGCCTCCCAAGTAGCTGGGACTACAGGTGTGTGCCACCACACCTGGCTAATTTTTTTGTATTTTTACTAGAGACGGGGTTTCACCATGTTGGCCAGGATGGTCTTGATCTCCTAACCTTGTGATCTGCCCACCTTGGCCTCCCAAAGAGCTGGGATTACAGGCATGAGCCACCGCACCTGACCGTCTTGATGTATTCTTTAGCTTGTAACCCTGGTGTCAGTCAGTAAGGGGAACAGTAGCAGGTATTTGAAACAGAGGGATTATAATATATGCAGTTAGTTAAACAAGTGCTGGAGGAGCAAAAGCCAAAGGTCAGATTCCCCACTGATTGACAACTGCAGTAAACCACTACCCCACTGGGACTAGAGAAGCAAAAACGTGTGTCCTCTGAGCTCACAGCTACTGTGCCACTGAAACCACTACTACCTGAATCCAGGCCCTAGTTGCACCGGACATAGCTGTGACCTCTGCCCTCCCTACAAGTGGCTCAAAGTCAGGAAAGTACTGATTTCTTCTTTTCCACTTTCCAGCTTTCCACCAATGGCAGCTGCTGATGGCAAAGAGGAAGATATTGAAGGACAGTAGAGACAATAGACACTTTTTGGCACACCTCACATATAACTGGCACATATAAGTAGTTATTGAAAAAAGGGACTTTCAAGAGTAATCGCTTAAGGTGGGGTGCAGTGGCTCACACCTGTAATCCCAGCACTTTGGGAGGCCACTGGGGGATCACTTGAGCCCAGGTGTTTGCGACCAGTCTAGGCAACATAGTGAGACTGTAACTCTACAAAAAATATTAATAAAAGAAAAATCAGGCTGGGCCCGGTGGCACATGCCTGTGGTCCCTGCCACTGGGGAGGCTGAGTTGGGAGGATCACTTGAGCCTGGAAGGTTGAAGCTGTATTGAGCCACGATCATGCCGTGGCACTCCAGCCTGGGTAGCAGTGAAACCCTGTCTCAAAACAAAAAAGAGTGATAGCTTAAAGCACCTTAATACTTGCCTATTCATATGCTTTAGGGAATCAGCAAATGACAGCCATCATTACAACACATCGATGTTAACTAGAATCTTTCCCGGATAGTGTCGACATAGGCCTGGTAAAGATTTATTAGATTTTTTTTAATTTTTAATTTTTATTTTTAAGACAGGTTCTCACCATGTTGCCCAGGCTGGTCTCGAACTCCTGGGCTCATGTAATCGGCCCACCTCGGCCTCCCAAAGTGCTGGGATTACAGGCATGAGCCACCGTGCCCAGGCCAGCTTTCTAATAAAGACCTAAAAATGTTGCAGAGAGTGAGTTCATGTGAAGTGGATGTTATTCAGCTAGGAGAATCAGAGTTAGGATGAGTAAGAACTGAGAGAACAGAAATAGCCAAAAGAATTTGAGAGTAAAGGACACACATGTGGCCATGTCCTCTGGGTTCTCCTGAACCCAGAACTTTGCTTTACTGTATCAGTTCGATGGTTGGATTTCTGTGATTTACAGAAAATAGCCCTGAGACCTGTGTACCTATAATATAATCTGAATAGGTTTGCTATAATATCCACATACACTCCAAGTAATTTCTGCCAACTAATAGTGGTGGTACTAGACTTTAACTCAGCAAATGTCATAGAAAGCTCAGTTTCTTAGACCCTGAAAGGTAACCTAGTTAAGTCCTCATTTTCTTTTACAGGAAACTGAAAGGGGGGGGAAATGACTTATTTGAGATTAAGCAATATTTTTTGTATCAAAGATTGATGAGTTTTCCTAAAACCAAGTGCTTTAGTTTTGTTTCTTGACTTGCGTAACATCATCAAATATGATCCCTCAAAATACTGCCACAACCTGAAGAAGATAGGGGAGGATTTCTCAAACACCATTCCTATATCCAGCCTGACTTGGGAATTAGAAGGAGGGAATGACCCTATGAGTAAGAAACGGCGAGGAGAGTTCTCTGACTTTCATGGCCCTCCCAAGAAGATAATAAAAGTGCAGAAGGATGAGAGTTCCACTGGGTCTCTGGCCATGAGTACAAGGCCCAGGAGGGTAATAGAGAGACCACCCTTAACACAGCAACAGGCTGCACAAAAAAGAACTTGTGATTCCATTACTCCTTCTAAATCATCTCCTGTACCTGTTTCTGATACTCAGAAACTTAAAAATCTACCTTTTAAGACTTCTGGCTTGGAAACTGCCAAGAAGAGAAACAGCATTTCTGATGATGATACTGATTCTGAAGATGAATTGAGAATGATGATTGCGAAAGAGGAAAACTTACAGAGAACTACACAACCCTCAATAAATGAATCTGAAAGTGATCCTTTTGAAGTTGTAAGGGATGATTTCAAATCAGGCGTTCACAAACTGCATTCTTTAATAGGTTTAGGTATCAAAAATCGTGTCTCTTGCCATGATAGTGATGATGATATTATGAGAAATGATCGTGAGTATGACTCAGGAGATACAGATGAAATTATTGCGATGAAAAAAAATGTTGCTAAGGTCAAAAACAGTACAGAATTTTCACAAATGGAAAAATCTACGAAGAAAACTTCTTTCAAAAATAGAGAAAACTGTGAGCTTTCTGATCACTGTATTAAACTACAAAAAAGAAAAAGCAATGTAGAGTCAGCCCTCAGTCATGGATTAAAGTCTCTTAATCGTAAATCTCCCTCTCACTCCAGTAGCAGTGAAGATGCTGATTCTGCATCAGAATTAGCTGACTCTGAAGGAGGTGAGGAGTATAATGCCATGATGAAAAACTGCCTTCGTGTGAATCTCACTTTAGCTGATTTGGAACAATTGGCTGGCAGTGATCTGAAGGTTCCAAATGAAGATACTAAGAGTGATGGACCAGAAACCACCACCCAATGCAAGTTTGACAGAGGCTCCAAGAGCCCCAAGACTCCCACTGGCCTCCGCAGAGGCCGACAGTGTATTCGTCCTGCGGAGATTGTGGCTTCCCTGTTAGAAGGAGAGGAGAACACCTGTGGCAAACAGAAACCAAAGGAAAACAATTTAAAGCCAAAATTTCAGGCTTTCAAGGGAGTAGGCTGTCTATATGAAAAGGAGTCAATGAAAAAATCCTTGAAAGACAGTGTTGCCTCTAACAATAAAGATCAGAATTCCATGAAACATGAGGATCCCAGTATCATATCCATGGAAGATGGGTCCCCATATGTTAATGGCTCATTAGGTGAAGTGACTCCATGCCAACATGCAAAGAAGGCGAATGGCCCAAACTATATTCAGCCTCAAAAAAGACAGACCACTTTTGAAAGCCAGGATCGCAAGGCAGTGTCCCCTAGCAGTTCTGAAAAGAGAAGTAAGAATCCTATTTCTAGGCCATTAGAAGGTAAGAAGTCCTTAAGTCTTAGTGCAAAGACTCACAACATAGGCTTTGACAAAGACAGCTGCCATAGTACCACAAAGACAGAAGCTTCACAGGAAGAGCGGTCTGATTCAAGCGGCCTCACATCTCTCAAGAAATCACCAAAGGTCTCATCCAAGGACACTCGGGAAATCAAAACTGATTTCTCACTTTCTATTAGTAATTCGTCAGATGTGAGTGCTAAAGATAAGCATGCTGAAGACAATGAGAAGCGTTTGGCAGCCTTGGAAGCGAGGCAAAAAGCAAAAGAAGTGCAGAAGAAGCTGGTGCATAATGCTCTGGCAAATTTGGTGAGTATATTTTCAATGTATGGATTTAACAAGAACTCAGAAAGTTCAGCTTTTCTTTCCCATGAAGTTAGGTGTGCCCCCATAGAGCTGATTGTCTTGGTGTTCACCAGTTTCATGTTTTGGTTCTTGAGTTAGCTTTTTCATCTGGTTTATCTGAAAATTTCTTTATAATTTTCTTTCATTTAGAAGCTATACCTGGTATAGTTAAGTAATGTATTCAAATGTGTCTGAATTTACATAAAAATCACTTGTCAAGTGATTTATACCTTGCCAAGTCTTGCCAAGATTTACTGTAATGGGCTTTTGTTCATTCTTCTAACAATTGTTAAGTACACCTTTATAGTAAGTGCCAGATTTATAGTATGAGGATGGTGATCTTGCCTTTCATACAGTTTTTGGCTCATGGTGTGGCATGCTGACAGTCACAGTTCAGTTACACAGGGCCAGGAGGGGGTTGTGCCCCTGTGCCTTGGCAGCACGCAGGAGACACACTAAGTCAGTTGGGAGCTTCTGTAGTCTGAGCTGAGTGGTAGGAAAAGATTTGTGGGAATTGGTCAGGCCCAGGTGAAAGGGTGGAAAGGGAGTGGAAAGGCTTTCATTCTAGGAAAAAGGAACCGTTTATACAAGGGTGAATGTTTTCAATCAGTGTAATTAAAACTTATACAGCATGAGATGGCAAGAAATGAGGCTAGTGGTTTCATTTTGTTCATAAAATGAAAAGAGAGTGAAGAATTTTAAGCAAAGGAGAGAAGATTAATTGTGTCTATTTTGGAACAGGAGTTGACAAACTACACCTCAAAGGCCATCCAGCCCATGACCTATTTATGTACAGCCTTCAAGCTAAAAATAGTTTTTGAGTACAGAACAAAGACGATATGTGGCCTGCAAAGCCTAACATATTTACTCTGGCCTTTTACAGAAAAAGTTTGTCAACCTCTGTTTGGGAGAGATCCTTCAGACCATGATGAAAACAAATCGAACGGCTCCGTCTGTAACCAAGGAGAGCCTTTGGGGAGGTGGAAAGTCAAAACCGTAACAACAGCAATGGGAATAGATTGACTGAATTGATACCAAAAAGTTTAATTGATAGGACTTGGTGATAACTGGATAGGGATAGAAAGAGGAATTGTAAGTTTCTGTCTTAGGCAAATAAACAGATGGTGATGGCATTCACTAGATAAGGAAAAAGGGCAGGAAGTAGACTTGGCAGGGGAAGGGAGTGATAGGTTTAGACATGTTCAGTTTGAGATTGGGTTGTTTTAAGACAATGCTTTTTTTTTTCTTCCTTTATTTTAGGTTCTGGGGGTATATGTGCAGGTTTGTTACATGGGTAAGCTGTGTGTCTTGGAGGTTCGGTGTACAGATTATTTTGTCACCCAGATAATCAGCATAGTACCCAATAGGTGGTTTTTCTTTTCTTTTTTTTTTTTTTTTTTTTTGAGATGGAGTTTTGCTCTTGTTGCCCAGGCTGGAGTACAATGGTGTGATCTCGGCTCACTGCAATCTCCGCCTCCTGGGTTCAAGCAATTCTCCTGCCTCAGCCTCCTGAGTAGCTGGGATTACAGGCACCTGCCACCACGCCCAGCTAATTTTTATATTTGTGGTAGAGATGGGGTTTCACCATGTTGGCCAGGCTGGTCTCAAATTCCTGACCTCACGTGATCCGCCTGTCTTGGCCTCCCAAAGTGTTGGGATTACAGGCGTGAGCTACTGTGCCCGGCCCAATAGGTGGCTTTTCAATCCTTACTCTCTTTCCACCCTCCACCCTCAAGTAGACCCCAGTGTTGATTGTTCTTTTTTTTTTTTTTTTTTTTTTTTTTACAGGGTCTCACTCTGTCACCCTGGGGTGCAGTGGTATGATCTCAGCTCACTGCAACCTCCATCTCCCAGGCTCAAGCAATTCTCCCACCTCAGCCTGCTGAGTAGCTGGGACTACAGTCACGTGCCACCATGCCCAGCTAATTTTTGTGTTTTTGTAGAGATGGGGTTTCACCATGTCACCTAGGCTGGTCTTGAACTCCTAAGCTCAAGCAATCAGCCTGCCTTGGCCTCCCAAAGTGCTGGGATTTCAGGTGTCAACCACTGTACCTGGCCTATTGCTCCCCCATGTGTACTCAACATTTAGCTCCCACTTATAAGTGAGAGCATGCAGTATTTGGTTTTCTGTTCCTGTATTAATTTGTTTAGGATAGTAGCCTCCAGCACCATCAATGTGGCTGTAAGGGACATGATTGCATTCTTTTTTTATGACTGCATAATATTTCATGGGGCATGTGTACCACATTTTCTTTATCCAGTCCACCATTGATGGGCATCTAGGTTGATTTCGTGTCTTTGCTATTATGAATAGTACTCCAATAAACATATGTGTGCATGTGTCTTTATGGTAGAATGATTTATATTCCTTTGGGCAAATATCCACTAATGGGGTTGTAGGTCAAATGATAGTTTTGTTTTAAGTTCTTTGAGAAATCGCCAAACTGCTTTCCACTGTGGGTGAATGCATTTACATTCCCACCAGCAGTATATAAGCATTTCCCTTTCTCTGCAACCTTGCCAGCATCTGTTATATTTTGACTTTTTAGTAATAGCCATTTTGACTGGTGTGAGATGGTATCTCATTGTGGTTTTGATTTGCATTCCTCTAATGATCAGTGATGTTGAGCATTTTTTTTGTATGCTTGTTGGCCATGTGTTTGTCTTTTGAGAAGTGTCTGCTGTGTCCTTTGCCCATTTTTCACTAGGGTTGTTTGTTTTTTGCTTGTTGATTTGTTTAAGTTCCTTATAGATTCTGGGTATTAGACCTTTGTCAGATGCATAGTTTGCAAATATTTTCTCCGATTCTGTACGTTGTCTGTTTACTTTGTTGATAAGTTTTTCTTTTGCTGTGCAGAAGCTCTTTAGTTTAATTAGATCCCACTTGTCAATTTTGGATTTTGTTGCAATTGCTTTTGGAGTCTTCATCATAAATCTTTTTAAGATGCAATGCTTTCGATGGCCTCCCTAGGATGGTCATCCAGAGGATAAGCCAACGCACATCATCTTCGGTTCTGACAGTGAATGTGAAACAGAGGAGACATCGACTCAGGAGCAGAGCCATCCAGGAGAGGAATGGGTGAAAGTAAGAAGTTCAGGATGTCTCTGTGGACATTCATCTACTTCTGCAGATCCACACCACAAACAACTGGCAATCTCAACATAAAACCCTCCTGAGAGCCCCAATGAGACCCAGGGCTTGCCAGGTCACCTCATATTGAGACTACAGGGGTCTTGGAGATTTTTATATATGAACCTATATTCTCCACAACATCTGCAGCATGACATCAATATTAGTGAAACGCTACAAAAACTGTTCTTGCATGTAATAACTACCTCCCCAAATCCAGGCTTCACTGGAGAGCCTCTGGATTAGTGATCCCAGAGGCCAGTTAGATTTCACTGAGTCAGGAATTTCCACCTGACCTGCCATTTACTCATTCCTGGTAGATGAGTCTGGGTTACTGGCTTTCAATGTGAGGGAGAAGATTACGTTATGAAGGGAAATACTGCTTGTTTGCCTCTGCTATTAATAAATGTTGTGTTTCTTCACAGGAGTCTATGGGTAAAACATCAGGGAAGCTGTTTGATAGCAGTGATGATGACGAATCTGATTCTGAAGATGACAGTAATAGGTTCAAAATTAAACCTCAGTTTGAGGGCAGAGCTGGACAGAAGGTTAGTGAAGACTGAAAATAATTAGACTTGCAGCATGTCCTTATTTTTTGACATAGTCCTTAAATCTGGGTAAATGCAGGCAGACCTTAACCTACATTATAGCATCGGGGTGTTTATTTGGAGAGTGAGTCTTCTGTGATCCTCTCTGATTGGTTCATAAGTAGATGGAGGTAGGCAAACATCTTAATGTAGTGAATTTCAGTGTGTGGGGAGGTGTACATTGACAGTCTTCGTCAGAAGCAATTTCTTGGGAATGTGGCTATCAATTATGTATGTTTTCTGTCTGTGTAGCTCATGGATTTACAGTCGCACTTTGGCACCGATGACAGATTCCGCATGGACTCTCGATTTCTAGAAACTGACAGTGAAGAGGAACAGGAAGGTAAATGCTTCATTGTCCAGAGTCCTGATGTCATATCTGGGGACACTGAGAAATCACCTAGTATACCTCCTTTGTTTAACACATGAAGAAACTCTCCATCCCAAGACATTGGATTGAGGAGTTTATAATCAAATGTACAGTTAATACTAAGTTTGTTTGTACATAGTAATTTAGGAAAATTTAATTACTTAGAGCTGCCAGAAAGGAAAGGAAAAAATAACATCCACCAAAGGTACCATTTTCCTCTATCCCATCCTTGGCATGAGAAGAAGTTGAGTTTCCTACCTGGCAGTGGATCAGCAGGTTCTGGGTGAAGCCATGGAAGACAGTTAAGTCACTCTTGGCTTTCTAAAAGGAACAGTGTTCATCGTCCTCCAGTGTGCATACCTGGTGCAGATTATTTTTTAAAGCTGTGTATCACTGAATGCCATTCTACTTGAATTTATCCCTGTTTGAATGTATCTAAGAGTAATGATGCTATCAGAAGCATCCTAATTCTACTTCTTTTCACTTACTATAGCATTTTTCACAGCAGTACTTCCAATCTTTTTCTACAGGACCTTCTCCTCTTACCCTTTTAAAAACACCTTACCTCTTACGTCGCTGGCTTGAATGAGCTCCCTAATTCCCTCTCCTAATCTCAGAACTTCTCTGCCCTTCTTTTTTTTTCTCCTTCCTGAATTAATCTAATCTGCATTTTAATCCTCACCATTCCTACTTCCTATTACTCCTTTCATCACTTGCATTTTCATTCTTCTCCTTCTAGCTTCTTCCTTTTTCTACAGACATAGTTAGGTCTTGTGGTCCCAAAAAAGCCATTCCTCTAACCATGCCAGTTTTCAAGTTTGTACTCCATCTCTCTTTCAGTTCTAAATTTGAAGTGAAAAAGTAAATTACATCTAATTCAGTAGCAGTTGGCTTTTTACTGAAAACAATCTGTGATTTGATCTTCTCAATTCTTTGAGGTGATTATTAACAGTGTTGGACTGTTTCAGGAAACCAAGGTTCAGAGAGTTTTAAAATGAATTCTCTAGGGTCCTCCCAAATTCTGTTTCAGTGCTGAGATTACAGGCATGAGCCACTGTAGCTGGCCCTTTTCCAACTTTTGAAAGCACAATGTTTGTCTATCCTGCAAGCAGCAGCACAGCCAGCCTCCATCACCTTGAGCCCTTTCCAGCATTGTATTCTACTTGACTTTCTCACTCAAAACTCCATGTTGAAAACACAAGAATGAACAGAACCTGGAGACTAACCTTCATTTAGAAGGTACATAGGTTATTTTCTTAACTTCTGCCAATTTTGTCTGTTTCTTTACAACTCTTTGGGTGTGTGTTCCCTCAAAGCCGTAAACAACTTGTCCTCCAAGTGCAGTGGCATTGTCTCCAATGACATCCTCTTCAGCTAACCTAGAGCATATGTCACTGTTGATCATCCCTTCTTGAAATGTTCACTTTGCTTCCAATTGCATCATAACTTCCTGGTTTTCTTAACTCTTTATTCCTAATTTTTCTTTTGCCTCCAAATATGGGTTCTTCCCAGGGTTCTGTAAGTCCCTATAGCTTTAGCCTTCACTTGCACATGAGTATTTTTCAAATTTGGATCTTCTTTCTTCCTTGCTGTTCTGCTGAGCTCCCAACTGGTCTTAAACGCCTGTTGGATATTTTCCACAGGCTTTCCTGAGTTTGTGTTAAAACTCAGCAAGTCCAAACCAGCTCTTCTTAACCTTTCTGCGTTGATGGCGTGTCCATTCTTAGAATCTCTGTTGTTGTTTTTTTCTTTCCTTCTCAACATTTTATTTTTATTTTTTTGGAGACAGGATCTCACTGTGTTCCTCAGGCTGGAGTGCAGTGGCACAGTCATAGCTTACTGTAACCTCAAACTCAGTCTCTCTAGTAGCTAGGACTACAGGCATGTGCCACCATGTCCAGCTAATTTTTGTATTTTCATAGAGACAGGGTCTCGCTGTGTTGCCTAGGCGGGTCTCAAACTCCTGGCCTCAAGTGATCCTCCTGCCTCAGCTTCCCAAAGTGCTGAGATTATAGGCATGGAACCACTGCACCAGACCCCTTCCCAAATTTTGAGGCACAACGTTTTGTCTCAAGTAAGCAGCACAGCCAGCCTATATCACCTTGAGCCTTTTTCAGCATTATAATCTACTTCCCTAATGCTTATTAGATTAAAATTTAAATTGATGTTTTTGATAGTCAAAAGTTGTTGAAATTAGCAGTTTCAACCTAATGCAGTGTAAACTTTTTGTACTTTATTATTTCAATATATGTGTTCGTTTTGTTTCCAACACCTAGCATGCTTTCCTACCACCTCTAGGGATTCAACTCTATCTTTCCTACCTCATAACTTTACCTAGTTTATAAAGCATCTTTTGATTCAGTTAAACACTATCTCAACTTCCTTTGAACCCTTAGAAACTTTGGGGGCATCCCTGTAGAGTACTTAAATTAGCATTTTATTCTAGTTTCTGTTAGTTGGTTATTTATATCCTGCAGTAAGTTGAAAGAGTCATACAGGCTTAGACTACTTTTGTATTTCTGTAATCCAAACTAGCTGTTTAACTTTATTCTGTGATATTTTGTCTGTTTGTAGTAGTTGAGGATAGTAGCTTGTAAAAGTCCATGATGCCTTAGTATGTGTAGGGCATATGGTTTTTTTCCCATAATACTTGTTATTGAATCAAAGACTGAAACAACTATCCACTAATATCTTATATTGTCAGATATACCATTACCATTTTTCACTCTTTATCATTTTTAGATTTACGTAATTTAGATTATGTTTAGAATGTTAAAAAAATCAAAGAGTCTATAATCACTGTAGTTATTAGTATCTTGCTCTATTACATTTGTCGATCTTTACCTTAAAAGTTTTAGACTTGCTACTGAAAGCCATTAAATTCAGACTTTCATAATTAGGAACAGAAGTAGGACTTTTCATTGTCTGGTCACGCAGACTTTCTGAGTTTGCTATGACTGAGGGTCTTTGGTTATGGAGGTTAGTGAAATGAGGTTAAAGTTTCTTCTTCCTGTCTTAATGGATTTTGAACATGTTTAGGTACTTGGTAAATATTTGATGATTGAGACTTCTCAGGCTGTGTTTTCCAAGAGAGTATTAATTATCCCTTTTCCTCAAAGAGGTAAATGAAAAGAAAACTGCTGAGGAAGAAGAGCTTGCTGAAGAAAAAAAGAAAGCCCTGAATGTTGTACAAAGTGTTTTGCAAATCAACTTAAGCAATTCTACAAACAGAGGATCAGTAGCTGCTAAGAAATTTAAGTATGTTTTATGTTCCATCCCATTCTACCATATCATCCTTTGCCATAAATGTCTTCTTGAACTCAATTTAAAACTAGGTCTCTTTTAATGGCCTGGGGAGGCAGCTGGCAATATGTATCAGACCCTTAAAAATATACTTGCCTTTGACCCAGTGATTCACTTCAAGGAACTAATCTTAAATTATTTCTGTATTTATACACTTAGATGTCATAGCAGCATCGCTTTCATTAGTGAAACAAATGGGAAACAGTTTAAATAGTAACTGTAAAAGTATTTATATAAACGTAACTGTTATGGAAATTTTCAGGCATGAAATTTAGAGAGACTAATGAAAGCCCTGTATACCATCATTACCTGTACACCAGGTAATGAAAGCCCTGTACACCATCACCTAGCTTTTACAGTCACCAACATGTGACCAGTGTTCTCTTCTATACCTTTATCCAACCCCTACTTTACACAATGAAATGTTTTATGCAAATCCCAGATAGTATATCATTTTATCTGTATGTATTTTAGTATGTTTAAAATCATTTTAAAAGCTAAAAAAATCCAGGAAATCTCAAAAGTAGGTAGTTTAAAATATTTTTTCGGCTGGGCATGGTGGCTCACACCTGTGATCCTAGCACTTTGGGAGGCTAAGGTGGGCGGATCACCTGAGATCAGGAGTTGGAGAGCAGCCTGGCCAACATGGTGAAACCCCGTCTCTACTAAAAATATAAAAATTAGCCGGGCATGGTGGCACATGCCTGTAATCCCAGCTACTTGGGAGGCTGAGGCAGGAGAATCGCTTGAACTTGGGAGGCGGAGGTTGCAGTGAGCCAAGATCACGCCATTGCACTCCAGCCTGGGCAACACAGCGAGACTCTGTCTCCAAGAAAAATCTATGTATATGTTATTTCTAGTAAGATCCTAGTTATCTTATCTGATGTTATATGGCTTCTTCTTGCTGCAAAATTAGAATCTTCCTAGTGCTGAATTATAATTTGCTACTTACTTTTTGTATTAGTGTTCTGTTTTTATCTCTTCCAACCTCCCTTCCTTTTTTTACATAGGGACATCATACATTATGATCCAACGAAGCAAGACCATGCCACTTACGAAAGAAAAAGAGATGATAAGCCAAAAGAAAGGTAAGTAGAGCTACTTCTTTTAGCAATAGGATCATGTAAATTAATCTCATTTCAGACAATTAAAAATGTAGGTAGGAACCAATATCCTACTCATTGGTCCCACTGTATTAAGATTGGTGGGGTAGGGGTAGTGCAGGTAGAGTTAGAAAGGAATTATTGATGTGGTGGAGGAGGTCTTACCTTTTAACAGAGGAATCTATAAATGATATGTACTCCTATCATTTATACCTTTTATTTGTATAAATGATGCCTTTTATTTGTACTAGTTTCTTGTGTCTTCTGTAGCTACCACAAACTTAGTTACTTAAAATCACAAAAATTATTTCTTTACAGTTCTGGAACCTAGAAGTCCCAAATTAAGATAGTGAACAGGTTATGTTCCTTCTAGAGGTTCAGGGAAACAAAGCTGTTTTATGCCTCTCCTAGTTTCTAGTGACTGCCACCAATCCTTTGGTGTTCCTTGGCTTGAGACTACATTACTCCCATTTCTGCCTCTATCTTCACATGGCCTCTTCTTTTCTGTCTCTCCTCTTTGTGCCTCTTATAAGGACACTTGTGATAGCATTCAGGGCCCACTTGGATAATCCTGGATGGGCTCCTCATCCTAGGACCCTTAACTTAATATCTCTGCAAGACCCCTTATCTAAATAATGTTAACATTCACAGGTTTCAGGAATTAGGACATGGACATAGCTTTTGGGGGGCAACCATTCAACCATCTAGTGTGGTAGGAGCTTCTGTTTCCTATAGATGTGCAGTCAGTTGGATAAACATGGCAAATATATGGAGCAACCAGTAGCAGCTTGGTTTAAATCCTTCATTTTCCAACTGCTAATAGCCACGAAAATCACAAAAGGCAGTGTGGTATCCTGAATTGAATCTTGAAACAACAGGACAATTTGTGGAGAAACTAGTGAAATCAAAACAATGTCTGAGTTTAGTTAGTGGTAATCTACCAATGTTAATCTTCTAATTTTGACAATTATATCCTAGTTACATACACACATAATTACATTAGGGAAAACAAAGTGAAGGCTATTTAGGAACTCTACTATTTTCGTTACTTTCTGTAAACCTAAAATTGTTCCAAAATTATTCTTTTAAAAAGAATCACATTTTAGACTAAAGTAGAATATTAATATTCCCTCCAATGTAGGATATATGTGTGTTATTTCAGATAATCCGTATTGAACAAATAGGATATGTTTACCCCCTCCCTATACCCCTAAGAAGTCTCATCCCTTTACATCAGCTCAAAATCCAGGATGTCATCATTCAGATCAGATCTAAGTACAGATGAGGCTTCTCTGTTATTCCTTGAGTACAGTACCTTGAGTGCAGTTCTGTTTGATAAGACCTATGAACTAAAAAAGCAAGTTATCTACCCTTCCTCCAATATAGAGCGGTGGAACAGGCATTGGATAACCACTATAGGTACTGTTCAATGAAAGAAAACAGGCACAAAGGAGTCACATGTCCATAGTAACTCTGAAATCTAGACAGACAAATGTTGGAAGGTCTTTGATTAGGACTGAGGGCCTAGGAATAATTCTTCCTGACCGTTGACTTGGCTTTCTGGATCATCCTTCTCTTTTCATAAGTGCTGGCACAGGTTTACAGCTGAGTAGTTTTTTCAACCTGCTTTTTGCTTATAGAAATTTGGGAGTCCAAAAGCCTGTTCATTTTGAAATGTTCCTGTACCTACCAGTCCAGTCTAGTGGTATTTCTGATAATATAATTCTCTTAAAATCTTCATAAGTTATCTGTGAATCTTCTTGGAATTCACTCTGTTAGATGAAAGTCACACAAATCATTTTGAGATAAGCCTTTTTTGTTGTTTTTTTAACCCTGGGCTTCTACTGAAACTGCTGAGAGATAATGCCTCTAACCTCCATAGAAGCCCTATTGTTTGAACAATTGAAGTTTATTTTCTTTTTTGTATAATCTTAGAGACAGGGTCTTGCTCTGTCACCTGGCTGGACTGCAGTGGCACAATCATAGCTCACTGTAGCCTTGAACTCCTGGGCTCAAGTGGTCCTCCCACCTCAGCCTCCCACATAGCTGGAAATACAGGTGTGCACCACTGTTCCTGGGTAACAGTTGGAAGCTTCTTATCTCTTTTTAGGGTCTTAACAAAGAATTTTGTTTTATTTTTAGACCGAGGTCTATAACTTTTTCTGTGACAGGCAAGATAGTAAATAGATAAGACTTTGCAGGCCAGACCATCTCTGCTGTGATGACTCCACTCTACCTTTGTAAAAGAAAAGCAGCCATAGACAATATGTAAACAAATGAGCAAGGCTGTGTGCCGATAAAACTATTAAAGGACACTGAAATTTTCATTTCATATAATTTTTTCATGAAATGATGTTTGTTTTTCCCCCTATCATTTCAAATGATAAAAAAAATTCCTTAACTTGCAGTTCAGACATAAGTAGGCAGTAGCCTGGACTTGGCCCATGGACTATAGTTTGCCAACCCCTTCTTTAGACCATGTTTTTCTGAGGCTGTCATAGAGTTGATCTTTGCTTAGAAGCCCTTTCTTAAATTTCATGTCATTTGCCTTCTGGAGATTAGGAGTCTTCAAAACCATGAATTCCTGGCTCCCTTTAAAAAAAAAAATTCCTCCCTTTAGTTTCATTCTCTCCTCTCTTATTTCACTGTAATCAGTAGGATGAAACCAGAATATACCTTTAACACTTCGCTGGACATCTCCTTAGCTAGATCACCCAGCTAATTAGGTACATTTTCCATTTTCCACAGTACACACAATGCAGTTGACAGTGTTGCTAAACTTTCTACCACCATGTAACAAGGATTCCCTCTTCTCCAGTTTCCAATAGGATTTACCTTATTTTTCTCTTAAGCCCTTACCTGCAACCTTCTCAAAGACCATATGGTTTCTACTAACAGTTTTTTCAAGGTCCTTCTAGCTTTTGCTGTGATCTTAGTCTCAGAAGTTATATGTCATCCCATTTGGCTTACTCTGTCCATTAAAAGAGTCACTAAGTCCAGCTCACACTCAAGGGATGAGGGAATTAACTTCCACCCCTTGAAGGAAGAAGTAACAAAGAGTTTTTGGACAAATTTTAAAGCCACCACATGGTGGTTAAATGATAATCACTTGGAACTGCCTACCATTTTTTATAGAGCTTGGTTTCCTAAGAGGCATATCTGTCTTAAAACCTAACGAGGTTGGTTTATTTACCGAAATACTAAAAGTTTCTCTCTTTGATATGGTCTCTACCACTAAGAATGGTTATTTAGGATATCCTGTTCACTTATTATTTTACGTAGTACATTACAAACTTTGGCCTGGTCTTCGAGGAAAAAGGATTTTAATATTTTCTTAGCTCAAAATTCAGTATTGGAAACTGCCAAGTAACTTTTTGTCCCAGATCAAAGAGAAAAGCATATTCATTCCTAAATACAGAGCAGATTTATGGTAATATAAAAATTTCATTTCAAAAGACACTATACATATTTATAATTAATTTCTACAACTGATTTACAATTTTACCAGTTACTGGTAAAATTCCCAGTATCTTAGAAGTCATGTGGCTTACAGTTTTCATTTTGCCTATGAGAAAACTGAGGCCTAGTGAAGCTAAGTGATTTCCTTACTTATACCTAGGTGTATAGTTTAGGCATAATTTCTGAAATGTAGTTCAGAGAATGATAGAATATGATTCATGCAGCTGTTTGAGATTTGTGTAAAAAAAGCTTATTGATCAAGATTTTGCTTCTATTAGTAGAGTTCTATATGTAGAGTTTTACTTATTTTATTTCTCTATTTATAAGTAGAGTTTTATATTCTGGTTGTTGATAGGATAGAATTAAAGTTGTCCAAGATTTTTTCTTTTCTTGATTTCTGGAAATTTCCCAAAACTTGTTTCTTTGTGATGCACATGTCTACATATGTCATTTCAGTAAAGCAAAACGAAAAAAGAAAAGGGAGGAAGCTGAGAAACTACCTGAGGTGTCTAAAGAAATGTATTATAATATTGCTATGGATCTGAAAGAAATATTCCAAACTACAAAATATACCAGTGAAAAGGAAGAGGGCACACCCTGGAATGAGGACTGTGGTAAAGAGAAACCTGAGGAAATCCAGGACCCTGCAGCTCTGACCAGTGACGCTGAGCAGCCCAGCGGGTTCACGTTCTCTTTTTTTGATTCAGACACTAAAGACATAAAGGAAGGTACTTTTCTTTTTTCCCATACTTTTTTATTTTATTCAGTTTGAACTTAATTGATTGAATCTGCATTAAGTGTAACAGATTTCATGTTAGCTGAAGAAAGGACTCTTTCTTCTACCTAGAAGATTTGAGATTTAGTGTCACAGGAGCATAAACACGATGTTCCTGAAGCTGTGAAAGAAACTATTTTTGCATTTAAGGAAGCAAATCTCTACTAGCTGCCATATGAAGGGAAGCCAGAGAATAATGTACAGCATCTTTTCTGTTAAGTAAAACGTCATGAAGAAGTATAGTAAATCACATAAAGAGCTTTGTATCTTAAATGAAGCTGAAGATGCTATGACTTATGGAAAACTAGTGCTATATATAAGATAAAAGAAGATATAGGTAACCTTGGTTTTACACAAATATGCCATGTCATCAATATGCCAGTTATTGCACAGTTTATCCTTGAAGATTTGCCAGAACCTAGAGAGAAGTATAAACACTAGTACATACAGTTTTGCATTTCATTTCAAGAGGCTTACCTCTAAAGGCCAACATGGGCCACAGGTTAAAAAACACCTGACCTGTTCCTCACCCAGGGTTCCAGCTTTCTGGAAGTTCCCACTGTAAAAGCAGGTAATACCTATACAGAAGAATACACACATACCTAACTACAATGATTCTACTTTAAAGATCAGCAGTTAAAATAGCATACATGTGTTTGGTAGATTAAAATAATTTTTTTTTTTTTTTTGGAGACAGAGTCTCTGTCACCCAGGCTGGAGTGCAGTGGTGCAATCTCGGTTCACTAGCAGATAATACCAACTCCGTGGTACTTTAAAAGGAAGTATAACAATCTAGTAGTTGTTCAAAAAGTATTGCAAATAAGACTTCATTTTCTTGTCTATATAAACTGTTGAGTAGAGTTGGCATGATGTAAATAGTAACGATAGTTTTTCTAACTTTGAGAGCAAAACGTGAGAAATTGACCTTGAAACGAGTCCTAAAGACATCAGCAACTTGAAAGATGTTTTTTAAGTACTTGGGAAATTTTGAAGACTTGTGAGGTGATTGTCCTGATCTTATAGCAGTAGTTTTTCCAGCAGTTCTAGCAAAAAGTTTTGGGTATTGAAAATGTAAAGATATATTCCTTTTCTCATTTATAAATAGACAAGAGGGAAACCTGATTTCCCTGTATCCTATTATATTTTAGGCTTCTCATGCAAGCACAGATGCCATGGTTATTTTAGGTGTCATTTTTAAAAATTATATAGCTCATTTATAAACCTTTATTTTTTAAACCTTTTTTATATTACTGCTGTCCTTATCAGATCATTCTAGCAATGCCAAAATTATGATAGTGGCTTCTGAAAATATTTGAAAAATCTAAAAAGATGATACTACCTATTTTTTTGATACTATTTTAAATTAATGATTAACATATTGGAACTTTAGATATGTCTACGTGGTAAAAGTAATCAAATGAATGTGTTCAGAAATACTTGGCTGTGGAGTTACAATCCCATCATCTTTTGTTGTCATAACGATATAGAGACCTACAGAGTTGAAACAGTGAAACCTGGAAAGATTGTCTGGCAGGAAGACCCTCGTTTACAAGACAGCAGTTCAGAAGAGGAAGATGTTACTGAAGAAACAGATCACAGAAACTCCAGTCCTGGGTAAACAATTTGTTTCTTTGCAGGCATAGTTCATAATTTGTAAAATCTGAATTAGACATACTTTAGAAATATTTTAGCTTCTCTTCACATGACAACTAAATTGTCTTAGCTTCTTTTTTTATTTTATTTTTTTTTTTTGAGACGGAGTGTTGCTCTGTCGCCCAGGCTGTAGTGCAATGGCATGATCTCAGCTCACTGCAACCTCCGCCTCCCAGATTCAAGCAATTCTCCTGTCCCAGCCTCCCAAGTAGCTGGGATTACAGGCACGTGCCAACCACACCTGGCTAATTTTTGTATTTTTAGTAGAGGCGAGGTTTCACCATGTTGGCCAGGCTGGTTTCGAACTCCTGACCTCAAGTAATCTGCCCACCTTGGCCTCCCAAAGTGCTAGGATTACAGGCGCCCTGCCACTGAGCCTGGACATCTCAGTTTCTTTAGAGTGTTCTCTAGCCTTTTTATAATGGAGAGTGTGTTTCCTTTTCCATGAGATTTGGATAGCACTAAGGGGAAGATAGTTTGTGCATAGAAAAGGGAAGGTGGCCTGACAGTGAAGTCACTGGTCTGGAAACAGGATGTTGCAGTTGACTGGGTGCCTACCCATGGGAGGCACTGGCAAATGGGGTAGCAATGGTGGGAGTGAGAGTATCAGCAACCAACACAGGAAAGATAGAGGTTCTACTTAAACAAGTCTTCATTATCAAAGCTTCAGATAGAAGAATGTTAGAGGGAGGGTTGTTTTAACTCAGGGCAAAATGCACAAAATACAAAGCAGATATATTTAAGAGTCTCGCTCACCTGGATTCTAGGGGGAAATGAAAAAAGATATATTTAAGAAATAGTGTATTTATGTTTTGAATGTAAATATTTCTTCTTAAATATTGAAATTAAACCAACCAATACCTATTTTTCTCTCTCCTTTGTCCCTTTCTTTTCAGAGAAGCATCATTACTTGAGAAAGAGACCACTAGATTTTTCTTTTTCTCTAAGAATGATGAACGACTTCAAGGTCAGTCCATTTTTTTCATCAAATTACATACATAGAACAGGTAATAATACAGCTACAGTAATTCACATCCAGGAATTTTGACCGTTGGTAATGTCATGTGGTTTAACCCCATTTGTTCACACTGATGAATGTTAACTTGTAAAGCTGTCAAGGTCTGAGAGCTCCCCACTCACCACTTTCTTTGCCCGCTCATTCTCATCAACAAAGGGTTGTTTTGTTCCAAGGGCTTCCTTAGATGTTAGACATATAAAACCCCTAAGTTTTAGTGCCATAAATTCCATGTGAAAACTCAGGCTGTTGGGGAGCTCATTTCTTAAAGCCTAGCATAAACAAAGTTACATAATAGTAAATGATATATATAAACAGTAAAAGCAATATTATATTTTTCATTTGGAAAGAAAAAATACTAATTTTTGAAAATAGGTAGAAACTGAGGGAAAAGAATGATCTTAACTGGTATTCGAGACCTTGATAATGCCAACACTTAGAATATTACCAATTTTAGTAGTAGTTTGCTGCCTCATCTTTCTTCTTTTTCCCCTAATAGGTTCTGACTTATTCTGGAGAGGAGTAGGAAGTAATATGAGCAGGAACTCTTGGGAGGCCAGAACAACCAACCTGCGTATGGTGAGTAATTGTTTCTCCATATTATTTCCTAAAATAGACATGTTACCTATCTAGAATTACAGTCCTGGAAGGGAACTCATGAATGGTATAGGTGAGGAGACTGCAGACTGGCTCAATTGAGTGACTGGTCTCAGAATCCAGCCAAGCCTATTAAGTAACACGAAAGCATCAGATTTTTAAAGACTGAATTATAGTTCCCATTATAAACAGTTAATGCCAAAAATGCCAATATCCCCTCTTCATTTCAAAAGAGCACTTTCAAAATAGGTTTCCACAGCCCTGACAGTGAGAATAACCTGTTTTACTTCTATCTACTGAACATCTTAAAAACAATTTGTTTATTGCTAACCAAGTCTTTTTTTTTTCCTAGGATTGTCGAAAGAAACATAAAGACGCAAAAAGGAAAATGAAACCAAAATAATAAATGTCAGCTGGTTTTGATACTGAATGTGAACAAGGCTCACCTAAGGAAACTGACCCAGAAAACAGTTTTAGCTGACAAAGAAGAAATTTCAGAGTGAAGGAATTTTAAAAATCTGGCTGACGGAATATCATTCTGGTTGCCATCTTTTTCTGTGGAACTCCTCTGCATTTCTTCCTAAGTAATTACTTCAAAAATTAAATTCAACTTCTTATAAAGGAAGAACAAGATAGTCCTTGAAAATACTTTTTGTATATAATCTCTTTGCCCTCTATCCTGAGTAACTAATGGACATCTTCTCATGCAAGGTTTATATGAAGCCTTTTTAAATAAATGAGTCAAAGCACTTGTATTTTCCAGCCTAGGCTTTGTGTGAATTATAGGCTATTTGAAATTTTATTTCTGATTATGTCAAATACACCTTCCATTTTGTCATTTTTGTTTAAACTGATAAATTACAAGTCAACATTGAGTTTTATACTTGTGTTTTGGTGAATGGTTAACTGAAATATAGGACATTTCAGACCAACATCATATAAGAGTTCTGTGAGGACCAGGAGAGGAAGCCAAATACAGTTATCTTGTCATTGCCTCTAGGAATTAAGGAACAACATCTAGATGTACACCAATCCCAAAATTCTAGTTAGACTAAAAGCTTATGAAAAATACCAAGTGCCTGAAAGATAGGTAGTCACAATTAGGAGTCAGGACCCTGAGCCCAAATAGGGAAACAGATTTAACATTACATTAAATAAACCAACCTGCCTAGATTTCAAGACATACGTCTCCTATCAAAATGGGCTCTGTATGAAATAGTATTACATAGGCCGGGCGTGATGGCGCACACCTGTAATCTCAGTACTTTGGGAGGCCAAGGCGGGCGGATCATGAGGAGGTCAGGATTTCAAGACCAGCCTGGCCAACATGGTGAAACCCCATCTCTACTAAAAATGCAAAAATTAGCTGGGTGTGGTGGCTCACACCTGTAATCCCAGCTGCTAGGGAGGCTGATACAGGAGAATCACTTGAACCCAGGAGGCAGAGGTTGCAGTGCTGAGATCATGTTGCTGCACTCCAGCCTGGGTAACAGAGTGAGACTCCATCTTAAAAAAAAAA
Source organism: Homo sapiens (assembly GCF_000001405.40). Taxonomy (NCBI): domain Eukaryota; kingdom Metazoa; phylum Chordata; class Mammalia; order Primates; family Hominidae; genus Homo; species Homo sapiens. Next base: position 131,448 of record NW_025791788.1, on the reverse strand, counting down.
AAAAAAAGAAATAGTATTATATAGTTCCAAGGGACTATCATTAAGCCATGATGTGTGTACCTAAAATTAGTATTTATTGATTTACCTATGCTGAATATAAACTCTTAACTGTTGGGATTTCATCTGGTGTGTTAACCATTATGACCCTAGGGCTTATGCTCTATGTTTTTTTAGTAAGGGTCCAAGGAACTAAATAACTTGAAGAGTAATTCTGGATTCCTAGGTTTCCAAAACTTCAGACTTCAAGGAGAGTGTGGACAACTAAGCAGCAGGATAAATAATTCACACTTTCTACCTTCTCTTGATGTAGATCACATTTGTACCTTATTTTCTATTGCTGCATAGCAAATCATCTCAGTAACAATCATTTATTTTATGCACAAATACTGCAATTTGGTCAACACTCACTAGGGACTGCTGATCTGTGCTGTGTGCTTTCACTGGGGTGGTTCAGCTAGGGCTACGGGATCTGTTTCTAAGATGGCCCACTCAGTGCCTGTTCATGGGCTTCCTTACAGCATAGCAAAAAAGCTCTAGGAGCAAGTGTTCTCAGAGGCAGGAAGCAGATGCTGCCTGTCTCTTAAGGCCTGGCCCAGAAACCGGCTCAGTCACTTCACTGTATTCTACAGGTTTAAACTGACACACAGCCCAACCAGACTGAAAGGGAGGGGACACAGATCCTCACTTCTTAGTGGGAGGAGTGTCAGAATGTGTGGCCGTAATTTAAATCCGGCACATGTTTCACAAGCAGACAAATAAGTAACATCAAGTAGCCTTGCCCACCCCCCAGTTCCTGCTCCCCAGATGAAACCACCTTCAGCAATTTAATTTCTCTAGTATTTACCTCCATGTTTCTACCTAACATGCTTATGCTCTGATTTCTTGGTTTTTCACTTCCAGACACTACATATTCTGAAAAGGTGAAAAAATTATTCACCTCTTCAGTCCAAGTAATATATTTTGACTACAGTTAACTTTTTTGCTGGAATTTTTTCATTTGCTTAACTTTTTCTAGACTTAGTCTTCCCATACCTTCCAACTGTGGGACATGATGAGGTTTCTCTTCAAATAGCCTGATCAATCCTTTATTCTTTAATTCACAGTGCCCCCCTCTTCCCTTTTTCTCCTCTTTCCTTTCTGCCTTTGTTACATGCCTAGACAGGCCACAGTACCAGGCGTTATCAGTACCAGCTCGTATTCCTTATCCGAAGAGAAGACTAGCTCTCTAGCTCATTACAGACAGCCCTTCCCCCTTTCCCCTCTCTCTTACGTGCCCACCTTATCTAAAGAAAGTTAAAATGTTTAGCCAACTGTGGTTATTTTAGATTGTGAGGCCCAACTCCGGCCAATGGAGAAAGGGTACAGGGGCAGGGTTTGTGTCAGGGATAAAGGTTCTCGTGCCCCTTTGTTCTGGTGTGCTCTCATGGTGACTGGCCAAGGAGAAGCACCCCTCTGCGCAGAAGTAAAATTGCTTTGCTGAAAATCCTTTGTTTGAATGTTCAATTTCCTTAGGATTTTGAGCATTATTTCCAACACAACAGTACTATTAATATAAATGTTTCTCAATCAAATTTTTAAATAATTAGACTTGGCCTACCTCACCTTTGTCCAGGAGCCCTCTGTCTGGCTCTATCTGGGCTCTCTGGATAGGTGACAAAAATGAACTGAACAAGGTGGCAACGTGAGGAATGTGAAAACTTCAAACACATTCCAAATACTTTCAGTTAATTAACAAGATTTGCAGCTATTAAATTATGTACGTTATGTGAGTATAGTCAGAACACTGAGTTACCCATGATGGAGGACATGAAACCACTTTAATCCTTCACACAGGGCCAAGACGGTAAGTAAAGTTAAATATATGCTGAACAGACTATCAAAATGTTCCTAAACTTAATAAGAAACTGCATTCTACCTATTCTAGGCCAGATAAATTTTTTATATCCCTCTAACGGATACAATAGGCAGCTACGGAACTACTCCCAATTTGGCAAGATCCAGAATTTCCTTTAGAGGCTCTGGGGCCAAAGCCCGAGGCCTACTGCCCTTTGCAAGGCTCCAGATTTTAACCAGCAGATCAGTAAGGTACCAAGCCGACTCATAGCAATGATAATAAGTATGCAGGCCGGGTGCAGTGGCTCATGCCTGTAATCCCAACAGTTAAGGAGGCTAAGGCAAGCAGATCGCTTGAGCCCACGAGTTTGACAGCAGCCTAGGCAACATAGCAAGACCCCGTTGCTACAGAAAATACAAAAATTAGCCGGGCGTGGTGGCGCTAGCCTGTAGTCCCAGCTACTTGGCCAGGGATGAGGTGCGAGGATCATCTGATCCGGGGAGGTTGAGGCTGCAGTGAGCCATGACCGTGCCACTGCACTCCAGCCTGGGCGACAGAATGAGACCGCTTCTCAAAAAAAGAAAAAAAAATCGTTTGTGCAATGTTTTCATTACCGGAAACATTTTAAGTAAAATACAATAAAACTTTTAAATCTGGTTGTCAGACCCTTCCTTCCCTTTTGTTATTATCGTTTCACGTAGCCATTTATGATAGGAGAAGCGGCTTTGGGGTCGGCGGCTCAGGGCCCAAAAGTATAATTATTAAAGCCACCTCTCCGGAAGTTGCTGTTTGTCGTTATCAATTTAGGTACGAAGTGTCCAGTCAGATAAATACTGACAAAAGCAAACAAGATGAAGAACATGAGCCCCGACCTCGGCGCCCCTTCCCAGTGGGCCGTCACCTACCCGGAGGTGCCCACAACCCGAGTGAGACCTCGGTCTACACTACTGCAACGGATACAAGCAGCACGCACAGCGCCGCCCTCAGCGCTGGTTCGTTTTCCACGTGGAGGCGCAAAACCAGCAAGCACCACTGTCGCACCATCCGAGCCAGTGGGCGCAATCATGTCCGGCGCGACCAATCGGCGCCTGGCTTGTTGGCAGGTGTCAGGCAGCGCGCACTGATTGGCCGGTGCGGAGCCTGTCTCCTTCACTGGATCCCGCATTTTCAGCGCGTTGCATCACCTCCGTGCGCCCGGTTGCAGCGTGGACGCCGGATGAGTTGCTTTTAGGCTTGCTGGCCCGCGGGGCTGTCCAGGCACGCGAGGCCCCTCAGGTACGCCCTCTCTTCCCTGCAGGATCCGGCCCTCAAAGACGAGGGTCACGCACGCGTTACAACCCCGAAACAGTAGCACAAGATTTAATTTTTAAAAGAGCGTGTTTCTTCGGGGCTTGCCGTTCGTTCGTTTCCAGCCTCAGGAATTTATGGTCGCCTTTTTGAATGAGGTAGTGTTTGAAATGAGTAAAATCTTTTTAAAATGATATACATAGTATAAATTGATATAGCTGTGACTTTATGTATAGGCAATACGTATTTTTATATGTCTTAATTTATTACCTTCAATGGCTGCGAGATACTTATTTTATTGATGTACCGTAATTTACTTCAGTCACCATGAATATTTAGATTGTTTTCAGTTATTTGCCTGGAGAAACAATTATTCGGTGAATGTCATTGTATACACATTTTGTACATTTGCATGAGTATACCTGTGGAGTCTATGTTAATAGGATATAACTAAATTGAGGAAACGTTTGAGACGGTCCCACTTTCAGGTTACATTTGACTTAATAGATTATGAAGACCTGAGAATAAAAGGAGAAACAGAAATGGATTTAGAGGAGAATGAAAAGGGGGAACAGAAATAGGCTTATAGGTAGGATCCACATGACTTGATGATTAATTGGTTGTGTGTATCTTCTGAGTAGTGTCAGGGGTGACTCAAAAATGTCATGCCTAAGTAATGGGAAGAATATTGGAACCACTAATACAGTAGTTTAAAAGGGAAGCAATTCTGGAAGGAATTATGAAATTTTAAACAAAACATGGTTTTAGTGTGCGTTTCTAAAATATATTGAGGCAAAATAATATGAAGTAATGTGAATAATATGTAGTTAATATCAGGGAGGGTGGTCTCGAAATTGCTGAACGGGAAGTTGAGGTTAAGGTGACCTGAAGGAGTTGTGGAGCAGCGAAGAGTCAAGGGCCTGGATTATAATAAGAGGGAAGCAAAGGGGATGGCATCCCTCTGCACAACAAGGTTGTTGTGCAAGGTTAACCTGCTCTGTCCCTGCCCTGTGGTTGCTGGATGCTGTTGTGCATGGACAGCTCTCCAGTGGATTCGATGGGCCATAGCAATCCTGTGATTTATGCATGGAGGCTGCTTCTCCTCAGCAGCTGCCATAGCCCGGTCGCTGGTACATGATTCTTCCTGAATAGTCAATGCTGTTATACTGAGTGTTTATGCTTGACGTAATAATGCAGTGATTCTTAATCTTTGGGGAAAGTAGAGACTCCCTAAAAAACACAGTAAAAGCTGAATGAGCTGGCCAGGCATAGTGGCTCATGCCTGTAATCCCAGCCCTTTGGGAGCCCAGGGCAAGAGGATCGCTTTAGCCTAGGAGTTGAAGACCAGCCAGGGCAACATGGCAAAACCCTGTCTCTACAAACCACCCCCTCCCCACCAAAAAAAAAAAAAAAAAAAGCTGAGTGTGGTGGTGCACACCTGTAGTCCTAGCTACTTGGCGGGCTAAACTGGGAGGAACACCTGAACCCAGGGAGGTCAAGGCTGCAGTGAGCCATGATTGTGCCACTGCACTCCAGCCTAGGTGACAGAGTGAGCCACTGTCTCAAAAAAAAAAAAAAAAAAGGAATGATCCTCTTCTCAGAAAGCTTAAATCTTATTTTCTCAAAAATAAAAATTCAGATAGATATTCCTGAATAATTGTTAGAACAGTGCAAGAGTGGTGATGTTCAGACTTTGATGTGAATGCTCATCCCCTAGGGATCTTGTTAAAATGCAGGTTCTGACTCGTAGGTGCGAGGTGAGGCTGGTAAGTCTGCATCTCTAATAAGCTCCCATAGATGTGGGCCATAGTAGGACCAGCCTTGAAGAGATTAGAATGTGTTGGTATCTAAAGGTCTGTTAGTCTTCAGATAACAATCCCATAAGTTTCAGTTGGCCTCTGATAAGGTACACAATGAACCTAAATAAATCAGTAAATGCACAAACACTTATTTTGGTCCTTGAAAGGCTAGAGGTTATAATAAGAGTTGAAGATCTAAAATGCCTTAAACCTTCTGTTTAATACCTTTTAATGGCATACTGTGATCAGAAATAGCTATTTCAGTTAGTTAAACAGCCCAACTGTTCTTGTCCTGTTTTTTCTTAAATTAAACTCAGAGGCACTCACACATCTGAAAAATTAATGAGGGTAAAAGAAAATGAAAGATACTACTTGTCACAGACTTTTTTTTAAATGATAACTTGAATCAATAACTTGATTAGACTATGATGCTTTTGATGCTTTCAAAACTGTTTGAGGTATGTAGGTGTCTTTTCCTGTAGAGTTGATTACCCTGGTCTGTTGTGGTTCTTGAGTACTTAAGATTTTTTATCTTCTCTGTTGTTCCCTTATTAGCAATTTTATCCCCTTCTGATCTGATACTGACTTGGAAAGCTCGTCACCCACCTTGTTAGAATTGTTAAGTAAATATAAATAGACTTTGAGAAGGAAAGGTCTCAAGGGTGGCTCACTAGATACTTAAGTCATAGATTGATCAAGTATCTCTGCATGAGGTTATTAGCAAAACATTTAAAAAGACACTTTAAGACTTCTCTCATTAGGGACTAAACCAGAAAGGTATAGGGCTCATCCTTCATAAAAATCATGAATAAGCAATAAAAAGGGTAAAATGGAAAACTGGAATCTATATTTGAATGTGAGATTCTCATCTTTTTAGCTTTAAGATTTTTTAAGTTTTACCAGTTTTCCTCAAAGAGAAGATGAAGTTACTTCAAGAGAACTGATTTCTGTCATGTGAGTGTAGGTAAGAAAATTCTTAACTACTTTGAGATATTTTTCTTCAGATTATTAATGAGTTTTTTGCACCACTAGATAGAATTTCCAAGATTTTCCTGCTTACTTTTGGAAACATTGTCTCTACCATTACTGAATATTAAATAATAGCCATGTACCCCTCCCTCACACCATATACGAAAATAAAATTATTTGTGGCCTAAATGTAAGCGAAAAATCTATAACCTTGTTTAGGTAATGGTTTATTGATGACACCAAAAGCTCAAGCAGCAAAACCAAAAATTGACAAATTGGGCATCATTAAAATGAAAAATCTTTGTGCTTCAAAAAATGCCATCAAGAAAATAAAAAGACGGCCCACAGAACAGGAGAAATTTTTTATAAATCATATATCTGATAAAGGATTTGTATCCAGGATGTATACATAACCCTTAAAACCCAACCACAAAAAGAGCCCAATTAGAAAATAGGCAAAGGATAAATATCTATCCAACGTGGATACGCAAATGGCCAATAAGCATGTGGAAAGATGCTCAGCATCATTAGTCCTTAGGGAAATGCAAATCAAAACCACAAGATACTACTTAACATCTCCTAGAATGACTGTAATTCAAAGATGGACAATAAGATGTGTTGGGTAAGATCTGAAGAAATTAGAATCCTCATTCACTGCTGAGGGAATGTAAAATAGTACAGTCACTTTGGAAAAATTTTGGCATTTTCTCAAAAAGTTAAATACAGAATTATCATGTGACCCAGAAATTCTACTTCTAGCTACAAACCCAAGAGAAATGAAAACATAGATCCACACAAAATTTTGTATGTGAATGTTCATAGCAGCGTTATTCGTAATAACCAAAAAGTGGAAACAATACAGGTATCCAAGAAATGATGAATGGATAAACAAAATGTGGCATATTCATGAAATGGAATACTATTCAGCTATCAAAAGTAATGAAGTATGAATACATATTACATCATGGATGAGCCTTGAAAACATGCTAGAGAAAGGAAACCAGATGCAATAGGCCACATATAGATGATTCCTATAAATTTTCCCATTTATATGAAATGTCCAGAATAGGTAAATCTGCAGGGACAGAAAGAAGATAAATCGTTGCCACTGGCTATGGAGAAGAAAGAATGGGGAGTGACTGCTAATGGTTTTGGGGTGTTTTGGTGGGGAGGGGAGGTTGAAAACGTTTTGAAATTAGGTATTACTAGTTATACTACCTTGTAAATATACTAAAAAGCCACTGAATTGTACACTTTTTACATTACACTATGTAAATTGTACATCAATAAAGCTGTAATTTTTTAAAAGTATGGATAGTGTCATGTACACCCATGTTAATAATATGGTACTCTGTTATTCCTAGATTTCTCTTTTGACAGTAATAAATTTGATTTCTTTTGCAGCAACAAAATGCTTCAACAAGTTCCAGAAAACATAAATTTTCCTGCTGAAGAAGAGAAAATCTTGGAGTTTTGGACTGAATTTAATTGTTTTCAGGAATGCTTAAAGCAATCAAAACATAAACCAAAGTATGTGAATTTTTTAGGTTAAGTTCCCTTAAGAATAGTCATTTCTTAGACTGAATTCCATTAAAGCAGATACTTTTTTTTTTTTTTTTTTTTTGAGATGGAGTCTCGCACTGTCATCCAGGCTGGAGGGCAGTGGTGCAATCTCTGCTCACTGCTACCTCTGCCTCCCGGATGCAAGTGATTCTCCTGCCTCAGCCTCCCGAGTAGCTGGGATTACAGGTGCCCGCCATCACACCAGCTAATTCTTGTGTTTTAGTAGAGACGGGGTTTCACCATGTTGCCCAGGCTGGTCTCGGACTCCTGACCTCAAGTGATCCACCCACCTCGGCCTCTCAAAGTGCTGGGATTACAAGTGTGAGCCATCACGCGCGGCCTAAAGCAGATACTCTTTATTAATCTTTCTATTCCCAGAATCCCCCAGCTCCCTATGTAGTGGGTACTCAGTAGTAGATATACATTGAATGAATGAGTTCTCAATTATTGGGGTAAATTTTGTTTCTTTAAAAGGTCATCTGAGTAAAATTTATGTGTCATCCTCCGTGTCACCCTCTTTCCACCTTTATTTTCATCACCACCCTCGTTTAGGCACTTATACCTAAGTACCCCATAGAAGGCTACTATAGTACTACCTGCCTTTAGTCCTCATTCACCTAAAAGACTAGTCCTTTAATCAGTGTTTTCATTATATGTCTCCTCTGGTCAAAAACTATGAGATAGGGGTTTATTGCCCTATTTTACTGATGAGATAACTCAAGATCAGGATAAATAATTTGCCTTATGTCATGGAACTAATAAATGAAAAATGGATAATCAAATGGAGGTCTCTGTAGCTCTACCACAATTGTAGCCTTTCTGAAGGCAGGACCACCAGTAAATATCAAATCAATTATGTCTGTCGGTTTCCTGATCTTGCTGCTTTTCTCCTTGAAGACTCCACTATGACAAGAGCTATCTATAGAAAAATGCCTTAAATTTTGGCTGTTTTTAAATGGCTTGATATATTTTTATTACCTGTTAGATTTACCTTCTATGATGGTCCTCCTTTTGCAACTGGACTGCCTCACTATGGACATATACTTGCGGGTACAATTAAAGATATAGTTACAAGATATGCTCACCAGAGTGGGTTTCATGTTGACAGAAGATTTGGATGGGATTGCCATGGCTTACCTGTGGTATGTTTGAGTATCCAGCTTTATAATTTTCTGATTTTTTTTATAAGCATTAGATTTTGTCATATAATATGTTCAAGTATGATGAACGTTGACTGTCAGACCTTCTAGTTCATTTCTATAATATTTGTAGTTTGATTTGTTTTGTTTTCTAGAGTTGCATAGTTGCAGTTGTTTTCATAGGGCAGCGTGGTAACAGTCTTATCACAAATTTTCAGGAATATGAAATTGATAAGACACTGGGAATCAGAGGACCAGAGGATGTGGCCAAAATGGGGATTACAGAGTATAACAATCAGTGCCGAGCAATTGTGATGAGATATTCTGCTGAGTGGAAGGTATGTTGGGTTTTTTTCAGTAGAATGAACAGCAAATGTAGTTACTAAATGGGCATTGAAATGGTTTATGGTCCCTTGTGCTTTTTTTATTAATTTATTTTTTGTAGAAAAAGTGTTAGCTTCCACCTTCAACCCTATTACTTAAACGGTTAGCTTAAACTGAACCATCTCTCTTCTGACTTCTGTGTGCTTAATTGGTCTAACTTTCTTGCATGATCACCAATAGGGAAAAATTCTAATAAGTATAACATGATATATAGGCCTTTTCTTTTTTTCTCAAATACTTTTTTCAATTTTTTTAACTTTTCATTTTGAAATAATTTGACTTATTAAACAATTGAAAAAGTAGTATGATGGGTTCCCCTATATCCTTCATCCATCTTTCCCAGCTGCTAACATCTTCGGTAACCATAATATTAATAGAATTTTCAAAAGCAGTTGCCCCATTAATTTTTATTTCTGACCAATCACATATTGCATTTGGTTGTCATGTCTTTTTAGTCTTCTTAAGTATGGAACATTTATTTAGTCCTTTGTATTTCATGGCCTTCTCACTTTTGAAGATTGCAGAACAGCTATTTTCTATAATGTCTCTCAATGTGTGAGGTTTCCTGATTTAATTTAGGTTATGCATTTTTGGTGACAATGCCACAGAAGTGATGCTATGCCCTTCTCAATGCATTATATCAGGTGGCATGTGTTGCGGCTATGTCACATTGATGGTGATAACTTTGTTCACTTGGTTAAAGTGCTGTCAGCTTTCTGCTTTGTAAAGTTGTAGTTTTTCCTTTGTAATTAATAAGTATCTTGTGGGGAGATTCTTTCCAAATATTCTTTTTTTTGTCATACATTCACTTATTAATTTTAACATCCATGGATGGTTTTTGCCAGTAATAATTATGCCTGTGATATTTGCCAAGTGGTGGTTTTGGTAGACTTTTATAAGTGAATATTTATACTTGTAAATAACATTTTGTGCATGTAGGATGAATGCCGAGAAAACTGGTTCTTAACCTTACATAATATGTTGTTGGCAGTATAGATTTACTTGTACCATTGATTATTCTGTTTTCCCAAAATTTTCATTTGTGATGACAACAGAAATAAACACACATTGATGTACAATTATAAATATCATTGTCTAATACTGTTCTAATATTAATATTTTAAAGTCTACTGTTAGCAGACTTGGCCGATGGATTGACTTTGACAATGACTATAAAACTCTGTATCCACAATTCATGGAATCAGTCTGGTAGGTTTATTTAAAATTGTAAATATGGTAAATATTCTATTCTGTTGTATTGATAATTGGAAAAATGCACTAGCATGAATCAGTTTATTTTTGAGTCCATCGTTATTTCTCTGAAAATCTTTGGGAACAGGTTTGTTTTTGAATGTAGAACTTTTATTTTTATTTTTTTGAGACTGAGTCTCGCTCAGTTGCCCAGGCTGGAGGGCAGTGGCACAGTCTTGGCCCACTGCAACCTCCGCCTCTCAGGTTCAAGCGATTCTCTTGCTTCAGCCTCCCAAGTAGCTGGGATTACAGGCGCCCGCCACCATGCTTGGCTAATTTTTGTCTTTTTAGTAGAGATGGGGTTTCACCTTGTTGGCCAGGGTGGTCTCGAACTTCTGACCTAGGTGATCCATCCACCTTGATCTCTCAAAGTGCTACGATTACAGACGTGAGCCACTGCGCCCAGCCTGCCAGTTGCTTTTCTTAACATTATGTGTTAAATATCATTCGATATCAGTAGATATTAGCATTTTAATGTCTGCCTGATGTCTTACTATATTGATCTGTTATAATTTACCAGCCAGTCTCCCAATGAAAGACATTGTTTTTTCACTTATTTGGCAGACAGAAACTCTAAAAAGAAAATGGCATAAATGTTTGCATTTTCAGAAATAGAATTTTGTTCTGTAATTGTGAAACTCCATCTCTTACCAGGTGGGTCTTCAAACAACTCTATGATAAAGGCCTTGTTTATAGAGGTGTGAAAGTCATGCCCTTCTCTACGGCATGTAACACTCCACTTTCCAACTTCGAGTCACACCAGAATTATAAGGTACGTGAAATGTAGAGACATTATTCAGCATTGAGTTTTGTAGGTGGAAGCTGAGTAGTTATGATCACAGTAGGTATTCCCAAGTAGACCCAGTGTGGAATGTTGCCCACGACATCCACCACTTTGACCACTTCTTACTGAGTGCTGGAAATATTGCCAGTTAGTATACTAAGGCTCTGTTAAGATGAGGGATTTTTTTTCCACATTGGATTTATGATGTGTCTTAATGTGATAGGTTTTGCTTGTTTTGACCATATTTTTGTGCCTCTCTGTTGGGTTAACAAGTCCAGCTTTGACATACTTCCTGTAGTCATCGTTTCTTAAGGGTTGAGTAATTTTATGCCTTATCTGGGACCTCATGATATCATTTATTTGTTAACGGTATTTGGAAAAAAATTAATTTGAGATGCCAAATGGTATTATTTTTCCTCTGATGAGATAGAATCAGTTGTTGTTGTTGCTATGATTGAGGTGTTTAGACATGTTTGATGTTTACAGAGTGTATTGTTATACCATATCTAGACAGATATTATATACTAGTAAGTCTTCTGAAATGTGAACCATCTCTTCTCGTGTGTATACTGAGTTGTTTTCAGTTTTGAGAGTTTATCTGACCCTCTGTTTTTAAAGGATGTTGACTTGTTTGGAATTCTTGTTTCATGGCCTAGGTTTGAAAATTACATTAGTAAAATTTGCCTTTCAAAGCACGTTTTATTTATAGAATGCTTTCACATATCCTGTTTGATTGATCTTTGTAAATCCTTGTAAGGCAGGTATGATGATTTCTATTATCTCCTTACCACCTCTCTGTGCTCATGTTTGTATTTTTTTAGTAAAATATTTTAAGCACTTAACAATGTAGAGAATGATATGGTAAACACAAGGTTTCCAAGGCTTACCTTTGTCAAATCTTAATATATTGCTATATTTGGTTTTTGTTTGTTTGTTTGTTTGAGTCAGAGTCTTGCTCTGTCGCCCAGGCTAGAGTGCAGTGGCGCGATCTTGGCTCCCTGCAACCTCCACCTACCCGATTCAAGCAGTTCTTTGCCTCAGCCTCTGGAGTAGCTGGGTTTACAGGTGCCCACCACCACGCATTTTTAGTAGAGACAGGGTTTCACCATTTTGGCCAGGCTGGTCTTGAACTCCTGACCTTGCGATCCACCCACCTTGGCCTCCCAAAGTGTTGGAATTACAGTTGTGAGCCATTGCGCCCGGCCTGTTTGGTTGTTTTTTAAAACACTTGAATGTGGACAGTTTCAGGGACATGCAAAAGTAAACAGAATGGTATAATTAATTTCTGTAGGCCCATTAAGGCCCCCAGCACCAATGACTGGCTAATCTTGCCTCATTCATACACATATTCTTTCCCACTTTCCTTCCAATTCTGAAACAAATTCCAGATATCATATTATTTCATCAAGAAATAATCCAGTATAGATCTTTCATAAATAATCTTTATCTTCTTTAAACATTGCCATGTTAGCATTCGTTGTCACACCTTAAAAAGTCATCAGCAGTTACCTTTTTGTTGTTGTTGTTGTTTTTGAGATAGGATCTCGCTATGTCACCCAGGCTAGAGTGCAGTGGCACGATCTCGGCTAACCACAGCCTTGACCTCCCGGGCTCAAGTGATCTCCCCTTTCAGCCCCCTGAGTAGCTGGGACTACAGGAACATACCACCATACCTGGCTAATTTATGTGTTTCTATAGGAGTGGTTTCACCATGTTGCCTGGGCTGGTCTTGAACTCTTGGGCTCAAGCAGTCCACCCGCCTTGGCCTCCCAAAGTGCTGGGATTACAGGTGTCAGCCACTGCACCTAGCCACCTTTAATAGTTTTTATTTTAATATTCTCAAATTATGTAATTCCTGAACATCATCAGTTCATATTTCTAATGGTTTAATCATTTCCCAAGGGGTTATATTTTATTTTTATTTATTTATTTTTTTAAATCAGGATCTACCAAGACTTAAACACATGGTGACTGTTGTCTTTTAGGTCTTGTACACGTTTCAGTTGGTTATATAACAAGTAGTGGAATTATCGAGTCAGAGTATACTTTGTTTTAATTTTTATTTTTTTGAGACGGAGTCTCACTCTGATGCCCAGGCTGAAGTACAGTGGTGTGATCTTGGCTCATTGCACCCTCCTCCCAGGTTCAAGCAATTCTCCTGCCTCAGCCTCCCGAGTAGCTGGGATTACGGGTGCCCGCCAGCATGCCCAGCTAAGTTTTGTATTTTTAGTAGAGACAGGGTTTCGCCATGTTGGCCAGGCTGGTCTTGAACTCCTTACCTCAGTTGATCCACCTGCCTCAGCCTCCCAAAGTGCGGGTATTTTTACAGGCGTGAGCCACCACGCCCAGGTGAGTCACAGAGTATACTTAATTTTTAGTTCTAATACTGAGGTTGGGAAACTTTCCTCTGCAAATTAAATATTTTAGGCTTTTCAGGCAAAGTGTTCTCAATTTTGTCACCATTCTTAACTCACCCACTGTATGAAACAAGTGATGAGCCAGATTTGGCCCAGGGGCCATGGTTTGCTGACCTCTATTCTACGCGGTCTGTATATTGATTGTTAACCAAGGGTTTTTAAAATTTTTTTGACTTGACCAAGCACAGTGGCTCACACCTGAAATCCTCGCACTTTTGGAGGCCGACCTGGGCAACATGACAAAACCCCATCTCTACTAAAATTACAAAAATTAGCTGGGCGTGGTGGCGTGAACCTTTAGTTCCAACTACTCCACAGGCTGAAGTAAGAGAATGACATGAGCCCAGGAAGTTGAGGTTGCAGTGAGCCGAAAGTGTGCTACTGCACTCCAGCCTGGGTGACAGAGTTAGACTCTGTCTCAAAAAAAAAAAATATATATATATATATATATATGTGTGTGTATGTATATATGTAAGTATACATATATATGTATTGGCTTAAAACTTTTATTTATTTATTTTTAGAGAAGGGATTTCAGTCTGTCACCTAGGCTGGAATGCAATGGTGCAAACACAGCTCACTGCAGCCTTGACCTCCTGGGTTCAAGTGATCCTCCAGCCTCACCCTCCTGAGCAGCTGAGACCACAGATGTGCATCACCATGCCCAGAAAATTTTTTTATCTTTGTAGAGATGGGATCTCACCATATTGCCCCAGCTGGTCTCAAACTCCAGAGCTTGTGCGATCCTCCTGCCTTGGCCTCCCAAAGTGCCAGGATTATAGGCATGAGCCACCGTGCTAAAAAATTTTAATTTTTTACAAAAATTAGCTGGGCATGGTGGTGCACACCTGTAGTCCCAGCTATTCAGGAAACCGAGGCAGGAGAATGCTTGAACCTGGGAGGTGGGGGTTGCAGTGAGCTGAGATCACGTCACTGCACTCCAGCTTGGGTGACAGAGTGAGATTCCATCTCAAAAAAAAAAGAAAAGAAAAAAATTAATTTTGATGTAGTTTCAAACTCACAGAAAAGCGGAGAGTTCTTTATATCCTTCAACTAGATTCCCTAAATGTTAACCTTTTACCACATTTGCTTTATCCTTCTCTCTTTTTATGGGAGTGGGGCACAGTACCCTTTGAGAGTAAGTTGCAGGAATTATGGCCCTTTTCCTCTAAAAACTATATATTTCCTAAAATCAGTAACATTGTTTGAAATAACTGGAGTTAGAAAATTAACATTGATGCTGTATTACCTCATGTGTAGATCTTATTGGGTTCTGCTTGTCCCAGCAGTGTCCTTTATAGTTAACAAGAAAAAAAGAAGGAAAGAAAAACAAAAAAGACCTACATTGTGTGCTTCATGCAGTGGTATGTCTCCAGCCTTCTTTAATCTTAAAGAGCTCTTTAGTCTCTTTATGCCTCATAATACTGACATATTTGAGGAGGTACAGGCCAATAGTAGTGTCTCTTATTTCAAGTTTGTCTGATGTTTTACATGTGACTAATGGCTCTCGTGTCACTTTATTTAAATTGCAGTTGGTTTTTGTTGGGGATTGATTTTTTTTTTCCTACCTTAGAGCTATTTATTTTTAAATCCTTGATATTTTTGTGTTGAAACATTTCCGTAAAGTTGGAGACAATCTTGTTCTTATTTAATGAGCTGAATTTATATGGGTCTGTTACAATTTCAAGTATGTGTTGCTTCAGTAGGATCTTTTTGGTATTTTGGGCAAAAAGATAACCATATTCCAGAACAGTTATCTTTTTGATCTAACTCTTGATGGACTTACAAAATAGATAATCATAATACTGAAACCTCCATCATATGTTCCTACTTAGACATTACTTTAAAAAGTTACCAGAGGCCAGGCATGGTGACTCACGCCTGTAATCCCAGCACTTTGGGAGGCTGAGGTGGGAGGATCACCTGCGGTCAGGAGTTTGAGACCAGCCTAACCAACATGGAATAACCCCATCTCTACTAAAAATACAAAAATTAGCCACGTGTGGTGACACGCACCTATAATCCCAGCTACTCGGGAGGCTGAGGCACAAGAATCACTTGAACCCAGGAGGCAGGGGCTGCAGTGAGCCAAGATTGTACCACAGCACTCCAGCCTAGTGACACAGTGAGACTCCATCTAAAAAAAAAAAAAAAAAAGTCACCAGGTGTCAAAAGACATTATTTTTGAGACTACTAAGGTGATGATTAAAACATTTTTTAAAGTATTTAAAAATTTTTTTACTTGGAATTTCTTGCTATTTTCTGTTTGTAAGTCTGGTAAGTGGTTTCTTCGGTTTACCCTGAAGATTTATTTTATTCCTCTTTAGGAGTAGTTCCTTTTTCTTAGGTGTCTGTTATTGTGGATTTCTAAAACAATACTTTACCTCAATTTATTTCAGGATGTTCAAGATCCTTCAGTATTTGTAACTTTCCCTTTGGAAGAAGATGAAACTGTATCTTTAGTTGCTTGGACAACCACTCCCTGGACTCTACCTAGTAACCTTGCTGTGTGTGTTAATCCAGAAATGCAATATGTGAAAATTAAAGGTAAGTGGGAGGCTGGTTACTTATGATTAATATGGATAAGATAATTTTATATTTTGGAAAATATGAAAGCTTACCTTTCTTTTTGCATGAAGAATAGAATTATTTGAAAACAATCTGACTTAATTAGAAAAATAACTTTAAACATTTGTTTTCATTTCTAATTGAAAACTAACAAAACAATTAAAATAGTACAGAGATATAAAAAGTAGAACATAAAATTTTCTTATAATTTCCAGTTTATAGTACATTTTTCCACACCATGCCCCTGTGACAGATGAAGAATCTAAGATTCAGCGATGTGGCATCACGTCGTTACTAGCAATTGATACCAGAACTTGAGAACTTTTTGCCTTTCAAATGTCCCCTGGTAGAGAGTTACCAGTCTCAACGAGGGCCTTTCCGAGATTTAAAAAGAAGATTGGTACTTTGTGAACAAATATACCTTCAGGTTTGGTAGTTTTGTGGCGGTAAAAGAAAAAGAGAAAAACTCATTGCCATGAAAAAAGCTATGGCACAGCTGCTGTGGAAGGCAGTGACATTTCTTCAAAAAGCTGAATGAGATGACACTATGGCCCAGCAATTTCACTTCTGAGTGTTTTCCCCAAAGAATTGAAAGCAGTCTTGAACAGTTACTTGTACACCCGTGTTCATAGGAGCATTATTCACAGTAGTCAAAAGATAGAAGCAACCCAAGTGTCTATCATTGGATAAATGAATAAACCAAATAGGGTATTTACGTACAGTGGAATATTATTCAGCCTAAAAAAGAAAGGAAATTCTGATACAGGCTATGCCTTGAATGAACCTGGAGGACATTATGCTAATTAAAATGAGCCAGTCACCAAAAGACAGATACTACATGATTCTATTTATATGAGGTATCGAGAAGTGAACTTCAGAGAGCAAAGACTAGTAGAATGGTGGTTGACAGAGGCTGGGAGGGAAGGGGGAGTTATTGTTTAATGAGTACAGAGTTTCAGTATAGGAAAATGAAAAGGTTTAGGGTATTGATAATGGTAATGATTACACAACATTGTAGATGTATTTAATTCTGTGTAAGAATGGTTACCATGATTTTTAAAAATAGTTGTATTAAAACAGTCAACTTGATTGAACAATAGCTTGTGTTGGCAAGGGAAAAATATTGAGAAAGGAATGGGGAAAGATTGGGTGCCAGAAAAAAGGTACGGAGGGAGTTTTTTATTTGTTCTTTCCTGGGAGCAAATAGGACTAAGAGTTGACCTACTGGAAAGCTGTTGGCCACAAAGAGGCCTGGCTCAGGTGTCTGCAGCTGCTTCTCTGGAGCAAGGACAGTCCCATCTGCACAATTTCCCTATGTCACTGGTGGGTCACTAGCCATTCTGTGGTGAGCTTGACAATCTCAGCAGCCACCTGACTGAGATCTCAAAACACATCACCCATCTACCTGTGTATAACTCTTGTGCTTGGCAGACTTTGTATCTGAGCTTTATCAGAAACTGTGGTCCCCACTTACAATGAAGTTCCTGTGAGGTCAGAGCTAGGGAGTGGCAGCCTTATTCATAGCAGTTTTTCAATAAATTGGAAAGGCTTTTACAATGACCCATAGATACTCATTTTTCTTATAGTGAACTAAATATATGACATAGGCTCTAGTAAATCTCAGATGTGTAATATCATAGCTTATGATGAGAGTTTAAATTGGCCTAGATTTTCAGTATCAAAGTTTTAACTGTTCATACATTTGCTCCAGCTTTTCTTTTCCTAGGATGCCCCAGGTATCCTCCAGAAACACTTACAATAAGGGTACACAGATGCATCAAGGACATTCATCATGCCAGTGTTCATAGTAGTGAAAATTTGAAAGCAATTTAAGTGTCTGTCAACTTGTTAGAAATAATTCGTACCTCTATAAAATAGCGTCCCATAGAGCTCTTTAAAAGGATGAGAAAAGTCTGTATGTGCTAATACATGGAAGTATGTTGACAGTATATTAAGTGAAAAGCTACAAAATCAGATAGAATATTACCTCAATTAGAAAAATAAAAAGAACTTACACATTTACCTATATGTTTGTTTGTATATACATAGAAAAATATCCGGATCCATAGACACCCAAATGAGAATGTCTGAGAGGGGGTGATATGTGGCACTTAATTTGTGAGCTACTTTGTCAATGTTATTTTTAAACATTGACATGTTTACCTTATGAAGGAAAAAATAAAGATTTACTTAAAATGGATATCTGAGCGATAAATAATAACTACCAACTGCCTAAGTGCATTTGATGTTTTTGTCATTTTCATGTTTGGGAAGCAGTATACCATAGTGTTCTTTGCAGTATTTCTCTGTGAGTACTGGGTACAGTAGAGGCACATGGTACAGGAGCTCCTCAGGACAAAAGTATGCTTGATGCATGTCTTTGGAATCAGCCAAGTTCAGAATATAACCCAAGTCCATGTTTTTCCTTTTTCTCGTAGATGTTGCCAGAGGACGATTACTCATTTTAATGGAAGCCAGATTGTCAGCCCTCTATAAATTGGAGAGTGACTATGAGATCCTTGAAAGGTGAATATTCAAATAGTTGCTCTGTGTTTGTGTGCATGTGTCTGTATGTGTGTCTTTAGTTTTAAAAAGAAATAAACTTTGTTATCCAAAAGCTTGCATTATTCAAATTTAGTTTTAAGTACTAATACTATACTAAGTACTTTGCAGTCACACATTACAGCATGAATGGCTAGGGCTAAGAAGCCAGTAAACCAGAGGGGAGTGGTAGCTTGATGTGGCTGCAGCCTCATATTTGATTTTAATCTAATTGTGAGTTTGCCTTTCTCCTTTTCTAGATTTCCTGGTGCCTATCTTAAAGGCAAGAAGTACAGGCCCCTGTTTGACTATTTCCTGAAGGTAAGCTTAGGGACCGCTACTGTGGGCGCTCTCCACAATCTGATTATTTGATAGCTGGGGTGTTGTGAGAAGTGGAATTGACATTACTTTTATGAGTGTACCTGAATCCAGAAAGTCTGCTTTAGTACCAACAAAATTAAATTGTTTGTGTAGCTTTCTTGTCTTAGAGGATTTTTTTTTTTTTTTTTAAAAACAGGGTTTCCTCTGTCCCCCAGGCTGGAGTGCAGTGGCACAATCACAGCTCACTGCAACCTCGACCTCTTGGGCTCAAGTGATTCCCCTGCCCCATCCCGAGTAGCTGGGACTACTGGCACACAGCACCACACCGGGCTAAGTTTTTAGTTTTTTGTAGAGACAGAATCTCGCTATGCTGCCCAGGCTGGTCTTGAACTCCTGGAATTGCAAGCATGAGCCACTGCACCTGGCTGGGATTTTTTGTTGTTGTTGTTTTTGAGATGGAGTGCAAATATCGTGCAATAGCGCGATCTTGGCTGACTGCAACCTCTGCCCCCCAGGTTCAAGCAATTCTCCTGCCTCAGCCTCCCGAGCAGCTGGGATTACAGGCATGCTGTAATTTTTGTACTTTTTAGTAGAGATGGGGTTTCACCATCTTGGCCAGGCTGGTTTTGAACTCCTGACCTTGTGAGCCACCGTGCCTGGCCAAGCTGGGATTTTTTATTTGAATATTTTTCTCAAATTGTATGAGGAATCATTTTACATTTGATTGGATTTTTAGGTGTATATTTTTATTGCATGTAGTCTACATATCACCCAGGGTATTTATTGAGGTTTTTGTTTGTTTGTTTGTTTTGACAAAGTTAAGATAGTAATCACAGTAAAACATCATGTGGAAAGGTAAACACAATTTTATTTCAAGGAGGTTAATGAGGCAGGTGTTTTAAATCTAGGCACCACGACAGAGCTCATACATTTAGCACCTTAGTTTCTTCAGAGTCATAAAGTTGTTTTATGTGGTTTTATTTTCTGACAGTGGAGAATCCACAGCTACAGTTGCAAACCCTGCTGTCCCCACTCCCACACTCTCTCACCGAAAGAATAGTGTCAAAGAGGAATTTCTCCGTCCTTATTTAAAGGTCTTGAAATGAGATAATGAGCAGACCTGGCCTTATGTGGAAATAATAATCAACTGGACATATCACTTACGTCCCATCCCAGAAAAAAATGTTCGCTGAACCCTCAGTTGTTTCTGTTCCGTGTGGGGAGAGTCTGGTTGATTAAGGAGACCTCTGTGGTTTGGGCCCTATCCATGGTGTGTCTGTTACCTGCCTTTTCACTTTTGTGCCTCTTGAGTGTTTTCCCACATTTCTCGTTGCCTACTTGATAGCCTTCTTCCTCCTCCCACGTTGCTGCCCAGTGGATTTCCATATGTTCTGCCCTCATCCCATTCCTCCCTACAGGCGTTAGTTATTTACCAGCAATTAGGACGTGCCCTCCCCAGTCGGTATGTGGCAGAGCTGCTTCCTGACCACATCCTCCCACATTACTTTAGACATATCCTTTATTCAGTCAAACTGGCTCTTCCCTTTCCTGCTTCCCTGCCTTTCTTTAATTAAGTTTTCCTACTGTCTTAAAAGTCTTTATTTTTTTCTTATGTTGATATCTGCTGAGTTAACTCACCCTTCAGGTCTGAACTCAGATGTCCTCTGAAAGTTTTCTGAAATGCATCTTTGGTTTCTCCCTTGGAAAAATGTCATTACTTCATTCCATTCTCCTATCATATAGCTTAACATACTTTGTTTTATGTTGTATTTTTTTTATTATCTGAAATCTCTTCCACTGGATCAGTGACTCTCACCTTTCTGAATCACAAAACCTATTGAGAACCCAAAAACTCAACCCCCTGAAAGAATGCACATGGAT
Organism: Homo sapiens; assembly: GCF_000001405.40. Taxonomy (NCBI): domain Eukaryota; kingdom Metazoa; phylum Chordata; class Mammalia; order Primates; family Hominidae; genus Homo; species Homo sapiens. The sequence continues at coordinate 110,710 of NW_025791788.1, read as the reverse complement.
ACACTAGACAGGAACTTTAGGTTAAGTAGAGGTCTGTCTGGAATATGCACTTGGTAGGTATTAAGTTGAATAACACCTACTCATTAAATAAGCTTCTTAAACTACCTGAAACCTTCGGTGACTTTAGGCAAGTACTATAAATCGTTTGACCCAGGACGGAATCATCTGATGTTCACTGAAATATACCTGTTGTGAAATATCGAGGGAAGCTGAGTCAGCGGACACTGCCTATGGAGCAGCACTGCTGCTCCTGGTGGTTGGTATCTACTGACCTGGGTGGAAGCAGCCCAGCCATGGCCTGGGTAGGCCCAAAGTAGACCCTGAGAGACAAGATGCAGTGACTTTGTCTATACTGCTTCTAAGTATAGAACATGTAACTAAGTATACATGTAATTCTAAGGACCCATGTATTCTGTCTTTCTGTTTAAACTATCGAAGTTTTAGCACCTATCATACTATAACTTCTAAAATGTTTCAAGGTGATTTAGGTTACAACAATTAAAATTTTATGGTTATTTTTCAAGTTTAGTTTTAAGTTCCAAAGAAACCGAGTGCTGTGATGTAATTGAAAATAACATTGTATTTGCAACCAGAAGACCTGTTCCATGTCCTGGCTTCATCATTGCTGGTTGTGTGATTTGGATAAGACTAAGTTTAATCTTTGTTCTGAGCTTGCTCATCTGTGAAATGCAAATACAGCCAGAATATTTTTAAGACATGGGACTACTAATAGCTTGTTCACAGAATTATAGGAGTTAAATGTGAAAATCACTTGTGAAAGTACTTTTTACCAATGCAAAAAGGAAGGACATCAAAGGGCCAGTTTGGCAGAAACAAGGGTTTGTGGAAAGAAATGTAAAAAGATGAAAGTAGAGTAGGTCTGTTAGCATTATATGTATTAACATGATGATATTGCTGTTGCAAAGAAAATGAAATTGAACACATTTCCCCTGAGTATTAAGGTGGTGGAGTACCTGTAAGTAGAACTTACTACTCGTGGCTCCCACCTGTTCCTTTCAAGATTTGCCTTTATGACTGAATAACTTGAGCTGAGTTGAAAGGAGAAAGAGAAGCAAAACATATGCAGTGATTGAAAATGTACCAGGAAGTGAACAATTTAGGGAGCATGCTTTCTGAGACTGTATCCTAAACTGCATAGGGACAAAAAGTTGGGGGAGGGAGAACTAATGAAAAACACGTTTGTAACCAAGGAAATTAGAAATTTTTATCTGCCATTCTCCAGATAATTATTTCGTTTATAAGTGGTAACTTTTTATTTATGGGAAAAATGTATTGAATTAGCATGTTTCTTCCCAGCCTGCATTATTCTTTCTTTTCTATTTCTGAAAATAATTTTACCGGTTAAAAGCATTTTCAGGTTCTTAGGAAAAACTGTTACAAAGTTAACGTTGTAACACAGTAATGTTTCATCCCTGAAGCCTGCTGTCCTTTCTTTCCAGTGTAAAGAGAATGGCGCTTTCACTGTGCTTGTTGACAACTATGTGAAGGAAGAAGAAGGCACAGGGGTTGTCCACCAAGCTCCTTACTTCGGTGCTGTGAGTAGCATAAGTCTGGCAAATGTATTTGAGTATGTCGGTAGCCACTTTTCATAGATGCGGAGTCCTGTGTCTCATCATGTTGGGTTACCAGGTTGGCCTCTTTTCTGGCTCACTGCCTGCAAGATGGCTTGTAAAATTTGCATCTGCAATTCCCTTTCATCCTAAGCTGATTTCTGGAAAGAGTGGGCCAAATCCAGTAAACTCTTTTTGGTGTGCAGTTCCGTGAGTTTTGACAGGCATCTAGAGACGTGCAGGTGCCTCAGCCACCAAGATACAGACCATTCCCATCACCTCTGCTGTGTTCTTAATTAAATGTTCAGAAGGGGGAATCTGACCTCTCCCCTCAAAACAGTACTCTACAGTTAATTTTATATTTTGACTAGAATAATTTTTCTAAAAACACATTCCTTTTTATGTAATTTGTGTATGAATAAAAACAGAATAACATAAAGGCACATGCTTTACAGTAAACCACCTCTCACCTTAAATCATGGCACTGCCACTAACGGGCAGTTCCTGGGTAAGTTGCCTGGCCTATCTGGACTTCTTTTGCCTCCTCTGTAGCATGGTGTAGCATGGTGTAGCACCTACATACACATTCCTCTAGGCTTGATCGTTTTGTCAGTGAGAGGGATTGGAAATGTGACTTTGTTCTAAAAGGCAGTGGCAGTAGTCTGCCCTCATCTGCCATTTTGCTTTCATGCTTAATCTCTGGGATTTTTTACTTTTATAGATGTAGAGGGTACGGGTGCAATTTTTTTACATTGATATGTTGTATAGTAGTAAAATCTGGGCTTTTAGTGTAACCATCACTTGAATTTTTATTATGGAAATCTTGAAACATACACAGAAGAAAATATGATAATAGATTCTTTTTTTCACATCATCCAGCTGCATTAACTCTCAATGTTTTGGCAATCTCTCGTTTTCTTCCTCTGTACAGTAGCACACTTTTTTATTTTGGCTGGAGGATTTAAAAGCAAATCCTCATCCTCATGTCTTTCGTGTCTAAGTAATTCTAGCTGCATCTCTGACTGATAAGGACTTTTATTTTCAGTATAAATATCCAATAAAGTCAGCAATTCCTTAATAATCACCTAATACCTGGTCCATTTTGATGGAAGGAAGCATTCTTGATAATACTACTTAAGAGTTTTAGGAACTAGTCAAATATTGTTCATAATCATTTTAGGGTCAATTAACTGGTATGGTTACCCCACTCTTAGTAGATAATAAAAAGGTAACTTCTTGGTTTTGAATTGTAGTGTAGGGGTTTTTTTTTTTTTTTTTGAGATGGGAGTCTCGCTCTGTCACCCAGGCTGGAGTGCAGTGGCAGGATCTCGGCTCACTGCAATCTCCGTCTCCTGGGTTCAAGCGATTCTCCTGCCTCAGCCTCCTGAGGTTTTCTTTTTTAAATGTGGGTGTTTGTCATTAACTCTAGAGTTATATCTCATATATCTATTCTCAATGCTGTGCATGTTAATGTTATAGAAGATTCATTCTTTAAACTATAGCTTTTAACACCATTTGGTAAATTTTTTTTTTTTTTTTTTTTTTTGTTTTGTTTTGTTTGAGACAGAGTCTCCCTCTGTTGCCCAGGCTGTAGTGCAATGGTGCAATCTTGGCTCACGGCAACCTCTGCCTCCCAGGTTCAAGCGATTCTCCTGCCTCAGCCTGCCAAGTAGCTGGGATTATAGGCACCTGCCACCATGCCTGGCTTATTTTTTGTAAATTTAGTAGAGACAGGGTTTCACCATGTTGGCCAGGCTGGTCTCAAACTTCTGACCTCAGGTGATCTGACCGCCTTGGCCTCCCAAAGTGCTGGGGTTACAGGCGTGAGCCACTGCACCCGGCCTTGGTAAACATTTTCTGAGAGGCCTTCCGTTGCACTTGTCTTCACCAGGCAAGGGTAGTGTTTGATCTTCGCAGAGTCTGTGCACTTGTGCGTCATCCTGTTGAACATCACTGGTTCTGGATGCATTCAGGAATGCTGCTCTTAGCTTAATGCACTGGGTAAAGTTACTTGCTCCACACTCAGTGGTTCAAATTGCTGCACTTAGGGGCTTTTCCTGTCTACCCACATGACACCACACCAGTCAGCCTCAGCACAGGGAGAGGTGAACACAGATCCAGGTGGAAGCATGTCAGCTTTCCAGCTTGTCTTGGAGTCAACCCAGAGTGTGGTTTCACCAACATAAGGCAATCTCTTTAATTTTATATTTAGGCATCATAACACAGTGATGAAGACTATAGACTCTGGAGCCAGGCTGTTTGGTTTTGAATCCTAGCATTGCTGCTTCATAGCTGAGTTACTTCTTGGTACCTCGACTTTCCTATCTGTAAAATAGGAAATTTTTGGTTTTTCAGATGTGTGTGCTGCTGTTATAAATCAAATTTGATTTAGTTTTAAAACATTCCTGTGTGGCTGCTCTGCTTATGGAGTAGCCATTCTTTATTGCTTTACTTTCTTAATTCCTTTCACTTAAAAAATTGATGTATGTCATCTATCTTCTCATTTAGTGGATACTCTGCTACATATGGAGGTCTGGGAAATAATATTTGAGAAGACTAGACTGGGTGACCTAACCCCTGTCCAACTGTGAGGGTCTGATTCTCCGAATGGTCTTGAGTTACCTTCAGTTTACAGGACAAAGTTGATGAAATGTATATGTTACAATATAGAACAATTATCTTGGGAATCTATTACCTCATGCTCACACCCATACATAGACTGTTTTATTCTTCCCTCTCTTTTGCCTTTTCTCAGGAGGACTATCGGGTCTGTATGGACTTTAACATTATTCGGAAAGACTCACTCCCTGTTTGCCCTGTGGATGCTTCAGGCTGCTTCACAACGGAGGTGACAGATTTCGCAGGACAGTATGTGAAGGTCTGTAATCCATATAGCATAGAAGGGTGACTGTTACTTCTGATTAGTCTCTACCATCATTTATAATTGTATTGTAATTCTTCTAGGAAGTTGTTTTTATTTGGTTTTGTCATCGCATGAAATCCGTAAAGACAGATGTTATCAGTTACGTTCAGAGGGTCTCATATCTTTAGAGGATGCATGCTGAAATTTCATGGGGAAAGATCAGAAAAACTCCAGTTCATGCCTCATGAAGCACCTTTGTGACCTTGGGGTTGTCATTTCAGATCGAAAAACTTTATGACCTTAAATGTTGTGGAATGTACTTGAAAATTACTTAAAGTTAGTGACTAAAAATAATAAATAATATTTGTTATTTGTGCCTTTTATTCATAACAAGGTATCAGATTCTAGTAATATATTGTTCCTAAGTATTATAGTATGTTTTAATGGCTAAATTTTAATTTTTTTTAATAGGATGCTGACAAAAGTATCATCAGGACTTTGAAGGAACAAGGCCGACTTCTGGTTGCCACCACCTTCACTCACAGCTACCCTTTTTGCTGGAGGTCAGAAGAAACAAAGACTGTGTTGTAGCTAGAGCTTCCAGTCTGTGCTTACACTTACTATATGTGCCCATTCCATCTTATTTGTGGTGTTCATCTCACTTGTATCCTTTAGAGTTGGTTTGGGAAGCCACCTTCTTACTTCATTTTTAGGAGAGTTGGGTTTTTTGTTTGTTTTTTTGTTGTTGTTTTGAGATAGGGTCTCACTCTGACGCCCAGGCTGGAATGCAGTGGTGCAATCACAGCTCACTGCACCCTCCACCTCCCCGGCTTAAGCAATCCTCCCACCTCAGCTTCTGGAGTAGCTGGAACTATGTAGGTGGTGCCATCACACCCGGCTGATTTTTGCATTTCTTATAGAAATGAGGTTTCGCCATGTTGTCCAGGCTGGTCTCAAACTACTGGGCTCAAATAATCCTCCCACCTTGTCCTCCCAAAGTGCTGAGATTACAGGCATGAGCCACAGCGCCTGGTCTAGGAGAGTTTTATGAATGGCTAAAAATGTTGCTTTCCTAAGGAACTGTGAGAGAAAAATAGACCTGTACAAATCTGTTTTGTATTGTGGCCACATTTTTTTTAGGATGAGAAGCATCTCTAAAATTTTGTAATAGAGTTTATTGAAAAATTTAATATGATTTTAACCTTTAATATAAGACCATGCTGTAAAAGTATGGGTGAAAATGAAATGTTCAGTTGCATCGTGTTTGGTTTCCACATTGCCTCTTCTGTGTTGAAGTTGAAGTTGACATTGTTTCTTAGATAATTGTCACTAGCAGAACTATTTTTTTCTACTCTTGTTCTTGTATTAGTTTTTGCCTTTCTTACTATTGTGGAAAGATATGACCAATTTTGAAGTCTTAGATGTTTTTATCTATAATAAAAATGAATATTAGCAGAAGGCCAAGTAAGTGATGATGCTGTCAATAAGACATGAAAAGTCAGTCTTACCGTAGTGCCTACTAGTCTCAGCCTGAGCAGCTATGTGTGTGTTTCTGCTTCCCCAGATCAGACACTCCTCTAATTTACAAAGCAGTGCCCAGCTGGTTTGTGCGAGTGGAGAACATGGTGGACCAGCTCCTAAGGAACAATGACCTGTGCTACTGGTGAGCAGTAAGATGTGTTTCTTCATAGTGTCTTTTGTCATGTGGTTAGTAAGTATGGTTTACACTTCCCCCAAGTTATAATTTTAATAACCCATCTTTTATTGGGTATTGTAATAGCTATCTTTTCTTCTGTGTGTTTAGGAGCACAAAATAATTCAAATAATGTTACAGAACAGAAGTAACATCCTTCTTGTGATAAAGTATGTAAGGGAGTATTTTTCTTTTTAAACTCATTGGAAATGATAAACCACCATTTATTCGATTTAGGGAATGAAATGACCTTGGAAAAATATGGCTGTACTGCCAGAGTTTGCTAGCCTTCAATAATAGTCATTTTCAGAGTAAACATTATTTTCAGATATACCTGCAAAAGCCATTTGTACTTACTCTTGTTGGTCCTGCAGTGGATGATGTACCCTGTGCTTGGCTGTATGGATAAGCTCCAAGCACAGAAGCCTTTGCTTTCCATAGCTGATATGTGTCCTGCAGGTGATAGCCCAAGAAGTATCATTTCAGCCTCTGGGTACAAAATGAAACAAGGCTTGAACCTGTGTATTTCAGATGAATGTTTTTCACTACAAGTTTGAAAAGTAATCACCACTCTTAACTTCTCACAAGGACCCAACTAGACTCTAGAAAACTGTATCTGAGTTTAGGAGAATGGGGAGAATCTCAGGGCAGCAAAGGAAATAGTTATAAACTGTAGCTTTCTAATATTTCTTAGCAGAGTGGTCCTGATTTCTCAAAAGACAGCTTTTCATTTTTAGAGCTAGTAAGCTAATTAGTTCCCCTAATGTGTAAGATACTAGATATAGAATATTAGTAAGATAGCCTCGAGGGGGTGCAGGCATATAAACTGATCTTTGAAGTACAGGGCAGTAACTGCAGTGCCCAAGAGAAGAAGGGGAGGTCTGGTAGCCTACCCTGACTCAGCCTTGTGCTTGAAAAGGATTTCTGCAAAGCTGAACCTCAAGGAATAAAGAGTACTGGGAGTGGGAGGGATGCAAGAGGATGGATGCAGAAGGGAGGGAAGCTGCGTGTCAGAGGGCAGGCAGGCTGCGTGTCAGAGGGCAGGCATGGGCAAAGCCAGTTAAGTGAGAAGGATTCTAGGGAACTTGCCTCATTGCCAGAGCCTGAAATTCAAGACCAAGGATGACCAGAGAGGTGACTATAGAGAGGGCTGCTAGAGCAGCTACCAATCCCCTGGCCTGTTGGCCTTTGCTTAATGAGTTCAGAAAAACTGCTATGGTGAGGATAATGTGAAGACTAGAGTTGTATGGGATGAGGCTGGCTAAAGCTAAGGTGACTGGTTAGAGGTATGTGGCAGCTGTACTCCAGTTGAAGAGGAGGACATGGGAGGCCTGTGTGCTGTGGGGTAATCTATTGGATGTAGGTCATTGATGGCAGCACAAACTGTTGTGTGTGCTATGCTGTCCATTTAGAAGACATTCTCTTTGCAGTGAGCGCCACGTTTCCAGAGTGTTTGGTCCACAAAGCGTTATACAAAGGCTCCTGTGGGTATTATTTACATGTTGAATTTTTCCATATTTTTATGTGATTGGTTATGTGATCTGTTTATTGCAGGGTCCCAGAGTTGGTACGAGAAAAACGATTTGGAAATTGGCTGAAAGATGCACGTGACTGGACAATTTCCAGAAACAGATACTGGGGCACCCCCATCCCACTGTGGGTCAGCGATGACTTTGAGGAGGTGAGGCATGGCAGTATTTCCTTGTGTTGATTTTTGCTAAAGCATTTTGTTCATGAAATCTGAATGTGGTTTAAAAGAATAGGGTGTTTTTTTCTTTGCCCCTTTCTTATTTCATCTTTTTTCCTCTTTATTCCTTTCTAGAATCATGACATAAGATAATCTGTTTCTGGGGTTTTTAACTTTTTTTCCTTGAATTAAATACAATTTATAAAACTTTCCTCTGTAAAAATAAAAGGATACAGTTTTCTCAGGGAAATACACACTTTAAATGTTTTTTTTGTGTGTTTCCCCGATGTCTTTTCTTCCCCCTACATTAAGGTATACTATTAGCTTATGGTTAAACTGACTTTATAGATGATGAAAAAAGAAAACTTGAAAAGAAATTTACCAAAGCATTACAGACCTTTAACTTCTAAAATCAAATGAATAAGAGGATGTGTGTAGATATATAGATGTATGTGGATATACTATGTCCTCACTTAATGTCATACAGAGGTTCTTGATAACTGACTTTAGGCCGGGTGTGATGGCTCCCACATGTAATCGCAGCACTTAGGGAGGCCAAGGCAGGAGGATCGCTTGAGACCAGATATTTGAGACCAGCCTAGGCAACATAATGAGGTTCCATCTCTACAAAAATGTTTGTTAAATTAGACAGGCATGGTGGTGCACGCCACTTAGTTCCAGCTACTGGGACCTCTCAATGACATCAGGCGAGGACTTACTATACAGATAGATCTGTGTGTTTGGCCTTCTGTCCAAAGCTGACAGCATTGTTGCAGTGATGAGCGGCAGCACCCTGGGGACCTTGGTGAATCTCCCATAGGGACCTGAAAGGCAACAGTGAAGTAGCTGAATCAGAAGACTTTTCAGGACTGAACAGGAAGGGCAGAGAAAGAGGCCACCAGTGTTCACTAGGATCAGAAGCTCCCTGGGTGAGAACGCACAGCAGTTCCTACTGGTGTGGCCCTTGTCAGATGATCCCTCCATTCTGAGTGCCCCAGCTAGCCCCATCTCTCAGCTCTTTACCTGGATATAATCCTAGCATCCTGTGGCTTTGTCTGATTGCTTTAATCGGGTCCAAGCATAATATAGTCATGCACCACATAATGTCATTCAGTCAATGACAGACCGCATATACGACAGTGGTCCCACAAGATTATGATACCATATGGTTACTGTGCCTTTTCTGTGTTTTGTAATGTTTAGAAACTCAAATACTTCCTGTTTTAGTCTGTTTAGTGTAGCTACAAAGGAATACCTGAGGCTGGATAATTTATAAAGAAAAGTAGTTTATTTGGCTTATGATTCTGCATGACTGGAAAGTTGAAGACTAGACATCTGCATGTGGGGAGGACCTCAGGCTACATCCACTTATGATGGAAGGCTGGACAGGAGCCAGAGTATGCAGAAATCACATGGCAAGAGAAGAAACGGGCGGTGGGGTGGGGGCAGGCTCTTTTCAACAGTCAGCTCTCACAGGAGCTAATAGAGAGAGAACTAACTCACTGCAGAAGGAGAGCATTGGTCTCTTCACGAGGGATCCACCCTGTGACCCAGATGCCTCCCATCGGGCTCCATCTGTCAATACTGCCACACTGGGGATTAAATTTCAACTTGAGATTTGCTGGGGACAAACCATATGAAAACTAGAGCATTTACCATTGTGTTACAGTTGCCTGCAGAATTCAGTACAGCCACATGCTGTACAGGTTTGTAGCTTAGAAGTAATAGGCTCCACCATATAGCCTAGCTGTGTTTTAGGCCATCCCATCTAGGTCTGTGATGTTTGCCTAAGGAAATCACCCTAACAATGCATTTCTCAGAATGTATTCCCACCATTAAGCACTGTATGACTATAATTTAGCTCTAGCTTTTTCTTGGGAAGATTCTAGATTAATGAGCCAGATTCAGGTGCCAGGAGGAAACTAAAATGCCTTAGAGAAATAATCTAAGATGTTTCACTTATGCCAGTTACTTTGACAATTTGCACATAATAAACCCTTAATATCCATTGAGAGTATGGCTATGAATGTTTAAGATTCTCTCTAGGTAGGGACTCCCTCTGATACTGGGGTGGAAACAGAGGAGCAGTGGCAACCCTGGCCTCTTCAGAGACTAAGAGTAGGCTGTGTCTTTCATGAGAGAGAAGCCACATTAGCAAATACTATCCTTCGGCCCAGATTGGTGTGTTAATGTGCCTTTAAATCATCAGTCTCAGGCTGGGTGGCTCACGCCTGTAATCGCAGCACTTTGGGAGGCTGAGGGTGGCTGATAGCTCGAGTCCAAGAGTTTGAGACCAGCCTGGGCAGCATGGCGAAACCCTGTCTTTACTAAAAATACAAAAAATTAGCTGGGTGAGGTGGTGCCTGCCTGTAGCCCCAGGTACTTGGGAGGCTTAGGTGAGAGGATCACCTGAGCCCAGGAAGCTGAGGCTGCAGTGAGCTGTGATTGTGCCACTGCACTCCAGCCTGGGCAATGGTAGTGAGACCCTATCTCAAAAAAAAAGGAAAAAGAAAATCATCAGTCTCTCAAAGTAAACATGCATGCTATATAAATTAACTCAGTATGCTCTGTTTGGCTCTAAGGAGCTCCTGCTATTGAACTTTGTTTTTGACAGGTGGTATGCATTGGGTCAGTGGCGGAACTTGAAGAACTGTCAGGAGCAAAGATCTCAGATCTCCACAGAGAGAGGTCAGTTTCTAAATGTTCGATTCACTTCAGTTTTACGATTCTCCTATTAAGACCTGGTCTCTAGCAGATTACAGAGCCACACATGGAAGTGACTAGCTTGCTGAATTACTTTGCTGATGACTCATGTCATATTGCAGTATTGTGGCCTCTGTCCTTGTGAAATGTGAGGTGAATGGTGCATAACCTTTCAGATGGAGGATTCATGGTGCTCTCTGAAAGCCTTTGAGAATTGCTGATATTTCTGTTTGCAAATGTGTATAATATCTTGTCAGGGTTTTGTGTTTCCTATTAGCAATTAAACTGCAAGTTCTGTTATGCTTACAGTTAATAGAAATGACTACTTTTCTGTTTGTTAGTGTTGACCACCTGACCATTCCTTCACGCTGTGGGAAGGGATCCTTGCACCGCATCTCTGAAGTGTTTGACTGTTGGTTTGAGAGTGGCAGCATGCCCTATGCTCAGGTTCATTACCCGTTTGAAAACAAGAGGGAGTTTGAGGATGCTTTTCCTGCAGATTTCATTGCCGAGGGCATCGACCAAACCAGAGGATGGTATGCCTCCTTGTTCTTTCATCACGTGTTTTATTGATTTTATTTTATTTAGGGAGTATTTTACTAAGTCACTGCCATTTATCTACTGGGTGATGGAGAGATTGTGGCAAATAAGACAGGCTACATTCCTGCCCTCTCCCCTCCACCACCAAGCACGGACATTAAAGTGCCTTTTGAGTAGGACTCTCCCACTACAATAGGGCTGTAGTTTTACAATTTCAATGATCTCACTGGCATTTTGGAATATATGTGTTACACTGGATGTTAAAATGATAAAAAAAGTTATGTGTTCTTAGCTTACGTCAGATCATTTACTCAAATGTTTGAGTATTTGCATAAAAGACAGTAGTTTGGGTGCTAGAAATTTGAGGGATAGTTGGTAATGTGCTCAGATATTGAGGCTAGCCTTATAAATCAACATTCTAAAAAAATCCAGATTTTTAAAAAATATACATATGAGAGAGGATTTGGGCATTGATTTTTATCTGGTGCCTTATGTAAAACAGTTCCTTAATTGGAAGAAGGTGAATTACTTTCTTTCCATGGATTGGCTTTGCTGGCCCAGGCTTTATTTACTTTTTTTTTTTTTTTTGAGACAGAATCTTGCACTCTGCTGCCCAGGCTGGAGTGCAGGGGTGTGATCTCGGCTCACTGCACCCTTCGCCTCCTGGGTTCAAGCAATTCTTCTGCCTCACCCTCCTAAGTAGCTGGGTCTACAGGCATGCACCACCATGCCCAGCTAATTTTTGTAGTTTTAGTAGAGACTGGGTTTCACCATGTTGGCCAGGCTGGTCTCGAACTCCTGACCTCAAGTGACCCACCCGTCTCAGCCTCCCAAAGTGCTGGGATTACAGGCGTGAGCCATTGCGCCCAGCCCAGGTTTTAATTATACATTCACAGTAATGTTTCTGCAGGGGTGTGTTAAAGGAATTGTTGGTGTCATTTTCTCTCTTTGACAGCTTTGGGTAATCATTGAATTCAAGTCTTCATGTTCTGGAATGTGCTGTCTTCAGATTCCAGTCCTTTTTGTCTATAGGAACAGCTACCCAGCACAAATTCTGTTTTTAGAAAGGGGTAGATGCCTTACCAATGAGCTTGTTCCTTTGAGGAGTAGCAAAGTCTGTTAGCTGGTAACAGTCCTCATGTGGATCCCGTGTCCTTGGTGCCTGCCTCCTTCTCCATTCCTGAGGCCTGGGCTACCTCTCCTGGGCACCAGGGCTCCTCCCAACTCTCCTTTAGAAGTGGGAGGGATATCTGGATCAGTGTTTATGTTAACTATGGGGTCTGGTCTCCTCAGCTCATGTCCCTTGATGTTCTCAGAGTGCAGGACTAGGTAAGAGAGGCAGGAAAGCATCACCCCCAGGACAGTGGTCAGGGATATGAGTTCATTTGGGAAACAAGCTAGGTAGCACATAAATGAGGTACATAACATTTTACAGAATAAAAGCATTTTCTAGTCTGCCTTATCACTTTTGGGTGAGAGTGCATTTTGCATCTTTTGTCATCAAATTGTCTTTTCCATATGATCTTGTGCCAAATTCAAAACCCATCCTTCATCTTCAGCTAGGTGCTTCTGGGTGGTCCTGAGAGGCCACCCAGTGCTGCCATGTGGCTCTCCACACAGACTTCCTGGGAGCTCTGGTAACAGAGAAATGGTCAGTAAATCATTCCAGACGTTTATTTCAATGCTTCTTTCAAATCTTAGACAGTAATTTGATTGGTCTCCAGTAACCAGGATTAAGAATCATTGCTTTAAGTGATTCTCAAGAAGTGTGACTTATCAAAAATAGAAATTCAATGAATAAATACAGTTTCTTTCTTATGCTTGGACTTCATTTCTATTTTTATTGAACTGTTTGGGGTTTTTTTTCAGGTTTTATACCCTGCTGGTGCTGGCCACGGCCCTCTTTGGACAACCGCCTTTCAAGAACGTAATTGTGAATGGGCTTGTCCTGGCAAGGTAGGTCAACTTTGTTGTAGTGACGGGTGGAACTTTGTCTCCACTGTTTCTTAAGAAGGAGTGCGTGAGAGCGGTCAACTTTGTTGTAGTGACAGGTGGAGCTTTGTCTCCACTGTTTCTCAAGAAGGAGTGTGTGACAGCTAAGCCTGATGGAGGAGGAGGAAGGGGAGGACTTTCAGATTGTGCTACTGCTAGTAACATAATGCTACTAGTGATATTACTAGTAATAAAATAGCATTTACTAAACTTAGCACTTTATGAAATACTTTTGCTTATAGATCTTATTTAATCTGTACATCAGTCCTTTCATGTAGATTTTGTTGTCCTTTTTTTAACACACGAGGAAGCTGTGGGTTCTAGAGACCACAGGTGCCCAGGATCAAAGCTAGTGACAGCCACACTGGGCTTGACCGAGGTACTCTGCCACCAGATCCCATTCTTCCCCTCATCTGAAACTTCCTCCCAATGGGCATTATTTCCCACATTTTGCTATTATAAGGAAGTCTCATTTTTCCTTTACTTTATTACCTCTAGTCATTAAGAATAAAAATAAACATAAATGAAAATTTTAAAATGAAATATTTTAAAATAGAATTTGTGCTGAGTACCCACACAGAAATCCTACTTTATATGCTGTGTGAGGAGGAAGAGGATGTCACCTAACATTTTGTGCATCCTTATTTTTTGCCAGGCCCCACTGTGTGCATTTTCACATTTTAACTCATTTAATCCCCAGAACCATTTGAGATGGGTCCTATAATCCCTTTGTGACCTTTGAGGAATCTGAGGGACAGGAAAAAGTGACTTGCCAAAGGACACACAGCAAATGAGTGGTAAATGCAAATTTTGAACCCAGGCAGTCTGCCTCTGTAGTATGTGTACTACTTTTTTTTTTTTTTTAATTGAAAATTTTATTGAGGGCTGGGTGCTATGGCTCATGCTTGTAATCCCAGCCATTTGGGAGGCCATGGTGGGCGGATCTCCTGAGGTCAGGAGTTGGAGACCAGCCTGGCCAACTTGATAAAACCCCCGTCTCTACTAAAAATACAAAATTAGTGGGTGCAGTGGCACACACCTGTAACCCCAGCTACCTGGGAGGCTGAGGCACAAGAATCGCTTGAACCTGGGAGGCAGAGGTTGGAGTGAGCCAAGATCATGCCACTGCACTCCAGCCTGGGTAATAGAGTGAGGCTCCATCTCAAAAAAAAAAAGGGGGAAATTGTATTGAGATCATTGTAGATTTGCATGCAATTGTGAAAAATAATAGAGATCCCTTAAATTCTTTGCCCAGTTTCCCCCAGTGGTCACATTTTGCAAAACTACAGTATATATCACAACCAGGATATTGATATAGCCCACTAATCGTATTCAGATTTCTCTAGTTTTACATATACTTATTTGCTTATACGCATTTACCTGTATACGGCTATCGTGTGTAGGATCCTGTATCCAGCAGCACAGTCAGGTTACTGAATGAATTCAACATCAAAGGCTCCCTTCCTGCATTGCCTTCCCCTCCTGCCTTCCCACTGTCATCCCCAATCCCTGGCAACCACTGGTTTTTTCTCCATCTCTGTAATTTTGTCGTTTCCAGAATGTTATATAAATAGAATTATACAGTAACTAACTTGGGGGAATTGGCTTTTTTTTTCTTTTTTTTGAGACAGAGTCTCACTCTATCACCCAGGCTGGAGTGTAGTGGCGTGATCTCGGCTCACTGCAGCCTCCACCTCCTGGGCTCAAGCGATTCTCCCATCTCAGCCTCCCGAGTAGCTGGGACCACAGGCATGAACCACCACACCCAGCTAATATTTTGTATTTTTGGTAGAGACAGGGTTTCACCATGTTGACAGGCTGGTCTCGAGCTCCTGAGCTCAGGCGATCCACCTGCCTCGGCCTCCCAAAGTGCTAGTATTACAGGCATGAGCCACCGCACCCAGCTGGCTTTTTTTAAATCCACATAATTCCATTGAGATTTTAGATGACTGCACCTACCAATAGTTCCTTCCTTTCCATGGATAAATAGCATTCTGTATTATGGGTATGCCATGGTTTGTTTGATCATCCACCTCTTGAAGGACATCTGGGTTGCTTCTAACATTTGGCAATTGTGAATAAAGCTGTTGTGAACAATTGATAATAGGTTTTTATGATAATGTAAGTTTTCATTTCTTTGGGATATATTCTGACACATCTTTCTTCTTCAGTCTACCCTGAAGCTTCCTCATGGACTTAGTATGATATTCAAAAAGAAGTTTGCAAATATTAACAAAATATCTTACCATTGTACCTTAACACTGTTTGTTTCTTTTTTGAGACAGAGTCTTGCTCTGCTGCCCAGGCTAGAGTGTAGTGGCGCGATCTTGGCTCACTTCAATCTCTGCCTCTCAGGTTCAGGCAATTCTCCTGCCTCAGCCTCCCCAGTAGTGGGGATTACAAGTGTGCGCCCCCACGCCCAGCTAATTTTTGTATTTTTAGTAGAAACAGGTTTCACCATTTTGGCCAGGCTGGTCTTGAACTCCTGACCTCAGGTGATCTGCCTGCCTCAGCCTCCCAAAGTGCTGGGATTACAGGAGTGAGCCACCGCGCCCGGCCTATTAGCACTAACTTCTATCTAAGTTACTCCTTCCCATTTCATTTTGTATATTCCTGTTTGCAAATGATTTGTATCCTTAAAACAAGATCATCTGTGATATTGACTTACTTAATTGGCATCTCCCTTTTGTTTTACAAGTGATGGCCAAAAAATGAGCAAACGGAAAAAGAATTATCCAGATCCAGTTTCCATCATCCAGAAGTATGGTGCTGATGCCCTCAGGTACAAACCAGTGCTTTGCCTTGTGTGTATCTATTGTTTTTTTATGTAAGCATCTCCTATACTATTAATCAGTATTCTTAGATTTGGTTTATAGTTAGGTTTTTAGCAACATATCTCTGTTATTTGGATGTTATGTTGGTATGGTTGTTGATTTTAAACCCCCAAAATAGTTTTCTAAATAATAAAGGCATTTTTAAACCTAGAGGTCTGTTTGAGGAAGAGGACCTGTGTTGGGTGTTGTTGAGCTGTCCAAGTCCTCCCCAGGCTAGATGCTGATTGCCTCTGCCTTACTTCCTTTCTAGGTTCCCTGTCTTGTTGGTATTAGAATTCTCTTTCATCATTTGTTTTAATTTTGTACTTACAGAGCCATGTGAGATATATCTATGCTAGAGGTGATAAAAAAACTCATATTGAAAAGCTTTTGGAGAAATTTGAGCCACTGCTTGAGGTAGCTGTAATCATGAAACCACACAGTGTTCAAGTTGAAAGGGACCTAGAGATCTTGTTCAGCATCCCTGTGTCCTAGGCATGAGACCAGTGCCCAGGCCTGTGACTCAGCACCTTCACACAGTACCTCTGTTGACCAGGAGCCATTAGTGGGGCTCTCCCCCAATTCTCCACTGTCTCTTAGACTCACCCTTGGCACTGCTGCCCATTTGGGCTGTGTAATTCTTTGTGGTGGTAGTTCTTTGTAGGATGTTTAGCAGCATCCCTAACCTCTGCCCACCAGATGTCAAGACTCTGCTCTGTGAAGGCTCTTCCTTGTGAGTCCCTCTCTCTGCAAGCAGCAGATGCAGGTCGTGTCCGTGGGAAGGACACAGTGGCTCTTGACGAGGACCAGGCCAGCCTTTCTCTTAGTGCTGGTGTACCCCATTGGTCCTGCAGTGAGAGTGGCATAAGATGCATTTCTGTGCTATACAGTGCCATATTTTGGTGTCAGATTATATACGTCTTTTATAATTTGCTAAGTCTCTTATAGAAAGTGAGAGTGAGTTTTGTGAGTTTTAAATTGACCACTCAAAGAGTATTCATAATTACCCCCTTTTGTAGAAAATAGGACTGATTTTCATCTTGCTCTCTCAATATGTCGAGTAGTAATAATTGGTTTACTGTCTAAGTACCTTTTCTGTCTAATTTTTCTCCCTCTTCCAGATTATATCTGATTAACTCCCCTGTGGTGAGAGCAGAAAACCTCCGCTTTAAAGAAGAGGGTGTGCGGGACGTCCTTAAGGATGTACTGCTCCCATGGTACAATGCCTATCGCTTCTTAATCCAGAACGTTCTGAGGCTCCAGAAGGTATGGGCTGTAGGGGGCTGCACATGTACCTGCCGTGTCTCCACAGCGCTCCCTTCACCAAGCTGTGAGGTGGAGCTCTGTGTGAGACTTTAGGGCTGCTGTTCTCTGCTGCCTGATGCTGGGGTAACTTAGAGCCATGGGGAGGCCATACATGCAGGTGCGGAAGGTATCTAGGGTCCGGGCTATGCCAAGACCATGGGCCCTAGCCTGCAAAAGAGTTATGTCATATAGTTGTTTAGTCGCCAGTTGTTGTTTTTGTTTTTGAGGTGGAGTCTCAGTCTTGTCACCCAGACTGGATTGCAATAGCACGATCTCGGCTCACTGTAACCTCTGCCTCCTGGGTTGAGGCACTGCCTCAGCCTCCCCAGTAGCTGGGATTACAGGCACCCACCACCATGCCTGGCTAATTGTTTTATATTTTTAGTGGAGACTTGGTTTCATCATGTTGGTCAGGCTGATCTTGAACTCCAGACCTCAGGTGATCCGCCCTTCTTGGCCTCCCAAAAGTGCTGGGATTACAGGCATGAGCCACGGCACCCAGCTTCGTCAGCCAGTTCTTGGTACCAGGAACACCATGTTGAGTGAGACACCCCTCCCCTTATGGAACCAATGGAGTGGGAATTGGGAGATACAGTAAAGAGTCAGCAACTTTTAGAGAGAGCACCCAGTGAAGGCGGAGTCACAGGCAAGCTAGGGCTGGCCACTTGAGATGGGTGGTCAGAGAAGGCCCCTCAGTGGGGTGGCATTTGGGCTAATCTGAGAGTGACAGCAGTTCTCGATGGAGTTTTCAGTGGGTTGTTAGGGTCACATATAATAGTTGTGATGTATGTGGAAGTGTACTTCAATGGCAGTTACCTCCACGCCCAGGAGTTACTTTCTCACCTGAGAAGCCCTTGCTCTAGAGCCACCTTCCATGCCCCACAACTGACCATTGTCAGCGTCCATCACCTTCATTGAACATGTTCCTGTATGGGCTTTCAAGACCTGATTTGGGGTCAGAGTTCCGATACTGCACATCTGATCTCCAGCACCTTACAAGTAAAATTGCTTGTAAGTAAATAACTGTTGAATGAAAATGAGATATTATTCCTGCTTGAGCAGATGAAAAAGCTGGTTGGAAAAATGAACTCTTGTTATCCCACTCCAGCAGGCAGGTCAATTACTTCTGCTCCCCTTGGGCTCTGGTTGTTCTGCTAATGAGGACACATCATGTTCACCTGAGGCTCTCAGAGTAGCCTTTCCCCAGGAATTGAGAAGGGCAGTCATCTTCCCCAGGCTCCCAGCATTCCTCCTCTCTGCAGCCTGCCACCTGTCCTGCATGTGGTTCTCTGCCAAGTAGGGCAAACAGTCCTTGGGCAGGTGCACTCTGCAGGTCTCCACTGGTGTGGGACTCAGGAATACAGGCGGGGTCAAAGCTCCCCACAGCCAGGGCCCATCTGAATATACCAGCAAGACACAGACTCCATGATCAGGGCCTTAAACACAGAGGAAGAGTCACATTATCACTGCCCCGCTAGCCTGGTTGTGGTGCTGCCAGAGAAACAAAGCAGGACATGAGTTCTGTTTGTAGAGCAAGGACTTAAGATCAAGGAGGATTTTGCAAAGCAAAAAGAGTGGGATAGAACTTTCTGGGTAAAATGAACAGCCTTAGCATGGAAATTATTTCCCAGTACTCATTTTCAGTTTGTGGACAATCATTCAATCCTAGACAGTTCTACTGTCCTTCCTTCCTGAGGTTTAAAGTAACTAAACCCTACACTTTTCTGACAAGATTTTAGAATATCTTTCAATTCATAATTACTCTTTGGTGCAGAGAAGTAATGTTTTCCTAAACTCTCTTCAGTTTACTCAAAAACATAATAAATTAATTGAGGACTTAATGTGCCACGTTGGTGCTTATCTTGAAAATATTGCTGAAAATCAGAAATTCACATTGCCAGTAGGGTCTGGGATTTTTTCTTTTTGTTTTTGTTTAAGTGATTTAAGAAGTTTATTTCCTCATAGTAACTTTCTTCCCAAGTGTGCCAGTGTTTCATTAATTGTTCCTTCCTAGGAGGAAGAAATAGAATTTCTCTACAATGAGAACACGGTTAGAGAAAGCCCCAACATTACAGACCGGTGGATCCTGTCCTTCATGCAGTCTCTCATTGGCTTCTTTGAGACTGAAATGGCAGGTGAGTCTCTCTTGGTCTGTCCTCCCAGGAATAAGGACTATTCTCTTTGTAACTGCCCTTTTGATATTTAATAGTGGAAATATTGAGAGATACAGAAAATTAAATAATTGTTTCCTTTTACCTCTCATATAGTTTTGTTAAGGCTTGTTAATTGTCGTGATATCTTTGTTTCAAGACCCTGGGGACTTCTGGCCTGGTGTGGTGGCTCACGCCTGTAATCCCCAGCATTTTGGGAGACCAAGGCAGGCAGGTCACCTTAGGTCAGGAGTTCGAGACCAGCCTGGCCAACATGGCGAAACCCTGTCTCTACTAAAAATATATTTAAAAAAAAAAAAAAAGTTAGCTGGCCATGGAGGCGGGCGCCTGTAATCCCAGCTATTCAGGAGACTGAGGCAGGAGAATTGCTTGAACCTGGGAGGCGGAGGCTGCAGTAAGTTGAGATTGCACCACTGCCTGGGCAATAAGAGCGAAACTCCATCTTAAAAAAAAAAAAAAAGCCCTGGGGAATTCTGTCTTTAGGGGGTGTCCTCGTGGTCTCAATGCTCCACAGAAGAGCTTTAGAGCTGGATAGCCATGGGTTCAGAGCCCAACTCTACCACTTGTTCCCAATCCAGAGAGTTGCCTGAAGTCTGACCGTCAATTTCCTTTTTTTTTTTTATGGGTACATAGTAGATGTATATATTTATGGGGTACAGGAGATATTTTTATATAGGCATACAGTGTGTAATAGTCATATCAGGGTAAATGGGATATCCATCACCTCAAGCATTTATCATATCTTTGTGTTGCAAACATCTCGGTTATACCCTTTTTCTTGTTTTTAAATGTACAAGAAATTATTGTTGACTGAAATCACCCCATTGTGCCATCAGATGCCACTCTTATTCAGCCTATCTTGACCTTCAGTTTCTTTATCTGCAGAATGCCCAGTAGTGTTTGTAAGGCTTAAGTAGAGACGATTTACATAAAGTAGCTGGCAGATGATAGGTACTCAATAAATAATACTTGTTATTAATGCATTTATAACTTATTTTTAGTTCTATTTTCATTACTAAATAGTCCCCTTCTTTTCCAGAAAAATTAGAAAAGTCAGAAGAGCAATAATGAAATGGACATTTTGCTGTTATTTCTATTAACTAACAACAGTGAGTTCGTTGGGTAATTTTACAGAGATTCAAAAAGTACATTATGTTGGCTTCCTTAAGGTTTGAGATAATCACAACTGTAGGTCCAGGTGAGAAATCTGGGACACCTCAGACAGTCAGTTAAAGTGGGTGGACAGAGGCCCTGGGTCACAGTGAGGGCAAAAGAGGGCAAGGCAAATCCACCCTCACAGGGCTCTGCGGTTCCTGCTGCTGTTGGGCAGGAGCAGCGGCCGCCACAGACCTGGGATTCACCATTAGCCTAGATACGGGCACATGCTGCTCCCTGGAGTAGGCGCTGCTGCCCCATTTAGCACAGAAGGACTGCTACAGGATTTGTCCACCTTGTTAAACATGTAGAAGGATCACGACAGTCCAGCTGTTGCTCAGATAGACACAGATGAAGATGGAAGTGAGTGTGAGGCTGAGTGCTGCCCTGGCGAGGGCAGCACTGGGAGCCCAGCACACTCCCCAGACATGCTCACACCTGTGTCTGCTTTTCCCTCCTGAGTGATACAAGTGGGTGGGAAACGTGGGGATTGTTGCCCGGACCCCCTTCAATATTTGGGCACCAGCTGCCATGACCTCCTGTGAAGCTGGGTCTGGAGATGCGCATTCTGGCTGGAGCCTGGTCTGCCTGGAAACTGGAGATCGGCAGCCACGTTTTGTGGGCCGTGTTTAAGTCCCGGTTCTGCCGGCCTGTCAGCTTCATGTCCTCCACTCCCTCAGGAGCACTGTGGGTATGAGAGGACCTGCCTCACAGGGTGGTGGTGGCCTGGGTAGTGGCTGCTGCTGCTGCCCCTGTGTGTTGTATGTTTATCCATTGTATGTGGAGTTCTATTTGGGTTCATTTACTCCCTCAGAGTTGAAACCAGAACATAGAAAACCTGAGCTTCCTGGAAGGTAAAAAGTGCCGTGAACCCTAGAAATCATTTAGACAGGTCTCAGTTACTGAAATCACATGTCTAAGAAAGTGTGACCAGCTAACGACTCTGGCCTGGGGCTCAGCCCACTGACATCTGAGTTCTGGTCTTTGTGAAAAGCAGCAGAGAGCAGCTCTGCCGGTTGCAACTTCTCGTCTCTTAGCTTAGACCAGAAGCCTCATTAACAGTCCCTGGACTCTTTTCATTATTATAAATTGTATTTGTTTCTAAGTATCGGTCTTATTCTTTTTGTTTTTTGTGTTTGTTTTTATGTAACAAAGAGTATTAATTAAATGGGAGGTGAATGAGAATCCTTAAAATAAGCCTTGCCTCAGACAATTGGCTAAACACCCTTTCTTTCCTACTTGATCTCTGAGTTTCTCAGGGAACTCTTCAAATCCTCCTAATTCCTCAAGACCTTCACTACCTCTGATGCTGTTTTTACTCGACTGTTTTAATGTTTAGAAGGCCAGTTCTATTTTATTCATAGCCTGTGCCAGAGTTTCTTAACTGCAGCACTATGGGCAGTTTGGGCCAGGTCATCCTCTGTGGTGGGGCTGTGCTGTGCTTTATAACTGAGCAGCATCTCTGGGTCTACCCATTAGATTCCAGTAGCACCGTGCTACCCTCCAAGTTGTGACAAGCAAAATGTTTCTCCAAACGTTGACAAATGTTTCCCATGGGATAAAATTGCTTTTGTTTGAGAATCACTGGCCTATGCTGTGCCTCTTAGCATCTGAATTGTGCTTTTTGTCTTTTAGTTGAAGTACAGTGTAATACAATGGAAAGAAGTTGGGCATTGTTGATGCTGTCAAATTGCACAGCTCCGTGTAAATGGCACTTCCTACAGTTGTGTAGTGGGCAGTCTTGGACTTTGATCCACACATACTGGAGTTTTTGGCTTTTCTCACTGACCAATGGGAATTCGCATGTGGCTCACATGGTGATTTTTTTGTGTGCACCCCTAAACACTCTGACTGCCATGTAGCACATCCTCAACAAACAGTCATTATGTGATTGATTCATTTTGGTTCTTTTCTCCTTAGTAAGTGGAGGCACTTGGATGGAAGGAGCTGCCCCTTCTTTGTTGTATCCAACCCTCTCCCCACCCCAGATGCCTGGTAACCCACTTGCTGCCTGATTGACTTGTCTTACTTTTAGCTTATAGGCTTTATACTGTGGTGCCTCGCCTGGTCAAGTTTGTAGATATTCTGACCAATTGGTATGTTAGAATGAACCGCAGAAGATTAAAGGTAAGTGCAGACTGCTGTTGGGAAAAGCAAAAAGTGTATGAAGTTTGAAAGTAGAAGAAATATGAGAATAGCCAGAAGGGAGAGGAACATTTTCAGTTGCTCTCCGTTTTTGAAGCTTTGTTTTTCTTTTCCTTTTACATTGCATTTTAACTATATTTGTCATTTGAGGGATAGGGATCTATAAGTTCTAAAAGTCATTTTGCATTATTTTCACAACACAATTATGTACATGTCATATTGGAGGGAGAATGTCAAGGCACAAACAGGACTACACTGAGCAGACCTCTTAAAATTCAAAATAAAATCATGCAAATATTTTATAAAAATACTGGTAGATATGGCATTAATATTGAGAGGGGTACTTCCTTCTACCACAAGGGAGTCAGATATTATTTACTGTGGACAGAACTCCTCTGTAGCTGTTGGGGGTTTAGGATGAGCAGAGCATAGGTCCTGGTCTCAGGACTTAAGCCAGGTACATAAATAACAATGATGCTTAATAGAGAGAGCGAGGTCTCTTTACTGCAGGCCCAATGAAGGCTCCCACTACCCATTAGTCATGTCTTTTTTTTTTTTTTTTTTTTTTTTTTTTTTTTTGAGAAGGAGTTTCACTCTTGTCACCCAGGCTGGAGTGCAGTGGCATGATCTTGGCTCACTACAACCTTTGCCTCCCAGGTTCAAGCAGTTCTCCCTCAACCTCCCCAGTAGCTGGGATTACAAGTGTGCACCACCACGCCTGGCCAATTTTTGTATTTTTGGCAGAGACAGGGTTTCACCACGTTGGCCAGGCTGGTCTCAAACTCCTGACCTCAGGTGATCCACTGGCCTCAGCCTCTCAAAGCAGTGGTGTTACAGGTGTGAACCACCGTGCCTGGCCAGTCATGTCTTAAAAGGCATTAATAATAAAAGCCTGCAACACAACTGTAATTTCATTTTTGTGCAGATGTATCTCACACACACGTATCTAGAAGGACATATGCTAAGATGCTTACAGTAGTTGTCTCTGGATAAATTAATTATGATTGTAGGAAAAACAAAGATAATGAAAAAATTTCAATGAATTGGTATTTTTTTTAATACACATTATATACTTTTTTAACATAAATCTTATTTAAAGGTACTTTAAAGTTTTTGGTTAGCAACTGTTTTTGTCTGTTGTGGGTAGATCCATTCTACCTTCAGCCTTCGGGTCCTACAGTTAGGCTCTACTTCCCTGTCAGCTCGCCTCAGGTGGGGATAGTCAGTGGGACAGCAGGTGCACATCCTGGCCAGGCCTCCTGCACTGCCCTGAAGGGCCACCCTGGTGGCACTGACCGTGGATGGCCTGTGGTCGTGGCCCTTTCTCCTTTCTCTGTCTCATGTCTTGTCTGTATGCTGCATGTTCTTTGAAGATTGCCTCTTTTTAATAAACTTATTTTTTTAATGATAAACACTTATTTAACAGTTTAATGTTTATGTTTCCTTTTTACTCATTAGGGTGAAAATGGGATGGAGGATTGTGTCATGGCCCTAGAAACCTTGTTTAGTGTTCTGCTTTCTCTTTGCAGACTTATGGTAAGATGATTGGCTTCTTTCTAGTACCCTTTGGCCTATGGGCTGCCTTCAGCACCTACTTGCTGCAGCATCCTCCATTTATATCCATTCTGTATTATTCTGCCAAAAATAGATATAGAAGTTTTATAACACCTTATAGCTCTAGTTCCTTATCAGAAATCTTGTTAGCTTATACATGTTAAGTAAGGACTAAGAAATACTAGATTCTTTCTTACAGTCTCTGGCAGTACAATATATGTCAGGGCCCTTGGCTCTAGAATGAGGATCTACAGTTCAAAGTAAGACATACCTCATCTTAATGTGGATTGCCATAATTGTGAGTAATGGGGGAGGTTCTTCAGCTAATACCTGTCTGAGTAAATATATATATATCACAAAAAATACTTTAACTTAGCATTGAGAGGAAAACGTGCAAGTAATTGTTTGATATATGTTCTTATCAGTTCAGATATTAGTTAAATAATATAAAAGTGGAACGGCTCCAACTTTAATTCTTTTTATCCTGTTTCCTTTACTCCATATGTTATAAGGCTCCTATTTATTCCTTAACCGAAGGAAAATCTGCTTTGTACAAGGTGCTGTGCCTGGTGCTCTCCATGCCTGATCTCATCACCTCCATCCTGTGAAGCAGGGGGTATTTTCCCCAGTTTACAGATGAGGTTTCTGAGGTGTGGGACAGTCAGTCTTCTGTGCATATTGACTTGGCTGATACATCATTAGGTGCTCCTGTTTCTATTTTAGACATCCTTCAGAATTCTAGAGGTGCTTTGGGTTTTTCTATCTACAGTCCTGCAGCTATGCTTCAGGGATATGAGGCCATTTCTCATTCACAGGGCATGTTTTGTAACCTCATGCTCATTTTGGTGCCTATTACTGTGTCATTCTCTAACATGTTTAGTTGTTTCTCAGTATAAATGAGATCAGTTGTTGATGACTGCATATAACTGACATGATGTCCTGTGTCTTCATACAGGCTCCCTACACACCTTTTCTCACTGAATTGATGTACCAGAATCTAAAGGTGCTGATTGACCCTGTTTCTGTTCAGGACAAGGACACACTCAGCATTCACTACCTCATGCTGCCCCGTGTTCGGTAGGACTCAAATAGAAATAAGCCTCACCTGTGCCAAGGAGGGGAGAGTTGCTCAAGCATGTGGGGAAGAGGAGGGATTTCCCTGCTCCAGCTCCATCTGTGCCTTGCCTCCCGCCCCAGCTGACATGAACTCCTCAGGCTGCAGGATGGGGCCCACTTTGGTACACGGTAGCAAGGATGCTTGGTGTGGAACCCCTTTGTAGAGCTGTGGCAGGTGGGGTGTGGGCATGCCCCATGGGGGCTCCTTGGGGAGATGCCGGGTGCTGAGTGGTAGGCACTGCGCTGCCCTTCCCCAGTGCTTCACCAGGAGGGCCTAGCCACACTTCTCTAGCCTGACCCTCTTCCTCGCTTATGCATGCCTAGTGCCTTCAATTTTCTCCTCTTAAATCTAAACTCTTTCATATTCCTACCTCTACCACTCAGAGAAGAATTGATTGACAAGAAAACAGAGAGTGCAGTATCTCAGATGCAGTCTGTGATTGAACTTGGAAGAGTGATCAGAGACCGAAAAACTATTCCCATAAAGGTTTGAAATTTTACTTCTATTTTACATGGCACAGACCTAAATTAATTAAGTGTTTGGAATGCTTTTTTAATATAGAGAGCTTCCACCAATGGCCTTTTTCCTTTTCTGCAGTGAGGGTGTGAATGACTTAGTACTAGTCCAGCCTGACTAGAGCTTGAGATTCAAATAAACATTTAATATTCCATTTTTCTGCAGTTTTAGAGGACTGGCTGCTGAGTGAACTTTCCCCTCCCTTTTCCTCCTAGTATCCTTTGAAAGAAATTGTGGTTATCCATCAAGATCCAGAAGCTCTTAAAGATATCAAGTCTTTGGAGAAGTATATCATTGAGGTAAGGTAGATGATTTGTCTGTTTTTGGTACAGATAGACTTAGAACATTATTTTGATGAATAATCCTCAAAGTACATATTGACTCTATAATTTATTTTTATTAGTATAGTCATAACAAATGTAATAATCCATATTTTACACTGTGCTTGGAATCAACATAAATTTGTTGTAATTCTTTTAAAAATATTTCAAGATCAATGAATTTCTTTACCTATCATCTATCATCTTCATTCACTTCCCTGAAGTTCTGTTCTTTTCTGTCCTGTCCTTTCCTTTTCCTTTTCCCTTACTTTACTTTTCTTTCTTTTCTTTCGACAGAGTCTCTCACTCTGTCATCCAGGCTAGAGTGCAGTAGTGCCTTACCACAACCTCCACCTCCTGGGTTCAAGCGATTCTCCTGTCTCAGCCTCCCGAGTAGCTGGGATTACAGGCACCCGCCACCATGCCCAGCTAACTTTTGTATTTTTAGTAGAGAATGGGGTTTCATCATGTTGGCCAGGTTGGTCTCAAACTCCTGACCTCAAGTGATCTGCCCGCCTTGGCCTCCCAAAGTGCTGGGATTACAGGCATGAGCCACTGTGCCTGGCCTTCTGAAGTACTTTTTGATAACTACCAAAGAAACTTTGTTCCTCCAAATTATGCAAGTGACAAGTACCCTCGCATGTAAAAAGTCGAAGCAATAGCATAGGGAGCCTCTCTCCACCCCATTTCTCCCTGGAGTCTCACTTCCTGGCTGCTTCATAATTTATT
Source organism: Homo sapiens (assembly GCF_000001405.40). Classification (NCBI taxonomy): domain Eukaryota; kingdom Metazoa; phylum Chordata; class Mammalia; order Primates; family Hominidae; genus Homo; species Homo sapiens. Next base: position 83,836 of record NW_025791788.1, on the reverse strand, counting down.
TAATTACTGTCCCGTTGTTTGACATTTAGGTTTCTGATTACAAACAAAAGCTTTGTGTGTACATATATGCATATATCAGTGTATGGATATTGGATAGATTCCAGAAGTGGAGTTTTGGGGTCAAAGTTTATAGTGTCAGTTGTCTTCCTAAACATTTTTATTCCATGATATTTTAAAACATCTTTATTCCATGATGTTTTAAAAACGCATATGTTTTACCTCATCTTCTTTGTGATGATAGAAAACAAATATTTTTTAAAATTTCATTGTTTATTCTTTTCACAGGTGATATTTAAAATCATTATTATAGAAAATGTTAATTTCTATATTTGGTTTTCAGTTGCTTGAAAGTTGCAGAGAAATATTAGAAACCAAAAGTTAGATTTTAAATTCTGACATTAGTACCTGTGGCTATGCATAAAATAGAAATTTTTTTTTTTTTTTTTTTTTTTTTTGTGACAGGGTCTCGCTCTGTCACCCAGGCTGGAGTGCAGTGATGTGATCTTGGCTCACTACAGCCTCCATCTCCTGGGCTCGGGCAATCCTCCCACCTCAGCCTCCCAAGTGGCGGAGATTAGGCATAGTAGTACAGGCTTTTGTAGAGATGGGGTTTTGCCATGTTGCCCGGGCTGGTCTCTAACTCCTGAGCTCAAGTGATCCTCCCACCTCGATCTCCCGAAGTGCTAAGATTACAAGTTTGCGCCACCACACCCAGCTGAAAAATTTTGAAATTAACTACTTCACTTAAAATGAGATTAATTAATGTAGCTAAATATAATGGCAAAACTAAACATTCCGTATTATTTGCTTCAAGCTGTTCTCATTTTCCCATCCGCTACTGTGCCATCACCATCCCTGCCGCATCAGTAATCCTCAGTAGCATGACTGAAGCATGAAGTGTTCTGTTTAACTGATCTTCTGCTTAGTTAATAGTTAACCTTGTGGTACTCTGCAATTGCTTGCACAAAGGTTACCTCTGAGGGATGAGGTTTATATTTCTGGGTCTGGAGTCCTTTTTCTGTTATGCTCAACTGTCTTGATAGATCTTCATAACAAGCATTTTCTTCTTACCATACAAATCACTGGTTTTTAAGCATATTTATAGAATGGTACAACTATCACCATAGTTTTAGAACATTTTCCTCGTCCCAGAAAGAAAGCCAGTATTCATTAACATTCACAAACCATTTTCCCCTCAATATCTGACCATTTCCTGGCATCCACGAACCTATTTGCTATCTCTGGATTTGCCTTCTCTGGACATTTCATATAAGTGGAATCATACAATTTGTAATCTTTATGTCTGGCGTGTTTCACCTAGCATAATGTTTCACATTAATTTATGTTGTAGCACATATGAGTGCTTCAGTCCTTCATATTGCCAAATACTCTATTGCATGTGTATGCTGCATTTTGTTTATCCATTCACAGTTGATGGACACTTGAAGTGTTCTTGCTTTCTGGCAGTTAGGAATAATGCTGCTGTGGACCTACATTTTTGTGTGAACATATGTTTTCATTTCTCATTTTTGTTTCCTCTTGTGCATTAACTGTAGGAACTCAATGTTCGAAAAGTTACACTGTCTACAGATAAAAACAAGTATGGCATTCGGCTAAGGGCAGAACCAGATCACATGGTCCTGGGGAAGCGTCTGAAGGGAGCCTTTAAGGCAGTGATGACGTCCATCAAGCAGTTGAGCAGTGAGGAGCTGGAGCAGTTCCAGAAGACTGGTAGGTGTCTACACAGACAAGGGCACCATTTATGTCCTGAGTCTGAGGGATACTTTTTAGGCTACTGTTTGACTTTTAATATCACATCCTTTCCTTTCCTGTCCTGTCGTGTCCCGTCGTGTCCTGTCCTTTCCTTTCCTTTCCTTACTCTCTTCTCTTTTCTCTCTTCTCTCTTCTCTTTTCTTGACAGAATCTCGCTCTGTCATCCATCCTGGAGCACAGTGGCGCGATCTTGGCTCACTGCAACCTCTGCCTCCCAGGTTCAAGTGATTCTCCTGCCTCAGCCTCCCAAGTAGCTGGGATTACAGGCACGTAGTACCATGCCTGGCTAATTTTTGTATTTTTGGTAGAAACAGGGTTTCACCATGTTGGCCAGGCTGGTCTCTAACTCCTGACCTCAGGTGATCCACCCGCCTTCGGTCCCCCAAATTGCTGGGATTACAGGTGTGTGCCACTGCACCGGTCCATCCTTTTCTTAAGTAAAACTTTTTTTCCTGTTGATAAAAATGTTTATTATAAATAATTCTTACAGTTTAGAAAGAAAATAGCTGGGCACAGAGGCTCACATCTGTAATCCCAGCGGCTCACATCTGTAATCCCAGCATTTTGGGAGGCCCAGTTGGATAGATCACTTGAGATCACTACAGGCACATACTACCACACTTAGCCAGATGTGGTGGTATGTGCCTGCCATCCCAGTTACTCTGGAGGCTGAGGTGGGAGGATCCCTGGAGCCTAGGGTGATTTTGTCCTTACTTTCATGGTGCTTGCTGACATTGAAGATTTGGGAAAATAATTATGGTTTTGATAAGTGTTATAAAGGGAAGGTGTAGGGTAACATAAAAACATGTGGGGGTACCTAACCAAATGATGGGATTAGGAAAGGGAAATCAGCCCCATCTTGCTACCCCTATACAGAGCATTTCAGGGTGCCCAGAAATTTGCAGCTCTGCCATGATTAGAATCATACATGGTCTGAGTGTGGCTGTCTGACATCCTGTAACTATCCTGGGGCACAAGCTGTTTATTGTTACGGCTTCCTCTGAAGTTGAAAATCATAAGCTAGGAGATGTCTTGAGAAGAGAGATTTGAGGATTCATAAATCAGATGGGGGAACTGTCCCTAAGATTCTCCAAATATTTAGATAGAATTAATAAAACATAAGACATCAGCAGCTAAACCTCAAGTTATTACTAATTACTAATCAACTCAAAATATTAAAATAACAAAGTGTTACGAGCCTTCAAGCCACAAATCTAAATTGTTCGCCAGATAGCCAAAGCATCAAAAATTCCTGAGATGGCTGGGGGTGGTGACTCATGCCTGTAATCCCAGCACTTTGGGAGGCCGAGGCGGGCAGATCACGAAATCAGGAGATTGAGACTGTCCTGGCTAACACGGTGAAACCCCGTCTCTGCTAAAAACACACACACACACACAAAATTAGCCAGGTGTGGTGGCAGGCGCCTGTAGTTCCAGCTACTCAGGAGACTGAGGCCGGGGAATGGCGTGAACCCAGGAGGCAGAGCTTGCAGTGAGCCGAGATCCTGCCACTGCACTGCAGCCTGGGTGACAAAGCAAGACTCTGTCTCAAAAAAAAAAAAAAAATTCCTGGGCTAAACCTTATTTGAAATTGAAAGCCTAGTTTCTGAGCGTACTGTTCTGCACTGATGGAAAACAAGATCATCTTCAGAACACAGAGACAAAGTAAACATAAAAATGACACCCGGGTGCTCAGAGCCCAAGAAGGTCATCATCAGTGACAACAGTGGGCCTCCCTATCAGCGGGGGTGTTAACATCAGCAGCTGTTCACATTTCTGCCTCCCCTGAACAGGCATGATGCTCAGTACTACACACTGCCCGTCTCATTTTAGCCTCACCACACCTTGCTCAGCAGGTAGCAGAACACCATGTCATACAACCAGCAAATAGTGGACCTAAGTTCACTTTCTCTTTAAAGACTGTATTTTCTTCATGACATCCTGCTGCTCTGTGTTTATGGTGAGCATTTGTTGCCTCTTGGTGCCTTCCCTTAGCTTTGTCATGTCTTTGGACCTGAGAGTTTATATAAAACAGTAGATACTGGTGATGACTTAACTGTCTTCAAGGTAGCATAGTGTAATCTAAAGAAAGTTTGTCATGTCTTGGCTACAACCATGACATGAGTCAGAGGGAAATGATCTCTTGAAGCCTCTGTGGCTTTGTTATTGTGAAATTTTAATCAAGAAGGGGCATAATACACGGGTAGTGGGGCAGCTTGAAGAGGAGGGGAAGCTGATTAACAGTGTAGCTGCTTCTCCATAGGGACCATTGTTGTGGAAGGCCATGAATTGCACGATGAAGACATCCGCCTCATGTACACCTTTGATCAGGCCACAGGTGGGACTGCGCAATTTGAAGCACACTCAGATGCTCAGGTATTTTTCTGTTTCCTAGAACATTTCTTTACCAAGAGATGAGAGCATAAGAGGAGAAAGTATTTGCCTGTGCCTTTCCTGATAATGTTGACAGCTTGTCTCAGGGTAAAATAAACCAGTTACTTGGTTTAGATTGGCTTTATTAAACTAATATATTATTATGCCCTTAACATATGCATTTGTTTAGTGAATACATAAGTAAGCATTTTGTGATTTCTACATGTCAGTCATTGTCCCAAGTGTGGGGTTGCACAAAAATGAACCCTTCAAGGAATGAGTCAGTCAAGGACACCTGAAATTAAGCCAGTTCTTAGTATTCTACCTGATAAGTTATCTGGTAGAAATAAGTACACAGAGGGCTCCTATCCAAAAATAGGTGTAGGGTGAAAAGTGGTCAGGGAACACTCTTTTCAAGAGAATATACAAACTGTTTTAGATTCCAGGATCAATATTTTTTGCCATATTGGAGAAGAGACTATCTCTTTGCAGTCCTGACCAGACATCCCCAGTCAGCATAGTTGTAAGATCTCGCATGTGGGTTTGGGGATATTGCAGGGGTCCCTCTGTGCTTAGCATACCATGTGCAGGGGAAGGTAGAGCAGCACCTCCATGAAAGGAAGGTCGACCTCCTCAGTCCTTTACCCAGGCGCTTAAGTTAGATGTGTACAGAACTCTACGTGGGAAGACAGTGGCAAGGAGTCGGAGGTATCGTAGCTGGGAAAGAAGGCAGGGAGGAGGTTTCTAAACACTGACAGTGGGCAGTTCTTCCTCATTACAGCAGATGTTAGGGGCCTGAAAAGTTGTCCACCTTACAAAAGTGTCATGTGATGCTTCTGAGTTTCTTGACATGGCTTACATGTTGTAGTGGCCCTGCACTGACTGGAATTTTGAGTTTATCATGCATTTCACTACCTCTGATGCCTTTATGAAGTGAGTCATTTCTTAACTTCTCTGTTTACTCAAAGGTAAATGAGATGATGCCTAATGTACAAGTCTTTTGTAGAGTATATTTTACTCTGCAACATGCTGTGTAACAGAAGCGATAGTGTCATTATTGCTACATCATAATCAGCAACCTTCAGAATAGATGAGATAGAAACATTAACCTTAGCAAAAATATGGCAGTTTAAGTCACAGAAAGTTTTGTGGTCCATTGTAGAATTTGTCTTGAGTCGTTCTGACAAACCTGAAGATCACAGGGGTCATGGTATAGGAAAGTCACTTGGAGTTGACTGCGCTGAGGCCGTTGATCCACTTGTTGTGGCCTGAAAAGCTGTGCTGCTCCAAGGGCTTCATGATTATTGATCTTACTTATTAGAAGAGTTGATATTACTTCTTAGATGGCCAAAAAGCAGAGTCATGTGAGGGACTCTGATAAGAGGTGGTCCCAGGGCATCTCCTGTGAGCAGCACCCTACAAAAAAACAAGAAACAAAAACCTGCACACCTTTCTCCAGAGACAGAGGACTAGCTGATTATGAAGAAGTACCTGAATGATAAACTAGATTAATTTTATTGCTTTTGCTCATTTGTGTGAAAAAATAGTGCTGCATTATAGACTCTCCAGATTTAAATAACATTTTGCTGAGTTGGGAAGAAGTGTTTCTCCTTATTTGATTGTCATGGTGTGCACTGTTCATTCCCACAGGCTTTGGTCCTCTTAGATGTCACTCCTGACCAGTCAATGGTAGATGAAGGAATGGCTCGGGAAGTCATCAATCGCATACAGAAACTTCGCAAAAAGGTTAGTTTGTCAGTTAAGAATAAGCTACTGTTTTGGCTTTTTGTTTGTTTTGGTTGTTTGGAGAAGATAGGAGAGGCAGGTAATATAAACCATAGTGATCAATGCATAACAATCACTAATCCATAGTCCATTTGGAATGTATTCTGCAGAAAAGTCACTCCTCTTCCTCTCCCCACGTGTTCACTCCCAAGTCGTAGCTTTCAGCCAGCCTGTGCCTTTTCCCATCCTTTTTTTTAGCTCCGTTGGGCTTCTACAGAATATCCCCTGTGACTGGAGCAGAAGGTAATCAGAGCTGATAGTGTCTTTGCAGAAGGGCAGAGGTGCAGTCAGCATAGACAGGCTTCTAGCTTAGGGGAGATTCCCGGATTTGGACAGAGTTGGGTAGTTTTTCCTTATTAGAGAGCTGAGGAATATGCAGGGAGCTCATCCTGGAGCGCAGAGGGGCTGCAAAGCCCCTGCTAGTGAGAGAATCAGGAATTTCTTGCCCTGTAGAGGGCAGTGACAGCTAACATACATCTTTCTTCCCAGACGGTTCAAGGTCTGAGGAGGCTGTTCCAGCAGATGAGTGGGTGCTTGTGACCTCTGAATCAGTTCAGAGCTTTGTAAGTGGGTTCTAAGTAATTTCTTGGTTTCAACATTCATGAGGTACTGATTGTTCTAGGAAAAGAAACATGCCCTATCCCCCAAAGAGTGGTGAAAAAGACACAAAGTTAATCATGTACTGAGTGCAGTTAGTCTTACGGATCACCCAGCAGGGAGGGAAGGGTGACTGCCCTTCTGTGATGATTCAGCATGGGATCTGTAGCCCTTGTTCAACAGTACCTTCCTTCAGTTCTGATTAATAGAATGTACTTCCCTTTTAAATTTTTCTGTGTGTGTTTTCAGTGCAATCTGGTTCCAACTGATGAAATCACAGTGTACTATAAAGCAAAGTCTGAAGGAACATATCTGAATAGTGTTATTGAAAGCCACACAGAGTTCATATTTACCACCATAAAGGCTCCCTTGAAACCATATCCAGTTTCTCCATCGGATAAAGTCCTTATTCAAGAAAAAACACAGGTGAGTCCTGAGTTCCACTGAACTACTACTAAAGGGTTTCAGATTAGGTTTGACTTTGTGTACTCACGTGTTGATATTCTGTCCCACAGTAGAGATCGGCACAGCACTCTGTCTTGAAGTATTGCTCTGGACAGTAGTGGGTAGAGTCAGAGAGTGGAAGCTCAGAAAAGATGGAGCAGGGAGGGAAGATGGAACTGTTTTCACAACAGTTCTCTTGAGGAAGGTAGCCAGGAGGGTACATGAGCTTTGCCCGGAAATAAAATGGCCTGTTTTTTCTAAAACTAGAAAAGGCAGTGTGTGGATTCTGGTAATTATCATTAAAAGTAAATAGCAATTGGCTTGAAAAACATTTAACTCTTCTGGTAGTGGGTTCTCCATAAAAGTACAGTACAAAAAAAGAAAGATTACAATAGCATTTCTGTTGTTACATCTAGGAATTTTAGATATACTTATGAAAGTATGATATTAAGGTAGGGAAGATATTGGCTTATAACTTAGAAGTAGATCATTTAGACTGGGCACAGTGGCTCACACCTGTAATCCCAGCACTTTGGGAGGCCAAGGCGAGCAGATCGCTTGAGGTCAAGAGTGCGAGACCAGCCTGGGCTGGTGAAACCCCATCTCTACTAAAAATACGAAAATTAGCTGGGCATGGTGGTACACGCCTGTAATCCCAGCTACTCGGGAGGCTGAGGCAGAAGAATCGCTTGAACACAGGAGGTGGAGGTTGCAGTGAGCCGAGATTGCATCACTGCACTCGATCCTGGGCGACAGAGCAAGACCCTGTCTCAAAAAAAAAAAGTTGATCATTTAAAATATACCTCAGTCACTTGCTTAATCATTTGCTCCGGTCTCATTCTATGAGACAAGTAGGACAAGACAAGGAGGGGCTGATGATGGCTGTTTATTTTTTCAGTGAGGCGAGTTGCAGTGTAGTTTCATTTTGTATTTTGCATATTGTGTAATTATTTGACTTTTTTTAAGTGAGCATATATTTTTAAGAAACCAGGATAAGAAGAGAAGAAAAATGGGATATAAATTGTAGCTTTTGATACTTTGAGTAATGAGATTGAATATGTTATCAATTGTGTACAGCTCTTGTTGTTACTGAGAAGTCACTGTGTTACACGATGGTGTGGCACATTGCAGTCAGGTGCCACAGTTACTCAGTCATACGTTCTCATGTGCTCAGTTGAAGGGATCTGAACTGGAAATTACACTCACCAGAGGATCTTCCCTTCCTGGTCCTGCTTGTGCATATGTCAATCTTAACATTTGTGCAAATGGCAGTGAACAAGGTAAGAGTAAATTCCATGATTTGTGTGACTTTTTTTTAGTTATACTTATGGATGTGAAAAAACAACCAAAAAAACTTATGGATGTTTTTAAGAGAATTGGAATAATTATTTAATCATGTTTAATAGATAACTTTTTCTTCTTGTCATCAAAATGAATTCACTAGGCGAGATGCAGTGGATCATTCCTGAAATCTACCACTTTTGGAAGCCAAGGTGAGAGGATTGCTTGAGGCCAAGAGTTCAAGACTAACCTTGCCAACATAATAAGATCCTGCCTCAATTAAAAAAAAAAAAAGGGCCAGGCATGGTAGCTCACACCTGTAATCCCAGCACTTTGGAAGGCGGAGGCTGGTGGATTACTTGAGGTCAGGAGTTCAAGACCTGATAAACATGGTGAAACCCTGTCTCTACTAAAAATACCAAAATTAGCCAGGCATGGTGGCAGGTACCTATAATCCCAGCTACTCAGGAGGCTGAGGCATGAGAATTTCTTGAACCCGGGAGGTGGAGGTTGCAGTGAGCTGAGATTGCACCATTGCACTCCAGCCTGGGTGACAAAGCAAGACTGTCTCACCAAAAAAAAAAAGAAAAGAAAAATGAATCCACTAAAGTAAATGATTGGACTTATGCTTGTGGAAGCATGAAGCAGATACAGTTTTCCCTATTCCTCCTGCTAAATACATCTAAACACCCTGGATATTACATGTAAAAACAAGCATAAGAAGACTCTCAAAGATGTAAGGAAGAAAGCAGACCACCTAAGGACCTTGTAACCAAGTGACCTAAAAGTAGTAAGTTCAGGGTTTTCTTTTCTGCCTCGTATACCCAAAGTTGGAACTGAAGAAGCTGGCAACCTGGAAATGTCAAGTACAGACCAAAGAAAGCCTCAACAAAAATTCTGCTCCCTTGACAAAGGATCAAGAGATGGGCAGCCTAGCAAGACAGAAAATTTTGAAACAGTAACTGCTCTACTCTAGCCAGACACCATAGAAAAAACTATGGCCCCACCACCACCCACATTAGCAAAGGCCAAGTGGGGAGCCTGGACTTCACCCTTGCCAAGCTGAAGACCCCTCCCCTGTCACAGGGGTATCAGAGAAGACAAAGTAGGAAGCTGGGACTTTCATCCTAGTGGGGGGCAGTAATGAGCCCCTCTGCCCGGTGGCATCAGTGGAGGCCACATGGAAAGCCTAGATTTCCATCCCTTCTGGGCAGTAACAAGGCATCCCTCCCATTTACAAATGCATGGCAGCAGTGAGGCCACACACCACGAGCAACTCCTCTGTAGTGTCAGTTAAGGTATGCGTGAAACCCAAACAGGATAAACCCAAAAGAATCCACATCTACATATATCATAATCAAACTTTTGAAAACCAAAGACAAAAAAAGTCTTGTGTGCAGTGAAAAAGATATAACACCTAACTTACAGGGGAAGAACAAATGATATTGGATTTTTCATCAGGAACTACAGAGGCCAGAAAATGAAAAGGCAGCATTTTTCAAGTGCTGAAAGATAAGTATTGTCTACCAAGAATTCCATATCAATCAGAAATACCCTTCAGGATGATGGGAAAATAAAGACATTCTCAAGTGAAAGAAAACTAAAAGAATCCGTTCCCAGCAGACCAGTCCTAAAAGAGTAGCTAAAGGATGTTCTTACCACAGAAAGGAAATAATGAAAGAGGGAATCCAGAAACATCAGGAAGGAAAAAAGAAAAATGGAAAATCAAAATGGAGGGTAATTCAATAGACTTTCATTACTCTCATGGGTCCAGCAAGCACTATATCATTGTTCGATGTGGTTCTCTGTGTATATACACTAAGGCCTCAACATCATCAGTGAGTTCTTGGGTCCTGCAACTTTAAGTGAAGTGATGTACTGTGTGCCATGGGAACTTAACTCCTGTGGTAAAGTTGGTTTATTATATAGTACATCATTCTGCTTGAAGTCACAGTTTCCAAGAACCTACCAGCAACATTAAGGATTTACTGAACAAGAAATAATAGTTAAGACAATTACAAAGGAGCGAGGTTTCTACATTTGTCACAAACCGGTAAAATATTGACACCAGTGGACCTTAGGAAGTTATGTTTATGTTAGGTACTACTTGGAGTTACCACTAAGAAAAGACTATACCACAGGATACATATAAAACCCTAGAAAAATAAAAAATGGAACTCTAAAATATGTTTTAAGTAACTGTATTAGTCCATTTTTCATTGCTATAAAGGAATACCTGAGGCTGGCTAGTTTATAAAGAAGGTTTATTTGGCTCACAGCTCTGCAGGCTGTATGAGAAGCACGGCACAAGCATCTGCTTCTGTTGAGGGCCTCAAGAAGCTTTTACTCTGCTTTACAGAAGATGAAGTGGGAGCAAGTGTATCACATGATGAAGAGAGGGAGCAAGATAGAAGCCAGGCTCTTTTAAATAACCAGCTATCGCATGAACGAACAGAGTGAGAACTCACTCATTACTGCAACAAGGGTACCAAGCCATTCATGAGGGATCGGCACCAGTGACCCAAACACCTCCCACTAAGCCCCACTTTCCCACATTGAGGATCACATTTCAACATGAGAGTTGGAGGAGACAAATATCCAAACTATATCAGTAACCCACAAGAAGCTAGGAGAGAAAATCAGAACAAATATGCCAGGCACAGTGGCTCACGCCTGTAATCCCAACACTGGAAGGCCAAGGCAGGCGGATCACCTGAGGTCAAGAGTTCAAGACCAGCCTGGCCAACATAATGAAACCCCACCTCTACTAAAAATACAAAAATTAGCCAGGCTTGGTGGCGGGCGCCTATAGTCCCAGCTACTCAGGAGGCTGAGACAGGAGAATCGCTTGAACCCGGGAGGCGGAGGTTGCAGTGAGCCAAGATCACGCTCCTATACTCTATACTGGGTGACAGAGCGAGACTCTGTCTCAAAAAAACAAGCAGAACAAATGAAAGATTGGCATATTGTTAAAAACACATTAGCCAAGTATATGCTGTCTATAACAAACTTCTAATATAATGATACAGGTGAGTTGAAAGTAAAAGGGTAGAAAAATATATACTATGCAAACATTAATCAAAAGAAGCAGGAATGGTCATGTTTGTATTAGATGAAACAGACTTCAGAGCAAAGAAAATTACCAGGGGCATTAAATAATGATAGAAGTGTCAGTACACAAAGAAAACAGTGATCCTAAATTTATATGCGTCTAACAAAAGAGTTACAAAATACATGAAATAAAAAGATACAGACATTAAAGGAGAAATAGACAAATCTACAACTATAGTTGGAGACTTCAAAGTACCTTTTTCAGTAATCAATAGACCAGTTAGAACACCTCAGCCAAAAATAGCAGAATATAAATTATTTTTGAGCTCTCACAGAACTTTGCTGAGATACATTATAACCTGGGCCATAAAACAAACCTCAACCAATTAATACAGTTGAAACCAGAGTGTGCTCTCTGACCACAGTAGAATCAAACTATTAATTAGTAATATAATAATGAAAATCTCCACACTCTTAAAAATAAACAACATGCTTTTAAATTATCCATGATTAGGGAAGAAGTCTCAAGAGGGAAAGAAACATAGAACTGAGTGTAAAGGAAAATACGACATCAAAATATGTGGAATGTGGCTAAAGCAGTCCTGAGACGGAAATCTGTTGCACTAAAAACTGAAAGAAAGATGGTTTCAAGTCATAACCTAAGGTCTAAACTCAAGAAACTAGATAGGAAAAAAAGGCAGAATAAATGCAAAGTAAGAAGAAGGAAAAACATAAAAATAAGAGATCAGTGCAATTGAAAACAAAAACGATAGAGAAAATTAATGATACAGAAATCTGGTTCTTACCCAAAAATTCAGCAAAATTAATAAACCTCTAGTGAGACTAATAAAGAAAAAGAAGACACAGTTGCATATCAGGAATAAAAAGAATTATTGATACAGATTGCCAAAATCAAAAACGCAAATACTATGAATAAATCTCCATATGTAAGTTTGACAACTTGGATGCTTGTCGCCCAGGCTGGACAGTGCAGTGATGCCAACTCAGCTCACTGCAACCTCCACCTCCTGGGTTCAAGTGATTCTCATGCCTCAGCCTCCCGAGTAGCTGGGATTCCAGGTGTGCCACACCACGCCTGATGAATTTTTGTATTTTTTTGTAGAGACGGGGTTTCACCCTGTTGGCCAGTCTGGTCTCAAACTCCTGGCCTCAAGTGGTCTGGCCTTCTTTGGCCTCCCAAAATGCTGGGATTACAGGTTTGAGCCACTGTTCCTGGCCTGAAGTGAACCCTGTTTCTAAAAAACACAAACTACTACAACTCACACAATATCAAACAGATAATTTTAATGGCCCTATAATTATTAAGGAGATGAATTTGTAATTTAAAATCTCTGAACTAATCTCCAGGCCCAGTTTCACTGGAGAATTCTTACCAGAATTAACACCAGTTGTACACAGACTCTTCCAGAAAATAGAAGAGGAAGGAACATTTCACTCATTTTATGTGGTTATTAACCTGCTACCAAAACCAGATAAAGACAGTATTAACAAAAAAGATAGGCTGGGCACGGTGGCTTATGCCTGTAATCTCAGCACTTTGGGAGGCCAAGGCGGGTGGGTCACCTGAGGTCAGGAGTTGGAGACCAGCCTGGCCAACATGGTGAAACACCATCTCTACTAAAAATACAAAAATTAGCCAAGCCTGGTGGCGGGCGCCTGTAATCTCAGCCTACTCGGGAGGCTGAGGCAGGAGAATTGCTGTAACCTGGGAGGCAGAGGTTGCAGTGAGCTGAGATCGTGCCATTGCACTCCAGCCCAGGCCGACAACAGCGAGACTCTGTCTCAAAAAAGAAAAAAAAAAGATAGAAAACAGATATTCCACATGAATATAAATGTAAAATTCTTCCCAATAAATTATTAAATAGAATTCAGCTATGTATACAAAGAATTATGCACCATCACCAAGTGGGATTTATTCCAGGGATGCAAGGCTGATTCAATATTTAAAAATCAATCTAGTCCAGGCGAGGTGGGTCACGCCTGTAATCCCAGCACTTTGGGAGGCTGAGGCGGGTGGATCACAAGGTCAGGAGTTCAAGACCAGCCTGACCAACATGGTGAAACCCTGTCTCTACTAAAAATACAAAAATTAGCCGGGCATGGTGGCGCGTGCCTGTAATCCCAGCTACTCAGGAGAGTAGGATTATTGAGGCAGGAGAATTGCTTGAACCTGGGAGGCAGAGGTTGCAGTGAGCCAAGATCGCACCACTGTGCTCCAGCCTGGGCGACAGAGGGAGACTCCATCTCAAAAAAAAAAAAAAAAAAAAAATCAATGTAATTATCGTATTGTCAGACTAAAAGATTACATGAGTATAGCAGTTGATTCATAAAAAGCATTTGATCAAATTCAACACCCATTCATGATGAAAATCCTCACAAAAATAGGAAGAGATGAGACCTTTGTGGACTGGATAATGAGCATTTTGCAAAAATCCTACAGCTACCATTATACCTAATGGGGAAAGCCTGAATTCTTTCTACCTAAAATCAGGAACAAGGCAATCACAACTCATATTCGACATTGTACTGGAAGTTCTAGCCAGTGGACCACGGCATGACGAGGAAATAAAAGTCATGCAGATAAAGAAAGGAATAAAGCTGACTCTATAGAAAATCATAAGGAACATACATACAAACACCTGAAAAAATAAGCCAGGCTTGGTGGCTCACGCCTGTAATCCCACTTTGGGAGCTAAGGCAGGCAGATCACCTGAGGTCAGGAGTTCAAGACCAGCCCGGCCAACATGGTGAAACCCTGTCGAAAAAATATAAAGAATTAGGTGTGATGGCGGTCACCTGTACTCCCAGCTACTCAGGAGGCTGAGGCAGGAGAATCACTTGAACCTGGGAAGCGGAGGTTGCAGTGAGCCGAGATCGCGCCATTGTACTGTAGTTTGGGCAACAAGAACGAACTCCATCTCAAAAAAAAAAAAAAAGCTCATATTGCCTGGTTTTAAGATGTGGCCTGGGATCACCATATTGATCTTCCCATGCCAGCTGCTCCCATGATGGTTGTGTGTTTATTTAGACCTGTGATGATGTCTCAGACAGTACATGGTTCCCTGAACTGCTTTGCAACTTCAGTGATGTTGTATGGCATTGAGCTGGTCCATCACTGCCAACATCCTGGCTGTCTCAGGTTACCCTGTAGAAGGAATCGGATGGTCAGTGGTGTGCATCAGTAATGTAAACAAGAACAGTGTTCTTGTACAGAGGGCCAGCAGCATGAGCAGTGATAAGACAGGTAGGGCCTATTTTCCCATCTACCAACTCCAGGACTGGCCATTCCTGGGTCAGTTGACCAGACACCTGGAAAGAAGAGCTCTCAACTCCAAGATTATTTTCTTAGTAATAGCTTTAAATGCAGCCACAGCTTGGTCGTCTGCCTTAATATGATTTGATATGTTTTGCAATTTACTGTCCTGCTGAAAGCATTCATATTATGAGGGAAAAAACCATACAAATCATCGCTAAATCTGTTATTTTTAAATGTTTGGCCTTTTTCTATACCCTTTGGATTCAAGCATTAATTGGGTTTCCAAAGTAATTGAATAGAAATCATATTGCTTATAAAAAAGAAAAAAACTTTTGAGTCACAGGATGTAAGATAAACATACAAAAATGAATTTTATTTCATAATAGCAATCTATACTAGCAATGAACAAGTGGGCAATGAAATTAAAAATGTGGTATCATTTACAGTCACTTAAAAAAAGATGCTAGGTCAGGCGTGGTGGTTCACGCATGTATTCCCAGCATTTTGGGAGGCTTAGGCAGGAGGATTACTTTAGCCTGGGAGTTCGAGACCAGCCTCGGCAACAAAGTGAGACCCCGTCTCTACAAGAAATAAAAAACTAGGCAAGTGTGGTGGTGTTCGCCTTTAGTCCCAGCTACTTGGGAGGCTGAGGTTGGAGGATTGCTTGAGCCTGGGAGATGGAGGCTGCAGTGAGCCATGATCATGCCACTATACTCCAGCCTGGGCCACACAGTGAGACCTTGTCTCCAAAAAAATATTCAGATGTAAACCTAATAAAACATGTTGGGACTTGTATACTGAAAACTTCAAAATAGTGATGAAAAAAATCAGACAAAATCTAAGTAAGTGGAGAGACGTGTATGGATTAGAAGATTCAATATAGTAAAAATGTATCTTCTATCCTGCTGTGGTTTGAGTGTGTCCTCCAAAACTCAGGTTAAAATGTCATTGCCATTGTGACAGCATCATGAATTAGTTAATTACTTCACAAGAGTTATGATAATTCTTACCCAGTCCAATGGTGTGATCTTAACATCAGAAACCTGTACTTGTCAGAGTCCTTTCCATTGCATCTCCTCAAAGATGAAACACTTTAGATTCACTGTTGCTTACAATAGTTTTCAGGAAAGTGCCAGAGTAAAACAATTAACTATCGTTGGATGACAAGACTTTAAATGGCCATGGTTAAATATCTAATGAGAGTTCATTATACTAATGTTGCAATTGACAAGGAAGTTTAGTTATTTCTGTGGTATACAGCATTTTAAGGTAACTAGAATTATGACTGATAACATTAGACCAGGCTATCAGATTTCTAAGAATTTCACACAATTTCTGGAACACATTATTTGTACAAGTTAAAGAAGGTTAAACAACATTTCTTATTTGACAGCGCTTCCCATGCAGATCTAACGTAGTCAAATAAGTCTAACTTGTTTACTGTTTCTCTTCATAATGAAAGAAAATTCTCTTGAGATATTTCAGGGGGCCTCTGAAAGCTCCCAAAGTTAGCTTGAGGTCAGAAAGACTTAAGTTTAGAGTTTGATTTTGGGAAGCTAGTAAAAAATATCAAAGGCTTAAAACACTTGATTAATAGGATTGCAGGTCACTGAAGCTACAGTCACTCATTTAACCAGAGTGATAATTAAAAATATCAAAGGCAAATATAGAAAGTCACAAAGTTATAAAAAGACCTGAGCAGTTTTAATAGAGAGGACTCTGTTTCTCTGTTTTCTTTTCTGTAGAGACAGTGTCTCACTACACTGCCCAGTCTGGTCTTGAACTCCTGGACTCAAGCAATCCTCCTACCTCAGCCTCCCAAAGTGCTGGTATTATTAAGGCTTATTAATTTGATAATTTATAAATAAATTCATTCAGAACTTACCCAGGTTGACCACACATAAAATTCCTTTTCCAAGATTCCTCTTCCACAAACCTACTACAACTTTCTCATACCCTTCTGTTTTGGATTAAATTCTTCCTCTTACTGTGAAACAAGTCATTCTACTATAAGGCAAAAGTTAGTCTTTTTCTCTTAACGAACACACATCCTTCATACTTCATAGCTTCACCTTACCAAAACCATGTCTTTTCCTCACATACAGAATCATTTCTCTTATTCTAGTTATAACTGTCACATCAGCATTCTATAGATTGGCAAATCTATGAATCAAATTTGTAGAAACATATGCTTCCTTGTAGTATAATTTATGTTCCACTATTAATGCTTCAGTATTTTATTTGGAAAATATCTACATATCCAATGAATATTCATCATTTAAATTAACAAAACCCCTAGGCTGTAAATTACCAGTGGGGAGCTATTTTTGAGTAGACATAACACAAACAAAGCTAGCTATCATTAAGTTATTTCTCTGTTAGCTACTTTTACAGCATGTGCATGTTCGGCAGTCTTCACAAAAACAAGAATCCTAAAAAGTTTAATAGATGAGATTTTTTGTTTTTTTGCTGCACTCGAAAAACGTGAAGTAATGGATACTGGCACCCACTTGCACATTGTTCATAGGTTGAACTCATAGTTGTATAATTATAAATATGTAGTGGAGGTAACATAAACTTATTTGATAATAAATCCTGGTAGGATTTAAAAGTTGTATATCTGCATTATATATTCTTACCCAAGTCACATGAACTTGAAAAGCATGTGTGTTGGTTTCTATATTGCTGAGAGAATACTTAATTTATGTGAAATGCTTATTTTTCTTTAAATCAATTAAATAGAAATCTTTTATGAATTAATTTTTGACCATACCATCTGGAGGTAGAAAAACATCTCATGGCTGGGTGCGGTGGCTCACGCCTGTAATCCTAGCCCTTTTGGAGGCCGATGCAGGCAGATCACCTGAGGTCAGGAGTTCAAGACCAGCCTGACTAACATGGAGAAACTCCATCTCTACTAAAAAAAAAAAAAAAACAAATACAAAATTAGCTGGGCATGGTGGCACATGTCTGTAATCCCAGCTACTCGAGAGGCTGAAGTAGGAGAATCACTTGAACCCGGGAAGTGGAGGTTGCTGTGAGCCAAGATCATGCCATTGCACTCCAGCCTGGGCAACAAGAGCAAAACTCCGTCTCAAAAAAAAAAAAAAAAGAAAAAAATAACACATATACGTAACATACCTACATGCACAGGCATGTATAAGCATACAGATAAGCAGATTTCTTAGCTTTCATTTGAAAACTGTAGCCATGTGCTAGGTACTATAATATAAAACACACTAGTTTATGAAACAATAGCTGGATCAAAAGTATATTCCCAGCAGATGGAATAAATTAAGGTTACTTACTTAGGTGGCCAAAGTGCTCTACTAGTATTTTTGGAAAAGTCTTAAGATTTTTCATTTAAACATTAAACAAAGAGTTTTAAAGCCTTGACACAAAACACTGTCCTTAAAAGGGAAAAGTGATATATTGAACTAAATGAAAATTTAGGTTTTGCTTTGAACATCCTATAAAAGGATGAAAGACAAGCTACAGACTGGGAGAAAATCTTTATAAAACAACATATTTGACAAAAGACATATCTAGAATACGTAAAGATCTTTTAAATCTCAACAGTAAAGAAAAATCCAGTTAGAAAATGGGGTAGAGATATGAACAGACATTTACCAAAGGGAATATACAAATGACAGAAATGTCCATGACAACATTTAACGTCATTAGCCGTTAGGAAAATTCAAGTTGAAATCACATTGAGGTCTTAATACACAGCTATCACAATGACTAAAATTGCAAGTAGTGACAGCACCAAATGCTGTATCTCATACATTGCTGGTGAGAATATAGAATGGTATGATCACTCTGGAAAATAGTTCGGCAGTATCAGAAAACTAAATATGTGCTTTCTATAATGACTCGCAGTTGCACTCCTAGGTGTTTATCCCAGAGAACTGAAAACTATGTTCACCACCACATGAATGTATATAGTACTTATATTCATAATAGCACCAAACTATAGATGACCCAGATATTCTTCAGCAGATAAATGGCTAAGCAAACTGGGGTACATATCATAGAACATTACACAGTAATAAAAAGGAACAACTATCAGCACAGTAACTTATTTTAATCCTTAGAAATTGATGCCAACTGAGGCCAGGCACAGTTGCTCATGCCTGTAATCCCAGCACTTTGGGAAGCCGAGGCAGGCAGATCACCTGAGGTCAGGAGTTTGAGACCAGCCTGGCCAACATGGTGAAACCCCGTCTCTACTGAAAAAATACAAAAATTAGCCAGGCGTGGTTGTGGGTGCTTGTAATCCCAGCTACTTGGGAGGTTGAAACAGGAGAATCTCTTGAATCCAGGAGGCAGAGGTTGCGGTGAGCCGAAATCGCACTACTGCATTCTAGCCTGAGCGACAAAGCTAAACTCCATCTCAAAAAAAAAAAGAAAAGAAAAGAAATTGTTGCCAAATAAAAAAAGTCCCAAAAGGTTCCATACTGTATGATTGCATTCACATAACATGTTTTAAATGATAAGATTATAGAAATGGAGACTGTTTGCCAGGGATTAAGGAGGGAATGGGCCTGGGAGGGAATTGGGTATGGATATTAAAAGGCAACACGAGGATTCTCATGGTGGCAGAACTACTCTGTATCTTAATGATGGTGATGGGTACAGGATTTTACACGAGTGATAAAATTGCATAGAACTAAACATACCCACGTGTACACATGCCCCAGTGAGTAAAAGTAAAACTGAGGCAATCTGAATAGGATCAGTGGATTGCATCAGTGTCAATATGCTGGTTGTGGTATACACTGTAGTTTTGTAAAATGTCACCATTAGGGGAAACTGGGTAAGGGGCCTGTGGTATCTCACTACGTGCATTTGGCTCTACAATTAACTCAAAATGTTCAAATATATTAATAAAGTAAATATCCGTACATGAATCTAAGGTGCAGAATAAATCAACATCAGGGGTCAGATAGTATTTTTAACCATCGTGACCTGTGGGAATATACATATGGCACAAAATGAAAAATGACAATCATAAATAAGAATCATGAATACAAAGGTTTAAATCTAGAAAAAGACAAGAACAGATTGCCTGGTAGAGTTCTATGCCTGGACCATAGCTACCAAGGATTGCCAAAACACATGCCAAGGATGGAGATGTGTGTGTGTGTGTGTGTGTGTGTGTGTGTAGTGTATATATTGCATATACACTATATATGTATATATATGTATATATATCCATCCTTGGTATGCTTTTATATGTATATAATAAGCTATATATACACATATATATAGTGTATAGTTGGGGGAAAAGGAAAAATATTAGGGCTTGAACCCCTTTGTATCCCTTTTCCTCCAAATGTAACATTTTCTTTTTAGTTTTATTTGTCTGATTGAGGTGTTATTTTTGTGGCTTTTTAGGTGGAGTATTGCTCCTGGAAAATCCAAAAGGTGACAATAGGTTGGACCTTTTAAAGCTGAAGAGTGTTGTCACTAGCATTTTTGGTGTGAAAAATACAGAGCTGGCTGTCTTCCATGATGAAACAGGTATGTGGAAAGTGAGAGGAGCCTACGTCCTTTGACTCAAGATGGATTGGTGAAGGTCTTAATTTGCTGTCAGTTGTACTATACAACTTTTGCATTTTTCCTAACTCTCTTGAGTCAGGGCCCAACTCTTCAGCAGTGCCTGCCTGCAGTGTCTATTCATGCCTCCTCATTGTGTCATGTGACTGAAAACCCTGGGCTTAATGGATCTAATCTTTCCCTCTCACCTGTTAGCTAGCTGGTGGACTTCAGGCTTCAGAGTCCTCTGTTGTGAGGTTGTTTTTGTTTTTGAGACAGGGTCTCACTCTGTCACCCATGCTGGAGTACAGTGATGCAGTCATGGCTCACTGCACCCTCGGCCTCCTGGGCTCAAGTAATCCTCCTGCCTTGACCTCCCAAGTAACTGGGACTACAGGCATGCCACCACCATGCTTGGCTAATTTTATTTAATTTTTTTGGAGAGACCAAGTCAGTATATTGCCCAGTCTGGTCTTGAACCCAGGGCCTTAAGCAGTCCCCCTGCCTTGGCCTCCCAAAGTGCCGAGATTCCAGGTGTGAGCTACCACACCCAACCGTGAGTTTTAACTTTATTAAACACAATGCCTGGATCTCACTAAGTCTGGATTCTCAATAAAGCAAACCTGAAAAATTTTTAAAGAATTATAGATGCATTCTCCCGCTGTTACGTATTGAATTGTGACCTCTGAAAAAAAAAAGATTATGTCCTAACCCCTTGTATCTCTAAATGTGACCTGTGGAAATAGGATTATCGCAGATGTAACTAGTTAGGATGAGGTCATACTGGAGTAGCGTGGGCCCCTAATCCAGTATGACTGTTGTCATTATAAGAAGGTGGCCATCGGGCTGGTCTCCAGCTCCTAACCGCCAGTGATCCGCCAGCCTTGGCCTCCTGAGGTGCCGGGATTGCAGACGGAGTCTCGTTCACTCAGTGCTCAATGGTGCCCAGGCTGGAGTGCAGTGGCGTGATCTCAGCTCGCTACAACCTCCATCTCCCAGCCGCCTGCCTTGGCCTCCCAAAGTGCCGAGATTGCAGCCTCTGCCCGGCCGCCACCCCGTCTGGGAAGTGAGGAGCATCTCTGCCTGGCTGCCAATCGTCTGGGATGTGAGGAGCCCCTCTGCCTGGCTGCCCAGTCTGGAAAGTGAGGAGCGTCTCTGCCCGGCCGCCATCCCATCTAGGAAGTGAGGAGCGCCTCTTCCCGGCCGCCATCCCATCTAGGAAGTGAGGAGCGTCTCTGCCCGGCCGCCCATCGTCTGAGATGTGGGGAGCGCCTCTGCCCTGCTGCCTCGTCCAGGATGTGAGGAGCGTCTCTGCCCGGCCGCCCCGTCTGAGAAGTGAGGAGACCCTCTGCCTGGCAACCGCCCCGTCTGAGAAGTGAGGAGCCCCTCCGCCCGGCAGCCGCCCCGTCTGAGAAGTGAGGAGCCCCTCCGCCTGGCCAGCCGCCCCGTCCGGGAGGTGAGGGGCGCCTCTGCCCGGCTGCCCCTACTGGGAAGTGAGGAGCCTCTCTGCCTGGCCAGCCGCCCCGTCCGGGAGGGAGGTGGGGGGGTCAGCCCCCCGCCCGGCCAGCCGCCCTGTCCGGGAGGTGAGGGGCGCCTCTGCCCGGCCGCCCCTACTGGGAAGTGAGGAGCACCTCTGCCCGGCCACCACCCCGTCTGGGAGGTGTACCCAACAGCTCATTGAGAACGGGCCATGATGACAATGGCGGTTTTGTGGAATAGAAAGGGGGGAAAGGTGGGGAAAAGATTGAGAAATCGGATGGTTGCCGTGTCTGTGTAGAAAGAGGTAGACATGGGAGACTTTTCATTTTGTTCTGTACTAAGAAAAATTCTTCTGCCTTGGGATCCTGTTGATCTGTGACCTTACCCCCAACCCTGTGCTCTCTGAAACATGTGCTGTGTCCACTCAGGGTTGAATGGATTAAGGGCGGTGCAAGATGTGCTTTGTTAAACAGATGCTTGAAGGCAGCATGCTCGTTAAGAGTCATCACCACTCCCTAATCTCAAGTACCCAGGGACACAAACACTGCGGAAGGCCGCAGGGTCCTCTGCCTAGGAAAACCAGAGACCTTTGTTCACTTGTTTATCTGCTGACCTTCCCTCCACTATTGTCCTGTGACCCTGCCAAATCCCCCTCTGCGAGAAACACCCAAGAATGATCAATAAAAAAAAAAAAAAAAAGAAGGTGGCCATGTGAAGACATAGAAACACACGGAGAAAATGCCATGTGGTGACAAAGGCAGAGATTGGAGTTACACACAGCTGCAAGCCAAGAAACAACCAAGATTGCCGGGAGCCTCCAGAAGCTAGGAAGAGGCAAAAAAGAATTCGCCTACAGGTTTCAGAGGGAGCACATCTGCCAACACTTTAATTTTGGACTTCTGACCTCCAGAACTTTGAGACAGTACATTTCTTTTATTTTTATTCCCTAGCCCCCTGCAGTTTATGGGACTTTACTATGGCAGCCTCAGAAAACTAATACTCATTTTATGAATCTGAATGCTCATTTTCAGAAACTTTTAAATAACTTAAAAGAAGAAATGCAAATGGCCAACTAAGGAACAACTGGTGCATCTTAATGGTAATCAGGAACTTGCAAGATAGTACCACAGTGAGGTACTATTAACTGCCACCAGATTGGCAAAAACTAGAAGAATCTGGCAGACTCAAATGTTGTCAGGGATATTGCATAATGGGAACTCTCATTCACTGCTGGATTATGAATTGTTGGAACCACTGGAAAACTGTTTGCTATTGTATCCATTAAAGGTTGGATAGGAGAAGCAAAAGCAATGTGGGAGAAACCAAGTAAAATTCTACAAGAAGGTAGCAAGTTAGAGGTCTGAGAAAAATCTCTAACCAGGTTCCACCAAGGTGGTGGATAAGTCAGTGGAAAGCTGGATCTCTGCCTAAAGTCACGGTAGGATGAGAAGTAGAAACGAGCAAAAACAGGCTAGAGTGCACATCTATCTGACCTCATCCCACACTGACAGGTGCCTTGCAGAAGAAACTGCTGGTACACTTTTCCAGAGAGTTGCACACATTCCTGGCCTGGAAGTTGGAAGAGCAGAGGCAGGAGCGTGGGCTGCTCACTGTCCCACTTAACCCAACAAGTTGGCAGATTCACAGCAACCTGAGAAAGCCAAGGGCACGGGCCCCATGTTAGCCTGTTTAGCATAATGACTGTTACTAAACTTCTACCTTCTAAATCCTGTGTAGATTTGTCTGTGATCAAGCCATTACCCAGAACCAGGTCAGACAGAGAACCTGGGAAATAGTTTTAGCTTAGCTGCATTGACACAGGATGAAACCACCATAGTTCACCCCATTGTGATCTTGACATCTATACATGGCTCTTTAAATCATATGTAACTTCCAAATAAAGACCCTAGTAGATTAAAAAAAAAAAAAAAATCACACTTTTAACTCTTTCTTGTACTGCTTCAAAGATGCTAACTTCATTACCCAAAACGAGATAGAAAGTTACCTTATCCTTCTTTGGGTGATGTTGATTTCTCTTCTAGCTGAGCCATACATCCCTCTT
Source organism: Homo sapiens (assembly GCF_000001405.40). Lineage (NCBI taxonomy): Eukaryota > Metazoa > Chordata > Mammalia > Primates > Hominidae > Homo > Homo sapiens. The sequence continues at coordinate 60,173 of NW_025791788.1, read as the reverse complement.
TTGCTGTTCTTTAACTTCACTGAGGTATAAGGTTAACCCGTTAAAATATTTCATGTTATATGGTAAGGAAATAAGAGAGTGGAAAAATAAGAATTGGCTAATATATATTAATACATAATGCCACACTTCATTTGCTGAAAAATGAGTTCTCTGGTCAAGCGATGCTATGTGGAATGCTGTGTTGGTAAATAAGACATTCTCTACCTCCATGGATGGTGGGTTTGCCAGAAGCATTATAGGTGACAGTGGCAAATCCTTGTCCAAAAGGAGTGTGTGTTCCAGTAAGACCAAAGCACTGCCTTTTCCCATAATGGAAACAGTGCAGTACAACCAAGCTGCCATCAGGAGTCTGGCTTGTCTTTCCTGGCAATAACACTGTATCGAAAGCTCAAGTAATGGTTCCCGCTGTTGGTAGGTGGGATACGCAGTAGCAGCTGTAGCAAAATCAGCCTTAGGGAGTGGAAGTAATGTTGTGGAGCCCGTGGTTATTCTTCCTCCCAGTCTGGGTGGCCCCTTTGTTCATCAATCCATTGGGCAAGGGCAGGAGTGGCTGGCGGCAGAATAGAACATGTCCACTGATTATTATTATTTATTTTTTATTTTTTATTTTTTGAGACAGGGTCTCACTCGATCACTCAGGCTGGAGTGCAGTGGCTCAATCATAGTTCAGTGTAACCTCAAACTTCTGGGCTCAAGCAATCCTCCCACCTCAGCCTCCAAAGTAACTAGGAGTACAGACACATGCCACCATGCCTGGCTAATTCTTTTCTTTTTTGTAGAGAGGAGGTCTTGCTGTATTGCCCAGGCTCAGTCTCCTGGCCTCAAGCAGTCCTCCCCTTTCTGCCTCCCAGAGTGATAGGATTACAGGTGTGAGCCACTGTGCCCAGCCTCACCCATTTTTAGATCCTCATTCATAGTCTGCCCATTTGTAGAGATCTGTCCACATACCTCTTGCCCTAACTTCCTTGTCACCAGTTTTCTAATTCTGTTCTTTGAGTCCCTGGCTGTTCTCGTTTAGTCCAGCTATTGGCCAGTGTCCATGAATCAGTGTAGATCTACTCCTAGCTATTTCTGCTGAGCAAAATGACCAGCCGGCTGCACTGAAAGAAGCTGTGCCCATTGGGAGGATTTCCACCCATCACTATTCTTCAGGGCTACCCAGAGTCAGAACAGGGCCGTTAAGACTGTAATTGTCTACTTTGGATGATACAGCGTATTGTGCAGTAAAGCCCTACACAGCAAGCCCTAAAATGTTTTCTTTCTCTGCCAGCCAGTCCTGGAAGACTTCCTACAAGGCCACACCTGTGGTTGAGAGAAGAGACCATGTGGGCCTAGGCTGAGCATGAGCATCTAGCCACTGGTGCAGCAGTTTCCTTGTTCCCTGAGCCAGTGCCCCAGCCTAGTCTCATACCTACCATTTCCACTCAATATTTGGAGGCTGCCCTGTGGGCCTGTCCTATATCACAACCATTACCAGTCATCTGCCTGCGCATGCATCCCCAAGCAACGTTTAATGTTCTCTAAATGAAATTACACTGCATATGTTCTGTGTATCATGCTTTTTTTCACATCTGCTCCTGAGTCAAATAACATCTTCTGACTGTAATTAGCACTTTTTAATGTAAGTTTTTCATGGTGAAGCTTGAGATTCTGATATAGGAGGAAATTTTAAGAGGAGCTGTATTATACAGAGAAAATACTAAAATAGAGAAAACAATTAGCCCTATATTTCAGATTATGAATATTATGATGTTTGTTTTGCAACATTGAGATTTCCTACCATTACATGTCATTAAAGGCTGGTTTTATAGAAAAGGCAATGTCTCTTGATAAACAGAAATTAAGTGGAAAGCATTATCGTAAAAAGATACATGATAGTTAAATAGGAAAAATTGAATGACTTCAGTTTTGAATTTGTTCGTTAACCCTGAAAGAATTGTTGTTGTTATTTTTAGAAATACAAAACCAAACTGACTTACTGAGTCTTAGTGGAAAAACACTTTGTGTGACTGCAGGATCGGCTCCCTCTCTGATCAACAGTTCTAGTACTCTTCTTTGTCAGTATATCAACCTACAGCTCCTGAATGCAAAGCCACAAGGTATGTGCCTCCCCACAGCAGGCAGACTGTGGGGTGCTGGGCATTGAAGTTGTCTTTAATATTCAAATATGTGTGTATTTCTAGTCGGCTTCAAAGTATTGCTTTAAAGTGTGGGCTCTCACGCAACTTTGGGGAGCAACCACAGGCTTTTCTTTTGGTGTGTTATAGAGACCCTCATCCATCTGGCATGGTTAGGAAATGAAAAAATTGGTTAGGTAAAAATTACAACTAAATTGTTTGAGTGCCAAAACATTTTAATCTCAAATTTTACTTTCTTTTCTGAGGAAAAATGTTCTGAAAACTTCTATACCTCCATGCCTTAATCAACAGACTAGATTGATAGTGATTTTTTTCCTGATATTTTAGGATCCTCATTGTGCACATTTGTACTGAAGTCTTCGGGCTCCTCACTTCACTGTGTACTGAGTATCTGCTCCCCAAGCTGCTGGGCTTTTATATAAGTTTTTTTTTTTTCTTTTTCCCCTTCCCCTTCACCTCTATGAAATGTTGAGAGCTGTTTCTGCATGGACTGCATCTTCAGCGGTCACACTCACGCTCCTGGACGCACTGCTGGCCTCAGCACTGCCTGTTAGAGCTGTCCGCAGTGGCCACCTCTTTTGGAGCTAGAGGGTGAACTCTCGAGATTTAATCCAGTTTGTTCTGTCTTCCACAGAGTGTTTAATGGGGACAGTGGGCACTCTCCTGCTTGAAAACCCACTTGGGCAGAATGGACTCACCCACCAAGGTCTTCTGTATGAAGCAGCCAAGGTGTTTGGCCTTCGGAGCAGGAAGCTAAAGCTGTTTCTGAATGAGACCCAAACGCAGGGTAAGGAGATTGTGGACCGTAAGTTTTTTATTTTTGTTGAAAGTAGATTTTGATGCCATTAACCATTTGTAGCATATACATGTAAGATAGTACTATTGTTATCCTGTTTTGTTATTCTTTCCCCAGAAATTTACCATAATATAATTTTCTTTTCTTTTTTTTTTTTTTTTTTTTTTTTTGAGACTGAGTCTCACTTTGTCTCCCAGGCTGGAGTGCAGTGGCACGATCTTGGCTTACTGCAACCTCCGCCTCCTGGGTTCAGGCCTGGGGCTTCAACCCAGGAACAAGGATTCTCCTGCCTCAGACTTCCGAGTAGCTGGGACTACGGGCGCCTGCCACCATGGCTGGCTCATTTTTGGATTTTAGTAGAGACGGGGTTTCACCATGTTGGCCAGGCTGGTCTCAAACTCCTGACCTCAGGTGATCCGCCCACCTCGGCCTCCCAAAGTGCTGGGATTACAGGCGTGAGCCGTGATGCCCGGTCAATAATATAATTTTTTAATAGCAATTAAAAGTATAATTACTTTTTGCTAAATCTAAAAACTACATTGGTATGTTATTAAAAATACATGCTTCTAGGTAAATCAGCATATTTGCTGACCCTAAAATTGTTCTTTCCCCCAAAAGTCAAAATTATCACAGGGTTGTAAAATAGCCTGACATTACAGCCTTACAGCTGACATTATACCTCCCTTTACAGTTTATAAAACATGCTTACCTGCATTTTTTCCTTGAGACACGTAACACTGTGAAGAGCTAGATCATCAGTTGACATATTCCACATTCTATTATCTAGAAAATAGAAATTAAGGATGGCGACCTGCACTTACTTGCTGGTGTCAGGCAGCTTATTTTCTCCTCCTCCCGTTCTCCCACTTAGCACTATTCACTTCTGAGATTTCAGCTTCTGTGGCTGCTCTGTCAACTTCTCTGTTGACATCCTCACCCTACCCTCTGAGTTTCGTTCTGTAATCCTGCTACACATCAGACATGTTCACTTTAATATTGCTGCCACTGCAATCACTTCCCCAGACAGCTTCCCTTTGTGGGATCTGTTTTTTTCTATTTATACCCATTCTTGACATCTCAATTCAAGACTTTTACCATCCCATCCTTTTATTTGTAACACCTGATAGCCTGGGATTTATTGGGCTTTCTGTGTCAGTATTTGTGTCTTTCGGCACTTGTGGAAAATTGCCAGACATTATCTTGTCCAACTTACCTCTTATTCATTCTCTCTGGTATTCTCTCCTTCTGACACCTTGTTTAGACATATTTTAGATGGACTTTCTCACTCTATCCTACCTCTTATTCTCTTTTCCTATTTTCCCTCCTTTTGTCCTTATATACTACATTCTGGATAATTTTGGCTTTTTTATCTTACCCTTGTTCCTCTGCAGGTAAGGTGCTGCTTTTCTCTGCTTCCTTGAAGATTTTCCCTTTGTCTTTTACTTTCTGCAGTTTATGATTTCCCTAGGTGTACATTTTTTGGTATAAGGCAGTGTTTATTTCTGTTACAGTGTTTTGGTTTTTTTGTTTTGTTTTGTTTTGTTTTTGAGACTTGGTCTTGTTCTGTCACGCAGGCTGCAGTGCAGTGGCTCAATCACAGCTCACTGCAGCCTCAAACTCCTGGGATCCAGCGATCCTCCCACCTCAGCCTCCCTAGCTAGGACTACAGGCACGCGCCACCATGCCCAGCTAATTTTAAAATTTTTTTGTAGGGACAGGGTCTTGCTATAAGGTCAAGGCTGGTCTTGAACTCCTGCCTTCAAGTGATCCTCCCACCTTGGCCTCCCAAAGCATTGGGATTACAAGCAAGAACCACCACACCCTGCCTAATTTCTACCATTTTCATTCTATTCGTGTTTTTTGTTTGTTTGTTTGTTTGTTTGTTTGTTTTGAGACAGAGTTTCACTCTTGTTGCCCAGGCTGGAGTGCAGTGGCACGATATCCCAGCTCGTTGCAACCTCCACCTCCTGGGTTCAAGCGATTCTCCTGCCTCAGCCTCCCGAGTAGCTGGAATTACAGGCATGTGCCACCATGTGCAGATAATTTTTGTAATTTTATTTTATTATTTTTTTATGATTATTATTTTTATTATTATTATACTTTAAGTTTTAGGGTACATGTGCACATTGTGCAGGTTAGTTACATATGTATACATGTGCCATGCTGGTGCGCTGCACCCACTAACTCGTCATCTAGCATTAGGTATATCTCCCAATGCTATCCCTCCCCCTCCCCCCACCCCACAACAGTCCCCAGAGTGTGATATTCCCCTTCCTGTGTCCATGTGATCTCATTGTTCATTTCCCACCTATGAGTGAGAATATGCAGTGTTTGGTTTTTTGTTCTTGCGATAGTTTACTGAGAATGATGATTTCCAATTTCATCCATGTCCCTACAAAGGACATGAACTCATCATTTTTTATGGCTGCATAGTATTCCATGTTGTATATGTGCCACATTTTCTTAATCCAGTCTATCATTGTTGGACATTTGGGTTGGTTCCAAGTCTTTGCTATTGTGAATAATGCCGCAATAAACATACGTGTGCATGTGTCTTTATAGCAGCATGATTTATAGTCCTTTGGGTATGTACCCAGTAATGGGATGGCTAGGTCAAATGGTATTTCCAGTTCTAGATCCCTGAGGAATCGCCACACTGACTTCCACAATGGTTGAACTAGTTTACAGTCCCACCAACAGTGTAAAAGTGTTCCTATTTCTCCACATCCTCTCCAGCACCTGTTGTTTCCTGACTTTTGAATGATTGCCATTCTAACTGGTGTGAGATGGTATCTCATTGTGGTTTTGATTTGCATTTCTCTGATGGCCAGTGATGATGAGCATTTTTTCATGTGTTTTTTGGCTGCATACATGTCTTCTTTTGAGAAGTGTCTGTTCATGTCCTTTGCCCACTTTTTGATGGGGTTGTTTGTTTTTTCTTGTAAATTTGTTTGAGTTCATTGTAGATTCTGGATATTAGCCCTTTGTCAGATGAGTAGGTTGCGAAAATTTTCTCCCATTCTGTAGGTTGCCTGTTCACTCTGATGGTAGTTTCTTTTGCTGTGCAGAAGCTCTTTAGTTTAATTAGATCCCATTTGTCAATTTTGTCTTTTGTTGCCATTGCTTTTGGTGTTTTAGACATGAAGTCCTTGCCCATGCCTATGTCCTGAATGGTAATGCCTAGGTTTTCTTCTAGGGTTTTTATGGTTTTAGGTCTAATGTTTAAGTCTTTAATCCATCTTGATTTTTGTATAAGGTGTAAGGAAGGGATCCAGTTTCAGCTTTCTACATACGGCTAGCCAGTTTTCCCAGCACCATTTATTAAATAGGGAATCCTTTCCCCATTGCTTGTTTTTCTCAGGTTTGTCAAAGATCAGATAGTTGTAGATACGTGGCGTTATTTCTGAGGGGCTCTGTTCTGTTCCATTGATCTATATCTCTATTTTGGTACCAGTACCATGCTGTTTTGGTTACTGTAGCCTTGTAGTATAGTTTGAAGTCAGGTAGTGTGATGCCTCCAGCCTTGTTCTTTTGGCTTAGGATTGACTTGGCGTTGCGGGCTCCTTTTTGGTTCCATATGAACTTTAAAGTAGTTTTTTCCAATTCTGTGAAGAAAGGCATTGGTAGCTTGATGGGGATGGCATTGAATCTATAAATTACCTTGGGCAGTATGACCATTTTCACGATATTGATTCTTCCTACCCATGAGCATGGAATGTTCTTCCATTTGTTTGTATCCTCTTTTATTTCCTTGAGCAGTGGTTTGTAGTTCTCCTTGAAGAGGTCCTTCACATCCCTTGTAAGTTGGATTCCTAGGTATTTTATTCTCTTTGAAGCAATTGTGAATGGGAGTTCACTCATGATTTGGCTGTTTGTCTGTTATTGGTGTATAAGAATGCTTGTGATTTTTGTACATTGATTTTGTATCCTGAGACTTTGCTGAAGTTGCTTATCAGCTTAAGGAGATTTTGGGCTGAGACAATGGGGTTTTCTAGATATACAATCATGTCATCTGCAAACAGGGACAATTTGACTTCCTCTTTTCCTAATTGAATACCCTTTATTTCCTTCTCCTGCCTAATTGCCCTGGCCAGAACTTCCAACACTATGTTGAATAGGAGTGGTGAGAGAGGGCATCCCTGTCTTGTGCCAGTTTTCCAAGGGAATGCTTCCAGTTTTTGCCCATTCAGTATGATATTGGCTGTGGGTTTGTCATAGATAGCTCTTATTATTTTGAAATATGTCCCATCAATACCTAATTTATTGAGAGTTTTTAGCATGAAGGGTTGTTGAATTTTGTCAAAGGCTTTTTCTGCATCTATTGAGATAATCATGTGGTTTTTGTCTTTGGCTCTGTTTATATGCTGGATTACATTTACTGATTTGCGTATATTGAACCAGCCTTGCATCCCAGGGATGAAGCCCACTTGATCATGGTGGATAAGCTTTTTAATGTGCTGCTGGATTCGTTTTGCCAGTATTTTATTGAGGATTTTTGCATCAATGTTCATCAAGGATATTGGTCTAAAATTCTCTTTTTTGGTTGTGTCTCTGCCTGGCTTTGGTATCAGAATGATGCTGGCCTCATAAAAGGAGTTAGGGAGGATTCCCTCTTTTTCTGTTGATTGGAATAGTTTCAGAAGGAATGGTACCAGTTCCTCCTTGTACCTCTGGTAGAATTCGGCTGTGAATCCATCTGGTCCTGGACTCTTTTTGGTTGGTAAGCTATTGATTATTGCCACAATTTCAGAGTCTGTTATTGGTCTATTCAGAGATTCAACTTCTTCCTGGTTTAGTCTTGGGAGAATGTATGTGTCGAGGAATTTATCCATTTCTTCTAGATTTTCTAGTTTATTTGCGTAGAGGTGTTTGTAGTATTCTCTGATGGTAGTTTGTATTTCTGTGGGATCGGTGGTGATATCCCCTTTATCATTTTGTATTGCGTCTATTTGATTCTGCTCTCTTTTTTTCTTTATTAGTCTTGCTAGTGGTCTGTCAATTTTGTTGATCCTTTCAAAAAACCAGCTCCTGGATTCATTAATTTTTTGAAGGGTTTTTTGTGTCTCTATTTCCTTCAGTTCTGCTCTGATTTTAGTTATTTCTTGCCTTCTGCTAGCTTTTGAATGTGTTTGCTCTTGCTTTTCTAGTTCTTTTAATTGTGATGTTAGGGTGTCAATTTTGGATCTTTCCTGCTTTCTCTTGTGGGCATTTAGTGCTATAAATTTCCCTCTACACACTGCTTTGAATGCGTCTCAGAGATTCTGGTATGTTGTGTCTTTGTTCTCATTGGTTTCAAAGAACATCTTTATTTCTGCCTTCATTTTGTTATGTACCCATTAGTCATTCAGGAGCAGGTTGTTCAGTTTCCATGTAGTTGAGCGGTTTTGAGTGAGATTCTTAATCCTGAGTTCTAGTTTGATTGCACTGTGGTCTGAGAGACAGTTTGTTATAATTTCTGTTCTTTTACATTTGCTGAGGAGAGCTTTACTTCCAAGTATGTGGTCAATTTTGGAATAGGTGTGGTGTGGTGCTGAAAAAAATGTATATTCTGTTAATTTGGGGTGGAGAGTTCTGTAGATGTCTACTAGGTCCGCTTGGTGCAGAGCTGAGTTCAATTCCTGGGTATCCTTGTTGACTTTCTGTCTCGTTGATCTGTCTAATGTTGACAGTGGGGTGTTAAAGTCTCCCATTATTAATGTGTGGGAGTCTAAGTCTCTTTGTAGGTCACTCAGGACTTGCTTTATGAATCTGGGTGCTCCTGTATTGGGTGCATATATATTTAGGATAGTTAGCTCTTCTTGTTGAATTGATCCCTTTACCATTATGTAATGGCCTTCTTTGTCTCTTTTGATCTTTGTTGGTTTAAAGTCTGTTTTATCCGAGACTAGGATTGCAACCCCTGCCTTTTTTTGTTTTCCATTTGCTTGGTAGATCTTCCTCCATCCTTTTATTTTGAGCCTATGTGTGTCTCTGCACATGAGATGGGTTTCCTGAATACAGCACACTGATGGGTCTTGACTCTTTATCCAATTTGCCAGTCTGTGTCTTTTAATTGGAGCATTTAGTCCATTTACATTTAAAGTTAATATTGTTATGTGTGAATTTGATCCTGTCATTATGATGTTAGCTGTTTATTTTGCTCGTTAGTTGATGTAGTTTCTTCCTAGTCTCGATGGTCTTTACATTTTGGCATGATTTTGCAGCAGCTGGTACCGGTTGTTCCTTTCCATGTTTAGCGCTTCCTTCAGGAGCTCTTTTAGGGCAGGCCTGGTGGTGACAAAATCTCTCAGCATTTGCTTGTCTGTAAAGTATTTTATTTCTCCTTCTCTTATGAAGCTTAGTTTGGCTGGATATGAAATTCTGGGTTGAAAATTCTTTTCTTTAAGAATGTTGAATATTGGCCCCCACTCTCTTCTGGCTTGTAGGGTTTCTGCCGAGAGATCTGCTGTTAGTCTGATGGGCTTCCCTTTGTGGGTAACCCGACCTTTCTCTCTGGCTGCCCTTAACATTTTTTCCTTCATTTCAACTTTGGTGAATCTGACAATTATGTGTCTTGGAGTTGCTCTTCTCGAGGAGTATCTTTGTGGCGTTCTCTGTATTTCCTGAATCTGAACGTTGGCCTGCCTCGCTAGATAGGGGAAGTTCTCCTGGATAATATCCTGCAGAGTGTTTTCCAACTTGGTTCCATTCTCCCCATCACTTTCAGGTACACCAGTCAGACGTAGATTTGGTCTTTTCACATAGTCCCATATTTCTTGGAGGCTTTACTCATTTCGTTTTATTCTTTTTTCTCTAAACTTCCCTTCTCGCTTCATTTCATTCATTTCATCTTCCATCGCTGATATTCTTTCTTCCAGTTGATCGCATCGGCTCCTGAGGCTTCTGCATTCTTCACGTAGTTCTCGAGCCTTGGTTTTCAGCTCCATCAGCTCCTTTAAGCACTTCTCTGTATTGGTTATTCTAGTTATACATTCTTCTAAATTTTTTTCAAAGTTTTCAACTTCTTTGCCTTTGGTTTGTATGTCCTCCCATAGCTCAGAGTAATTTGATCGTCTGAAGCCCTCTTCTCTCAGCTCGTCAAAGTCATTCTCCATCCAGCTTTGTTCCGTTGCTGGTGAGGAACTGTGTTCCTTTGGAGGAGGAGAGGCACTCTGCTTTTTAGAGTTTCCAGTTTTTCTGTTCTGTTTTTTCCCCATCTTTGTGGTTTTATCTACTTTTGGTCTTTGATGATGGTGACGTACAGATGGGTTTTTGGTGTGGATGTCCTTTCTGTTTGTTAGTTTTCCTTCTGACAGACAGGACCCTCAACTGCAAGTCTGTTGGAATACCCTGCCGTGTGAGGTATCAGTGTGCCCCTGCTGGGGGGTGCCTCCCAGATAGGCTGCTCGGGGGTCAGGGGTCAGGGACCCACTTGAGGAGGCAGTCTGCCCGTTCTCAGATCTCCAGCTGCATGCTGGGAGAACCACTGCTCTCTTCAAAGCTGTCAGACAGGGACATTTAAGTCTGCAGAGGTTACTGCTGTCTTTTTGTTTGTCTGTGCCCTGCCCCCAGAGGTGGAGCCTACAGAGGCATGCAGGCCTCCTTGAGCTGTGGTGGGCTCCACCCAATTCGAGCTTCCCGGCTGCTTTGTTTACCTAAGCAAGCCTGGGCAATGGCGGGCGCCCCTCCCCCAGCCTTGCTGCCGCCTTGCAGTTTGATCTCAGACTGCTATGCTAGCAATCAGCGAGACTCCGTGGGCGTAGGACCCTCCGAGCTAGGTGCGGGGTATAATCTCGTGGTGCGCCGTTTTTTAAGCCCATCGGAAAAGCGCAGTATTCGGGTGGGAGTGACCCAATTTTCCAGGTGCCGTCCGTCACCCCTTTCTTTGACTCGGAAAGGGAACTCCCTGACCCCTTGCACTTCCCAAGTGAGGCAATGCCTCGCCCTGCTTCGGCTCGCGCACGGTGCGTGCACCCACTGACCTGCGCCCACTGTCTGGCACTCCCTAGTGAGATGAACCCGGTACCTCAGATGGAAATTCAGAAATCACTGTCTTCTGCATCGCTCACCCTGGGAGTTGTAGACCGGAGCTGTTCCTATTTGGCCATCTTGGCTCCTCCCCCAATTTTTGTAATTTTAGTAGAGACAGGGTTTCACCATGTTGGCCAGGCTGGTCTCAAACTCCTGACCTCAGGTGATCCACCCACTTGGGCCTCCCAAAGTGCTGGGATTACGGGGGTGAGCCACCACACCCAGACCATTCTATTCTTTGAGTTTCCGTCTTTCTGTTTACATTGCCCGTCTGCTCTGCTTGTTCTGTTATGTTTCTGTTGAAGCCCAGTTTTAAGAAGCATACGTCTAGTTCCTTGGAGACACTGACAACCCAGACACACTTTAAACTCAATCATTTTGGACCATAGGGAGAATGTTAAGAAAGCTGTGACTGGGTCTGCGTGGTGGCTCACTCGTGTAATCCCAGCACTTTGGGAGGCTGAGGTGGGCAGAGTTCAAGACCAGCATGGCCAATATGGTGAAACCCCATCTCTACTAAAATTAGCTGGACATGGTGGCACATGCCTGTAATCCCAGCTACTTGGGAGGCTGAGGCAGGAGAATCTCTTGAACCTGGGAGGCAGAGGTTGCAGTGTGCTGAGATTGCATCACTGCACTCCAGCCTGGGCGACAAGAGTTAAACTCCATCTCAGAAAAAAAATCTATGGCATTCCCAGTCATACACAAAGGCCAGGAGTTGTGATGGAGACAGGATCTGTCTATCCCTACTCCAAAACAAAGCTAAGTGAGGTGATTTTCTCTGTATTGGTTTCTGTGGCTGCTGCAACAAATTTCCACAAATGGGATGGCTCAAGTCATCTCACAGCTCTGGAGGCCAGACACTGAAATTAGGGTGTCAGAAAGGCCACAGTCTCTCTGAAGGCTCTGTGGGAGAATTCCTTATATACTTCTTCTAGCTTATGGTGGCGCCAGGCATCCCTTGACTTGTGGCCACATCACTTCAGTCTCTGACTCCGTGGTCACATTGCCTCCTTCTCTTCTGTTTCCTCTTTTTCCAAATAAAGTGAACATTCACAGCTCCTGGGAATTTAGAACCTGGGCATATCTTTGGAAGGCCATTATTAACCGATTACATTCTCTTCACTTTTTCTCTTGTGGTGAAGGAACTTACTCAAATTAACCCTTTTGCTATGGGTTTCTTATTTGAAGTTCCAGTTTCTTCAGCAGAGATTTGTTGGACTTCCCGGTTTGTATATACCGGAGGCTTTTCTTTCCCTGCTTTCCTAGCTCTTTAGTGCCAAAAGCATTAAGCCACCAGACCCCATGGGAGTCATTATTTTTGGCCTCTGTGTAATTCTCCCGTTTTCTTCCTGTGCAGCTTTTTTTTTTAAATTTAGTTGCATATCGTACTTTTAAATTTTCTGTCATGATGTTAAATACTAAAGCTCTATTTCTTCTTGGGTTCCTCCTTCCCTCCCTGGGTTTATTTTCAGTGACTCTCCTTTGTCGTTTTCCCTCTCATCTCATCATTGGGCCTCATCATCCATCTAAGTCACCAGTCTGCAGTCTGTACTCTTCACCAGAGCTATCTTCATGAACATTCCTGCCTTGATTTTGTTCCCTTGCTTAGAGCCCCCAAAGCTCCTTATTCTCTTATGCCTCAGAATCTTCCCTTCCACACAAGATCCTTCCTGCTCTGGGCCTTCCCTGTCTTGCTAATTCTGTCCATGAGTCTTTCACTCTATCAAAGGCTTTTTTCACTCTCCCTCGAACACACTTGGCTCTTTCATTGTGGTATGGTAGTAAAGATCATCTAATAATGTAGCTTTCTATTTTGATAAGCTTATATAAAACTTTAGAGATAATTCTTAACTCTTCTTGTCCCTCAAATCCTTTGGTCACCAAGTACTGTTGTGCAGTGGAGCTGAAGATGACATTTATCTCTCACTTGTTCTTGCAAGCAAATGCAGTGGCATGATTGAACCTGGTCAGGGGTAGAACCATGTCTGTATGAATTATGTATTTATAATACTACCTGCAATTCACAGAACCATTCTTAACCTGTGCTGCCTTTCTGTATTCTCTTTACTCTGTGACGTTAGTTAGGCAAAAGTTTAGTGGGTGAGAACTTTTAAATGTTTAGTGATTTATCTAAGATTACCACAAAGTTGGAACTTTTTCTAATTCAGTATCTTTCCAATCTAGTATCTATAGCTTCGTTTTCATTATGCCTTTTCTCTCAGAATTGTCTTTCATAAAGTATCAATAACTTGGTAAATTAGAAGAGCCACAAAATGTTGACCATTTTAGAAACCCTTAGATGTCTTCTTGCTTGCTCCACTAAACTCTAAACATCATCTCCAGGTCCTGTAATTATCTATTAAGGAAGTAGCTTTGAGAGTATTCTCACATCTAGGATTGCTGCTAGGTAGGACAAGAGCTATTTTTAAAGGAAGCTCATCTGTTTGCTTTAAATTCAGATCTGACTAGAAGCAAAATGCTCCACAGTAGGCAGATAACTTTAAATTTTCTTTTTTTTTGTTTTTGAGTTGTATATTCAGTATATTTCAATCAATTGCATTTGGGTTATATTTTTGGATGCTCAGAGTTTTCGTCATTGGCCATATTGGATCCTGTATTCTTTAACATGATCCTTTGTCTTTGGTAAATTCTTGCTTTCTCACGTAGCAACATGTCCTAGGCTTATTATGTACTTTTACTTCTCCAGACGTAGAAAATAGCTGTTCTTCAAATTATAGAGAATCATATTTTGAAACCACATATCTGGGATACTGAGTTGGCACAGCCTCTAGGCTTTTTTTGTAGACATAGGAAGTATCTGTGTATGAGGAAAAATAACCATCTTGGCAGTACCCAGAGTTAGCCAAACTGTGAAGTGATGGCATAGTCCTCCAGAAGGCTCCAGGAGTCTGCCCGATATCTAACTCCACCTGCAAGGAGTGAGGATTCTACTCAGGGAAAGATCCACACAAGACCCCCATCACTGCTGGCACCAACTGCAAGTTCCAGGGATTTTCCTAAACCACCCTCAGGTTCAGTAACCTGCTAGGAGGACTCAGACTCACTAAAAGGTATTACACTCATGGTTTGAATTAGGGTAGGGAAAGGATACACGTTAGAACCAGCGAGAGTGAGAGAGAGAGAGAGACCCTGGAGTCATGGATAATGTTTCTTCCTCTCATCCCTTACATCTGACAACACAGAGACTATATTACCAACCAGGGAAGCTCACTCGAGCCTTGGTGTCCAGTTTCTGTTGAGGTTTCATTCTGTAGGCATGATTGCTGTCTTTCTCAACTGATATACCATGTGACCCAAAGTCCCCATCCTAAATCATATACTTGGTCTTTCTGTCCTGGCCAGCACTACCCTGAATTGTCTCATTAGCAACAACTGTCAGGTTTGGTGAACATACCCACCATGAGAAACAAAGATTCCTACCAGGAAATTCCAAGGATTTAGAGGTTCACCTCAGGAGCTGGGACAAAAGGCAGAACTCTTAGGATAAGGCCAAATTCCTTACTACACAAGCAGTTAACATTTTTTTAAATATTCACCCCCAATAGGTAAAATACTGATTTTTTTTCAACTTTTTCTTTCCATTCTAGAAATTACAGAAGACATCCCCGTGAAGACTTTGAATATGAAGACTGTGTATGTTTCTGTGTTACCAACAACAGCAGACTTCTAGCATGTACTTATCAATGTTGTTCGGTCAGCCCTTCCCTAATTACACCTATCCCCTACACATACATGCACATAGACACACACATGAACACACTGAAGATATTTCCTTCAGGTGTGTGTAAAATATGCTGCTTGGATTGAAATTCAAATGGGATTGATTAGTCAAGTAACTTGAGACCTCACAGTAATCTTCACACTTAACCTTAGACACCTATGCAGTCATGTTGGGAGCAGGTTACAATGTTACTTCAGCCCACAGTTTATTTCTATACTTGAGTTCTTAAGTACAGAAGATAGAAGTGATTTAAATGGCATAGTATATATATCATTTTCTGGCCTTTTAAAATTTATTTGAGACCTCTTGATGAAATGGACATATTATATATTTCTGCCACCTGGATTTTCCTGGATAATTTGATGGAATATTTTAAGTTTCAGTAAATCAGAACAATAAACAAACTCAGATATAAATGTGTTGAAAGTAATTCATTCTCCCATAGATAAATGAAACTTGAAATGTGTAAACTTTGAAGAACATAAAAACTTCATGGTGGTTTCTTATTAAGACAGTGGACTAGACATCTAATAAAACTTCTTTCCAAAATCCCAGGTGATAATTTGAGTCCTCAGAGAAGCAGATGACATGACAAAGTTAGATGTGCAAGAATTTATTAGAGGAAACATAAATGGAGGATAAACGGGAGATGGAGCAAGCGTAGGTCGAGAGAGCCTTCAGACTGCAGTGTGGGTCTGACACCTGTAAAAAGAGAAAATGAAGATTGATTAGCAAAAACTTAGACTGCAGTGCAACTCTAAGATGAAGTCTTGGTCAGGCCAATGGAGAGTTCCCAAGCAAGGATTCCTTTTAGTAGAGTTCAGAATTGGGCAGAAATAGCCTGGCTTTGTTTCTCTGACTTCCTCAAGTCAGTTTCTGGGAGGAGACCAAGGGGAGCGTGGCCTTCGCACAAATGCCTTGATGGATCTGAAAGTACCAACTACACTCCTCATGTCAGATTCTTTTGAAGGGAGATCTGAATGATACATCCCTATGGCTACTACAACAGATGCATTCACACAAAAACCCACAAGTTGGAGAAAATAGAGGAAACAACCAGAACTTGGGGAATTGGAAAGCAGATAGACGGTGTTAACTAACTTGGTAGACCCAGGAAACCCCAATTCTAAATCAATGGAGGAACTGATAAACTTACTTACATTTCAGAATTCACAGCACCAGTTAACCTCTGGGATGAAAGGTAGAAGAGGCACAGAAATAGGGACGATTGCGTGAACACTGGGAAGCCTTATAGCTTCTCCCATTTCCACGTTGCTAAGCAACTTTATTCCCCCCACAGTTGGCATCTGGAAGGTAAAAAGTGACTGGTTGGTAGAAGTCGGAGTGAATGGAAGACAAGAGTACTTGTAAGCCTGGAGGATTCCTAAAACCAACCCTCAGCTTAGATAATTTGCTAGAAAGACTCAGAACTCAATGAAAGCTATTGTATTCGTGGTTACAGTTAATGACAGGGAAATGTTAAAGATCAAAATCAGCCAAAGGAAGAGGAGAGGGCAGAGCCCGGGAGAAGTACCAAACACAGCTCTTGTCCTGTCTCTCTGAAGTCAGCAAGCATTACTCTACTGGCATCAGTGTGTGACAGTATGCACAGAGTATTGCCAGCCAGGGAAGCTCACCCAAGCCTTGGAACCCAGAGTGTTTACTGAGGCTGCTTTACATATCCATGATTGATTGTCCATGTGGTTAATCGCAGTCTCTAGGTCAGCTGCTCGTGCATGACCCAAAACCTCCACCCTAAATCACATTGTTGGTATTTCTGATGTGTTGTACACCCCCCCCACCATAAGACTGTATAGATTTGTCCCACCCCAGCCATAAATCATACTGTCAAGGCTATTCAGTATGATTCAAGATCCCCAGGTAAACAGAGGCATTCCTATGTAGCATAACATCCAAGGGCAAGGCCAAATTCCTTTATACAGAGTACTGTACTGGAAACAAGATTAAGTGGCTTTATGTATACTGTCCACTATACCAAAGAAGAATATAAAAGATTGACACCAAGTATTGGCTGGGAAAAAGGCTCACTCTGAACAATTAACTTTGAAGTTGAGAAGTCCATACTCAGGTCAGTGTTTTAGCCCCCAACTCTTATTCATGAGACTTCCATCTAGAATTACGAGAGATCTAGTGAAAGCCTCTAATCCAAAACCAAAAGAGAGTACCAAAACAACTTTGAGGAATCAAGCAATGCAGTGAGAAGAAAATTCCCCCTGCCAAATGTGTTAATATCCTTAGAGTTATAAGATACTACATCTGTAAAATAACGATGCTACAAAACATGAAAATCTCAAGAGGAGAAAAAAATGTTCCTGTTAATATAAGACTTAATAGAAAAGAAAAAAAATCATTGGAAAATAGTGTGAAATTTTCCAGACACTAGATAGATTAACAATAAATATTTAAGGTGGGAGAAAAGAGATATTATACATAAGTTAGAGTCCAGGAGTTCCAGTATCCAAATTGTAGGAATTCCAGAAAGAAGAAAAATAAGGTCAGAAAATTATAATTAATGTAAACAAATTTTGCAGAACCTACAGCCAGATTGAAAGATATCTTTGGCCGAACACGGTGGCTCATGCCTGTAATCCCAGCACTTTGGGAGGCCGAGGTGGACGGATCACGAGGACAGGAGATCAAGACCATCCTGGCTAACATGGTGAAACCTTGTCTCTACTAAAAATACAAAACATTTAGCCGGGCGTGGTGGCAGGCGCCCGTAGTCCCAGCTACTCGGGAGGCTGGGGCAGGAGACTGGCGTGAACCTGGGAGGCGGAGCTTGCAGTGAGCTGAGGTCGTGCCACTGCACTCCAGCCTGGGTGACAGAGCGTGACTCCGCCTCAAAAAAAAAAAAGATATCTTCAAATGTCTAGCACAATGCATGAAAATAGACTCACTTCCAAGGCACATAACAGAAATTTCAGAACATAAAGAAAAGACTAAGTTTCTAGAAAGAAAAAAGCAAAAGGGATATACAAAAGATTAGCAGTTAGTAAGGATTTTTCTTTTCAACCTCTGGGAGCACAGAACAATTTAGTAAGGATTTGATTTCTCAGCAACACAGTAAGAAGAGAATCTCCCCAATTCTTTGGGGAAAGTTTTCTAACTATATTGTACCCAACCAAATTATCAAACAAGTATGAAGGTAGAATAAAGACATTTTCAGACATGAGTTAGGTCTCAAAAAAAAATTATCTCCCATGTACTCTTTCTCAGGGAGTTATTGGTAGTGTACTCTACCAAGCTGCAGCAACCCCACTGAGGTCGTGGTTCCTAAAACCATTCTCCCATGAAGGGAACTAGGTTTCCCTGGGAAAAAAATGGCTGCTTCTAGAGCTGGAGCTGGGAATGTACGATATGAATCTGAAACATCTTGTAGTAACAGAAAGTAAAGTGATCAAAAAACAGTGGTGAGTGACATCAGCAAGATGGCAAAATATTAATAGTAAGCCCTGCTGGGCGTGGTGGCTCACACCTGTAATCCCAGCACTTTGAGAGGCTGAGGTGGTGGATCATGAGGTCAGAAGTTTGAGACTAGCCTGGCCAACATGGTGAAACCCCATCTCTACTAAAAATACAAAAATTAGCCGGGCGTGGTGGCACATGCCTGTAATCCCAGCTACTCAGGAGGCTGAGGCAGGAGAATTGCTTGAACCCGGCAGGCAGAGGTTGCAGTGAGTCAAGGTCGCACCACTGCACTCCAGCCTGGGCGACAGAGCAAGATTCCATCTCAAAAAATAAAAAAATAAATAAGCCCCAGGCCCTCATTCTCCCATAGAGACACTGACTTAACAATATACGGACCAAACTGCCTTTGTGAGAATTTTTCAGAAATCAGTTTAAAAGTTGCAGTACCCCAGGTGAACGTAGAAGCAAGAAGAGCTGATTTGAAGCAGGTGAGAAAGTCCATTACATTTGCATACCATAGGTTCTCCCAGTACCAAGCACAGTGCAGCACAATCTGGAGATACCTCCCACTTGCACCTTCCTTCTCAAGAGGGAAAGAGTAGAGTGGAATGTATGTCCCATGTTCTGGCTTATAGTGGGGCTGACCAAAGGACTGATTTCTGTTCATGTGACTCAGAGCACTGACAGGAACAGTGTCATACTTTGGATGACTAGGGGCTGCTGAGAACAAATGTGAGACCTATAGCCTTGTTACAGCACTGCAGGAACTAGTATCATAAACAGATACCAAGGGGAGCAAGAAATTATGAGTTCCTTAAAAAGACACAGGGGCAAACCTCTTCAGGAAATTGCACAGACAAACCCAGAGAAGATACATCGCTAGAAAAGATTCAAGAGGTCCCCAAGATCTCCAGCTAAACTAATTTGTAATGCTGTTCCTTTTTACAAAGCCAGTCTATAAAGGCTAAGAGAGATGGCTGTTTTTTCAGATGCCCAAATCTCAACAAAAGATTAGCAGGTGGCCGGACACAATGGCTCATGCCTGTAATCCCAGCACTTTGGGAGACCAAGGCAGGAGGATCACTTGAATCCAGGAGTTCAAGACCAGCCTGGGCAACACAGAGAGACCTCATCTTTACAAATAATTTAAAAAATTAGCCAGCTGTGGTGGTGCATGCCTGTTATCCCAGCTACTGGGGAGGCTGAAGCAGGAGAATTGCCTGCGCCCAGGAGTTTGAGGCTGCAGTGAGCCGTGATCAAGCCACTGTACCCCAGCCCAGACCCTGTCTTTAAAAAAAAAAAACGGCTGGGTGTGGTGGTTCATGCCTATAATCCCAACACTTTGGGAGGCCGAGGCGGGCAGATCACCTGAGGTCAGGAGTTCGAGACCAGCCTGGCCAACATGGTGAAACCCCATCTGTACTAAAAATACAAAAATTAGCTGGACGTGGTGGAGGGCGCCATAATCCCAGCTACTCGGGAGACTGAGGCAAGAGAATCTCTTGAACCCAGGAGGCGAAGGGTGCAGTGAGCCAAGATCGCACCATTGCACTCCAGCTTTGGGGACAAGAGCAAAACTCTGTCTCAAAAAAAAAAAAAAATCACAAGGCATACCATGAAACAGGGAAACATGGCCCTATCAAAGGAACAAATAAATCTCTAGAAACTAACCCTAAAGAAATGGAGATCACCAGGCAAAGTGGCTCAACACCTCTAATCCCAGCACTTTGGGAGACTGAGGAGGGAGGATCACTTGAGCCCAGGAGTTCAAGACCAGCCTGGGCAACATAGAGAGACCCTGTCTCTAGAAAAAATAATAAAATAAATAATAAATAATAAAATACAATTAGCTAGATGTGGTAGCATGTGCCTGTAGTCCCCGCTACTTACTTGGGAGACCGAGGCAGGTGGATAACCTGAGCCTGGCAGGTCGAGCTGCAATGAGCCATGATTATGCCGCTGCACTCCAGCCTGGGTGACACATTAAGACCATGTGTCAAAAAAAAGAAAAAAGAAAAAAACAGAAACGATGGAGATCTATTAGTTGTCTGACAGAATTCAAAGTAATCATCTTAAAGATGTTCAGTGAGCTACAAAGAACACACAAAATCAGGTAAACAATATCTGCACAAACAAAATGAGATCAATAAACTATAATAATGTAAGATGTTAGTGATCAGGTAAACTGCGTGTGAGTATATCAGCTGTATTTGCATCTTTTTTATAAATCTGAAGATATAGAAGTTCATTTTTAATAAGTGTCAGAAACTGAAATTAAAAACCTATTGTAGGCTGGGCACAGTGGCTCACGTCTATAATTCCAGCACTTTGGGAGGCCGAGGCGGGCAGATCATGAGGTCAAGAGATCAAAACCATCCTGGCCAACATGGTGAAATCCTGTCTCTACTAAAAATACAAAAATTAGCCAGGCATGGTGGCGCACGCCTGTAGTCCCAGCTACTCGGGAGGCTAAGGCAGGAATTGCTTGAACCCGGGAGGTGGAGGTTGCACTGAGCCAGGATCGCACCACTGCACTCCAGCCTGACAACAGAGCGAGACTCCATCTCAAAAACAAACAAACAAACAAACAAAAACCCTATTGCAATAGTATCCTAAAATATGGAATACTCAGAGATAAATTTGACCAAAGATGTATAGTGCTTGTATACTGAAAACTACAAAACATTCCTTAGAGATAATAAAGAAAACCTGTAGGCCGGGCACAGTGGCTCACACCTGTAATCCCAGCACTTTGGGAGGCCTAGGCAGGTGGATCACAAGATCAGGAGTTCAAGACCAGCCTGGCCAACATGGTGAAACCCCGTCTCCACTAAAAATACAAAAAAATTAGCCAGGCGTGGTGGCGAGTGCCTGTAATCCCAGCTACTCGGGAGGCTGAGGCAGAGAATTGCTTGATCCCAGGAGGCGGAGGTTGCAGTGAGCCGAGATTGCATCACTGCACTCCAGCCTGTGTGACAGGGCAAGATTCCGTCTCAAAAAAAAAAAAAAAAGAAAAGAAAAAAAACAAAGCCTATATAAATGGAAGAGAGAAATAATGTTTATATTAGTTAGCTAAGATTGCCATAACAAAATACCACAGACTGGGTGGCTTAAACAACAGAAATTTATTTCTTTACATTTCTAGAGGTTGGAAGTCCAAGATCAAGGTGTCAGCAGGTTTGGTTTCTCCTGAGGCCTCTCTCCTTGACATTATCTGCTGGCCATCTTCTCACTATGTCCACATATGGCCTTTTCTGTGATTGGTTCCTGAGCAAAGTAATGCTATAATGGACTCATGGTTAACTGTCTCTTAACACAGCTGCTGAAAGTGGATTCTGTGTTCCCTCAGCCAGAGACCTGTCAACTTAACCAGGACTCCATAGTGCCACTGGGAATTTTGGTTCATGAGAAGAGCTTATTTACTTCTAGCAGTGTCGCCATCAGCTAAAGATAAAACATGTTCCTGATGGCAAGGCTCACGCAAACATAATTTAATACTTTCCCACAACCCACTCCAATTGCCCATCAATTCTTTAGCCCCATAAAGCCCTTCCAGCTCTCCCTGAATGCTGCTCCAGGGTGGGTGCCCTCACAGGGGTCTTCTGGTCCCCTCTTAGATACTCATGTGCAGGTGGCCTGTCTGAGAGGGCCTGAGTTGTTCAGTCTGTGCTGAAAGCTCCACCTCAGGCCTCTGCTTATGGTCTTAGTTATTTGCTCTCACAAGCCTGTTCTTCTTGCTCATCAGACCTCCCGTGAAAAGCTCTGCTGAATGAGACAGCACATTGCTCTATTAAATGAGAATGTAAATGACAGCTACCTCATTAGAAGAAGTGGGGCTGGGTGGCATGGTTTATGCCTGTAATCCCAGCACTTTGAGAGGCCAAGGGGAGAGGATCACTTGAGCCCAGGAGTTCAAGACCAGCCTGGGCAACGTAGCAAGATCCCATCTCTACAGAAAATTTCAAAAATAAAAAAGACTGTCATGCAGCTCAAGGTCATGATCTGAAATGAAACAAACAAAAGTCTATCCGCAATTCTAAAGCCATCTTTTAGAATTTAACACTTTACTATTGTTACACATTGTATATAATCCTTATGTATAAATGTTGGTTGCACTTTTTGCTGTTTTACTTTAGGTTTTTCTCTTGCTGGTTGTATTAGTCTGTTCTCACATTGCTGTAAAGAACTACCTGAGGCTGGGTGCAGTGGCTCACGCCTGTAATCCTACCATTTTGGGAGGCCAAGGCAGGCGGATTGTCTGAGTTCAGGAGTTCGAGACCAGCCTGGGCAGCATGGTGAAACCCTGTCTCTACTAAAATACAAAAAATTAGCTGGATGTGGTGGTATGTGCCTGTAGTCCTAGCTACTCCGGAGGCTGAGGAATGAGAATCACTTGAACCTAGGAGGCGGAGGTTGCAGTGAGCCGAGATTGCGCCACTGCACTCCAGCCTGGGCAACAGAGAGAGACCCTGTCTCAAAAAAAACAAAACAAAACAAAAAACAAAAAAAACTACCTGAGACTGGACAGTTTATTTAAAAATGTTTAATTGACTCAGTTCCACAGGCTGTACAGGAGGCATGGCTGGGGAGGGCTCAGGAAATTTACAATCATGGCCGAAGGTGAAGGGGAAGCAAGCACATCTTCACATGGTGACGGGAGAGAGAAAGCGAAGAGGGAAGTGCTACACACTTTCAAACAACCAGATCTCGTGAGAACTCACTATCACGAGAACAGCAAGGGGGAAATCCACCCCCATGATCCGATGACCTCCCACCACATCCCTCTTCCAACATTAGGGGTTACAATTCAACAAGAGATTTGGATGGGGACACAGGGCCAAACCATATCACTGGTAAAAGGTCATCATATTAGGTCATTTCCTTCTATGTCAGTGGGAGATTTGCAATGCCTTTTCTTATTGGCAATATGTTGTGAGTATTTATCTTGACTTGGGCACTATTATCAACCTCTTACTTCATGGTATTTTGCTTCCCATTATCTCAACACTGTGAACTCCTCCCATATTCTGTATTGAAGGAAATTTATTTTTTTGTAGTCCAACTAACTTCCTTTATTTTTATTATGGTAAAATATACCTAAAATTTACCATTTTGATTTTCTTTAAGACAAGAGTCTTGCTTTGTCACCCAGGCTAGAGTACAGTGGCATGATCATAGCTCACTGTAACCTCAAAAATATCAAACTTCTGGACATAAGCAGTTTTCCCTGTCTCAGACCCCTGAGTATCTCGAACTATAGACATATGTCACCACAGCCAGCTAAATTTTTTTTTTTTTTTTGTAGAGACAGGGTCTTGCTATGTTGCCTAGGCTGGTCTCAAACTCCTGACCAAAAGTAATCCTCCTGCCTAAGCCTCCCAAAGTGCTGGAATTACAAGTGCGAACCACTGGGTCAGCCTTTTTGTTGTGTCTTTTTCTGGTTTTGTTATCAGGGTAATATTGGCCTCTTAGAATGAATCTGAAAGCATTCCCTCCTCTTTGATTTTTTGGAATAGTTTGAATAGGACTGGTATTAGATTGTCTTTAAATGTTTGGTAGAATTCAGCAGTGAAGTTATCAGATCCTGGGCTTTCCTTTGACAGGAGACTTTTTTTATTATAGGCTTCAATCTTGTTACTTGTTACGGGTCTATTTGAGTTGTGGATTTCTTCATGGTTCAATCTTTGTAGGTTGTATGTGTCTAAGAATTTATCCATTTTTTATATGCTTCTCAATTTATTGGCATAGAGCTTATGCCTCTAGTGATCGTTGAATTTCTGCGGTTTATTTGTAATGTCTCCTGTTTCTCTCTGATTTTATTTATTTGGTTCTTCTCTCCTTTTTTTCTTAATCTGGCTAAAAGTTTGTAGATTTTGTTTTTCTTTTCAAAACTCCAACTTTTTTATCTTGTATATTATTTGTCTCAATTTTATTTATTTCTGCTTGATCTTTATTATTTCTTTTCTTCTAATTTTGGGTTTGGTTTGCTCTTACTTTTCTAGTTCTTTGACAGGGTTTCACTCTGTCACCCAGCCTGGAGTGCAGTGGCACAATCTCCGCTCACTGCAACCTCCGCCTCCCAGGCTCCAGCAATCCTCCCACCTCAGCCTCCCAAGTAGCTGAGACTACAGGTGTGCACCACCATGCTTGGCTATTTTTTGTAGAGATGGAGTTTCACCATGTTGCCCAGGCTGGTCTCAAACTCCTCAGCTCAAGTAATCCACCCGCCTTGGCCTCCCAAAGTTTTGGAATGACAGGCATGAGCCACCACACCCGGCCATGCTTTTCTAGCTTTTTAAGATGCATTGTTAGGTTGTTTAATTGAAGTTTTTCTACTTTTTTGATGTAAGCATTTATTCTAGTAAACTTTTATCTTAGCACTGCTTTTGTTGTATACCATAGGTTTCATTCTGTTGTGTTTTCATTTCCATTTCTTTCAATAAATTTTTAAATTTTCTTCTTAATTTCTTCATTGACCCAGTGGTTGTTCAGAGGCATGTTGTCAAATTTTCATGTGTTTCTATACTTTCTTTTCTTTCTTTCTTTCTTTCTTTTTTTTTTTTTTTTTTTTTTTTGAGATGGAGTCTCCCTCTGGTGCCCAGGCTGGAGTGCAGTGGGTCAATCTTGGGTCACTGCAACCTCTGCCTCCCAGGTTCAAGCGATTTTCCTGCCTCAGCCTCCTGAGTAGCTGGGATTACAGGCACATGTCACCATGTCCAGCTAATTTTTGTATTTTTAGTAGAGACGAGGTTTCACCATGTTGGCCAGGATGGTCTCAAACTCCTGACCTCAAGTGATGCACCCACCTCACACTCCCAAAGTGCTGGGATTATAGGTGTGAGTGCCCAGCCAGTATCTCCAGTTTCCAAAGTTCTACTTGTTATTGATTTTTAGTTGTATTCCATTGTGATCAGAAAAATTACTTGCTATTATTTGAATTTTTAAAACTTTGTTAAGATTTGTGGCATAACATATGGTCTGTCTCTGAAAATATTTCATGTGCTGAGGAGAATAATGTGTATTCTGCAGCTGTTGAATTAACTGTTCTGTAAATGTCTATTAGGTCCATTTGGTCTATCATGCAGATTAAGTCTGATAAGGGTTTTTGTTGTTGTTGTTGATGATTGTCTGTCTAGATTTTCTATGCAATGCTGAAAGTGGAGTGTCAAAGTCCCCAGCTGTTATTGTATTGGGAACTCTCTCTCTCTCTCTCTTTAATCCTAATAGTATTTGCTTTATCTATCTGGGTGTTCCAGCACTGGGTACATTAATGTTTACAATTATTATAACCTCTTGTTGAATTGACCCCTTTATCATCATATAATGACCGTCTTTGTCTCTTTTCACAGGTTTTGACTTAAAAATCTATTTTATCTGAAATACATATAGCTATTCCTGCTCTTTTTGGGGGTGTTTCATTTGCATGGAATGTCTTTTTCCATCCCTGCATTTTCAGTCTATGTGTGTCTTTATAGGTGAAGAGAGTTTCTTGTAGGCAGCATATAGTTGCGTCTTTTAAAAATTTGTTCAGCCACTCTATGTCTTTTGATTTGTAGAACTTAGTACATTGACATTCAATGTTATTATTGATAGGTAAGAACTTACTGCTGCCATTCTGTTCATTTTTTCTGGTTGTTTTGTTGGTCCTCTCTTCCTTTCTTACTTCCTTTCTGTCTTCCTTTGTAAGTGATTTTCCCTGGTAATATGTTTTAATTTCTTGTTTTTTTATTTCTTGTGTATCTATGATAGGTCTTTGCTTTGTGGTTATTATAAGGGTTGCTAGTAACAGCTTATAACTAGTTATTTTAAACTGATGAAAACTTAACACTGAGTAGAAAAAAGGAAAAAAAGCAAACAAGCAAAGAGAAAACTCAAAAAAAAAAAACTCTACAATGTTACTCCATCTTCCCTTGCCTCAATGGCTGTTTTTTGCCTTTTTTTGGGGGGAGGGTTTCTCTAATTATATCTTTTTATATCATCTATCTCTTAAGAAATTGTCGTTATTATTATAATTATTTTGAGGTCAAGTCTTACTCTGTCGCCCAGGCTGGAGTTCAGTGGTATGATCTCAGCTCACCGCAACCTCCGTCTCCTGGGTTCCAGTGATTCTAATGCCTCAGCCTTGTGAGTAGTGGGGATTACAGGTGTGCAACACCGTGCGTGGCTAATTTTTGTATTTTTAGTAGAGACAGAGTTTTGCCATGTTGGCCAGGCTCACCTCAAACTCCTGACCTCAAGTGACCCGCCCACCTCAGCCTCCTATGTTGTCATTATTATTATCATTATTATTATTATTATTTTCTTTTTTGAGATGGAGTCTTGCTGTCGCCCAGGCTGGAGGGCAGTGGCACGATCTCAGCTCACTCTAGGCTCCGCCTCCTGGGTTCACACCATTCTCCTGCCTCAGCCTCCCAAGTAGCTGGGACTACAGGTGCCCACCACCACGCCTGGCTAATTTTTTGTATTTTTAGTAGATATGGTTTTCACCGTATTAGCCAGGATGGTCTCGATCTCCTGACCTTGTGATCCGCCCACCTCAGCCCCCCAAAGTGCTGGGATTACAGGTGTGAGCCACCACACCTGGCCGTCATTATTATTTTTGATAGATTTGTCTTTTAGTCCTACTAACGATATGAGTGGTTTAAATAATGCAATTACAGTATTAGGCTATTCTGTATTTGTCTGTGTACTTAAGTTTACCAGTGTGTTTTATATCTTCAGTTGCTTTCTTGTTACTCATTAATGTCCTTTTCTTTCATATTGAAGAACTTCTTGTAAAACAGGTCTGGTATTGACAAAATCCCTTAGCTTTTGTTGTCTGAGAAAGTCTTTATTTCTTCTTATGTTGAAGGATAATTTTGCTGGGTATAATATTCTAGTCCAAAGTTTTTATTCCTTTAATACTTTGAATGTCATTCTATTTCCTCAGGCTGGTAAGGTTTCCACTGAGAAGTCTGCTGCCAAGTGTATTGGAGCTCCTTTTTATGTTATTTGCTTCTTTTCTCTTGCTGCTTTTAGGATCCTTTCTTTATCTTTGACCTTTGAGAGTTTGCTTATTGTATACTTTGAGGTAATTTTATTTGGCTTGAATATTCTAAGTGTTCTTGATCTTCATGTTCCTAGGTATTCATGTCTCTAAGTTTGGAAGGTTCTCTGTTATTATTTATTTGAATAAACTTTCTACCCCAGTCTCTCCATCTACCTCCTATTTAAGACCAATAGTTACTAGACTTGCCCTTTTGAGATTATTTTCTAGATCTTGTAATATTGCTTCCTTCTCTTTTACGTATTTTTGCTTTTTTCTCCTTGGACTGTGTGCTTTCATATAACCTGTCTTTGAATCTACTGATTCATTCTGCCACTTGATCAATTCTACTGTTGAGAGATTATGATTCATTTTTCAGATTGTCAATTGAGTTTCTAAGCCCCAGAATTTCTGCTAGATTCTCACTCTATTGCCCAGGCTGGCGTGCAATGGTGCAATCTCAGCTCACTTCAACCTCTGCCTCCCAGGTTCAGGTGATTCCCCTGTCTCAGCATTCTGAGTAGCTGGGACTACAGGCATGCACCACCACACCCAGCTAATTTTTTGTATTTTTAGTAGAGATAGGGTTTCTACTAAACCCCATGTTGGCCAGGCTGGTGTGGAACTCCTGACCTCAAGTAATCCACCCACCTTAGCCTCCCAAAGTGATGGGATTACAGGCGTGCACCACTGTGCCTGGCCTCTGCTTGATTTTTAAATGTTAATTCTTCATTAAATTAATCTGATAGAATTCTGAATTCCTACTCTGTGTTATCTTGAAGTTGTTGGGCTTCCTCAAGATGGGTATTTTGAATTCTCTGTCTGAGAGATCATATCTTTAATCACTCCAGAATTGGTCACTGGTGCCTTATTTAGTCCATTTGGTGAGATCATGTTTTCCTGGATGCTCTTGATTCTTGTGGATGTTCAATGATATCTGAGCATTCAAGAGTTAGGTATTTATTTCAGTCTTTGTAGTCTGGACTTGTTTGTATCCATCCTTTTTGAGAAGGCTTTCAGTAATTGAAATGGGATTGAGTGTTGTTACATAAGCCTGTGGTCATTGTTAGCTGTTTTAGCACTGTGAGTGCCCTAAGTCCAGGAATGCTGCAACTCTTGTAGACTCATAGACATGTGACCTTGGTGGCTTTGGGAAAGATAAGAGAGAATTTCCTGGGTTACCAGGCAAAATTCGTCACTCTCTTCCCTCTCTTTCCCCTAATCAGGAGTCTCTCACTACACTGAGCTACCTGGAGTTGAAGGAGGGGTGATGTAGGCACTCCCATGGCCACCATAGCTGGCTCCATGTTGAATGGCACTTGAAGCCCACAGCTTTCCAGAACAGCACAGTACTGAGGCTCATCCAAAGCCCATGGCCACTACAACCTGGCTGCCACTGATGTTTATTCAAGATGAAGGCTACTTTAGTCAGCTGGTGGTTAAGCCAGCTGGGACTCAGTTTCCTCCCGCTGGTATGAGGGATTCCTCTCTGACCTAGGGCTGGTCCAAATACTCCCTCCTTGGGCACCAGCAGAATTTTGCCCTGTGTTATGGGCCACTGTGACAGGGCAGCACTGATTTCCAATGCAAAGTCCTACACTCACTTCACTTTCCTTCCCCCAAGAACATAGATTCTCTCTTTGTATTGCACTGCCTGGGGTTAGGAAAAGGATGCTGTAGGCAATGTGAAACTGTCCTTCCTACCCTCTTCCAGGCCTCTGTCATTATTATGTTAAAACCAGGTACTGTAATTACTCATCTGATTTTTTCATTCTTATGAAGGTACTTTCTTGAGTGGATCATTGTTCATTTTGATGTTCCTGTAGGGGGACCATCACTGGAAGGTTCTATTTGGCCATCTTGCTCCACCTCCTCTCTTCTATTGATTTCATTAATGTCCTAAAAAATCAATTTTCTCTCTTTTTCTGTGTTATATATCATTGGCTTCTGCTTTTATGTTTATTGTCTCCCTACCCCCTTACTTTAGAGCTGACAGCTTTTTAGAAACTTTTAGTAGTTTAAAGGTCAGTGTTCCATTGCCCTCTGTCTTCCATTGTTTATGATAAGAAGTTTGTTTCATTCTTTTTTTTTTTTTTTTTTTTTTTTTCTGAGACGGAGTCTGTCTCTGTTGCCCAAGCTGTAGTGCAATGGTGCAATCTTGGCTCACTGCAACCTCAGCCTCCCGGATTCAAGCGATTCTCCTGCCTCAGCCTCCTGAGTAGCTGGGACTATAGGTCCCAGCCAATTTCTGTGTGTGTGTGTGTGTGTGTGTGTGTGTGTGCGCATGTGTGTATGTGTGTGTGTGTGTATGTGTGTATGTGTGTATGTGTTTTAGTAGAGATGGGGTTTCACCATGTTGGCCAGGCTCGTCTGAAACTCCTGACCTCAGGTGATCTGCCTGCCTTGGCCTCCCAAAGTGCTGGGATTACAGGCGTGAGCCACCATGCCCAGCCCTTATTCTTATTTTTTATTCCCTGTAAATTTTCCTTTTTTTTCCTAGTTCCTTTTGTCTCTTTATAGCTGGTTAAGTAATTTTTTTTTTTTTATTTTGCATTGTAGAGATGGGGTCTCACCACCTGCCCACGCTGGTCTTCAACTCCTGGCCTCAAGTGATCCTCCTGCCTTGGCCTTCCAAAGTGCTGAGACTATAGGCATAAGCCACAGATCCCAGCCTAAGTAATTTGATTATGATGTGCATGGTGTAGTTTTCTTTGCATTTCTTGCGATTTTTGGATATGTATGTTCATGGATTTCATTATTTGGGGATGTTTTGCCTTAATTTCTTCAAATATTTTTGTATGCCCCTGCCTCCTTTGGAGTTTTCAATTAAATTTATATTAAGCCCCTTTAAATTGTCCCATGCACATCACTGATTCTCTGTTTTCTACTCTTTTCTTCCCTCTGTGTCATTTCTCATTTTAGGTAATTTCTAATCCTGTGTCTTCAAGCTCACTAATCTTTTATTCTGCCATTTATTGCCCATAATAAATATTAATTTCAGGCCATGCATTTTTTATTTCTAAACATTCAACTTATTTCTGACTAAGGACTTGTATCCAGAATATATAAAGAACTTCTATCACTCAATAATAAAAAACAACCCAATTAAAAAAGGTAAATGTCTTTAATAGATACTTCAGAAAAGGAGATAGAGAAATAGGCCAAAAAAACCATGTGAAAACGTGCTCAACATCATTAGTCATCAGGAAAATGCAAATTAAAACCACAATCAAATACTACTATACTATCATTCAAATGGCTAAAATTTCAGAGACTGATACTACAGCGTGTTGGACAGAATTCAGAGCATACAAAAACTCTGCTGGTGGGAATGCAAAGGGATAAAATCTTTTTCCAAAACAGGTTGGCAAGTTCTTTTTTTTTTAAATAGAGACAGAGTCTCACTTTGTCACCCAGGCTAGAGTGCAGTAGTGCAATCATAGCTCACTATAACCTCAAACTCTTGGGCTCAAGTGATCGCCCTGCCTCAGCGTCCTAAGTAGCTAGGACTAGAGGTATGCACCATCATGCCCAGCTAATTAAAACTATTTATTTATTTATTTATTTTTTGTAGAGACAGGGTCTCACTATGTTGCCCAGGCTGGTTTCAAACTCCTGGCCTCAAGCAATCCTCTCAACTTGCCTTCCCAAAAGTACTGGGATTACTGGTGTGAGCCACCATGCCCAGCTGGCAATTTCTTATAAATCAAATATATATTTACCAAACAGCCTAGAAATTGCACTCCTAGGTTGTTACCGGGAAAAAAAATGAAAGCATATGTCCATATAAAAGCTTATGTAGGAATGCCCCTAGCAGCTTTATTTATAACAATAAAAAATTTAAAGCTATCCAAATGTCTGTGAAAAGGTTAATAAATTGAGTTATATCTTTACAATGTACTACTTCTCAGAGGGAAAAAAGAATAATTATTATTGCTCATCAACATGGATGAATCTCCAAAACATTATGCTGAGAGAAGCCAGATCCCTAAATATACCTGTGTTACTATTCAACTTGTATGAAAAAGACATCTAGGCCGGGCATGGTGGCTCATGACTGTAATCCCAGCACTTTGGGAGGCCGAGGCAGGTGGATTACGAGGTCAGGAGTTCAAGACCAGCTTGGCCAAGATGGTGAGACCCTGTCTCTACTAAAAATACAAAAATTAGCTGGGCACAGTGGCAGGCGCCTGTAATCTCAGCTACTTGGGAGGCCGAGGCAGGAGAATCGCTTGAACCCGGGTGGCAGAGGTTGCAGTGAGCTGAGATCGCACCACTGCACTCCAGCCAGGGCGACAGAGTGAGATTCCATCCCAAAAAAAAAAAAAAAAAAAGACATCTAAAGCAGATCAATGCTTGTCTGGGACCATATTTCTTTTTTTTTCTTTCCTTCCTTTCTTTTTCTTTTTTTTCCCAGTGGGTGGTGAGGTTGAAGTGGGCCATGATGGACTGGAGAAAGCACAGGGAACCTTCTCAAGTGGTAGAAATATGACATACCTGGATTGTAGTGATGGTTACATTGGCACATACTTATGTCAAATCTCATTAAACTCTAAAATATAATAAGTGGATTTCATAGTATATAAAGTATGCTTTAATAAAGTTGATTTAAAAATCTATTCTGCTGTCAGTCATGTTACACATAGGGGTTAGGGACTTCTAGCCAGAACATATAGGAGAGAGCCTTTCACCCTTATAGGTGGTATAGCTAGCCCTGTTCACTCTTTGGCTTTCAGGGAACACTGGGGAGTAGCTCCAGCCAGTTACTGTCAGTTGCCAGAGAGATACTAGAAGCCAGCCTCTGAAAGACCGAAAAAAAGCAAACAACAACAACAAAAAAACCCTTAGGTCTCTCACCTGAATGGGCAGTGGTGGTTAGATGCTTCCACACAGACACCTTTCAGTCTCACCAGCGTGTCACTCCGACCAGAGACCTGCAATTGCCTCTGTGCTTAGACTTTGTCCGCTAAGGGTCCTGAGTTGGGAAATGAAAAGAGAGAGGGGAGAGAGTTTCCCAATAGGAGAGAGAGTCCCCGTATGGGCCACCCAAGTGTCACCGGGGAGCAACGACTATCTGGGCTGGTGGCGTGGAGGTAAAAGAAACTACCAAGACAGCTGTAGGTAGAGAAAGGCAGATGTATTAAAGAAAGTAGGAAAATACATTGTGATAAGGCAATGGGCAGCCTGCAAGAGAGAAGCTAACTGCCAGGAAACAAATGCTTGCTGAGGATTTTATAGAATGGAACTTGGGAACTAACTTGCAAACTTGCACTCTTCTGTCAGCCAGGATGTTTGATAAATTGAGGCATTTGATGCTAAGCAGAAATTTGAGAGTTATGTATGTTGTTTGTTCAGGAGGTCTGTATGTCCTGGGCAATAAGGAAAAACAGACCTATAATTCTTCTGCTTTCTCTTTTTGTTTATATGTCCTGAACCGTGAAGAAAAGCATATTTACAGCTTATCTGCTTTATCTCTTTGCTTTGATTTGGTCCCACCAGCCTGACTCCTTTTCCCTAATTAAGACTCCACATTTGGGAGGCCAAGATAAGAGGATCGCTTGAGCCCAGGAGTTGGAGACCAGCCTGGGTAACATGGTAAAACCCATCTCTACAAAAATACGCACACACACAAAATTAGCTGGGCATGGTGGCATGCACTTGTAGAATCTCAGCTACTTGGGAGGCTGAGGCAGGAGGATTGCCTGAGCCTGGAAGGTTGAGGCTGCAGTGAGCGGTGATCACATTTCTGGACTCCAGCCTGGGCGACGAAATGAGACCCTGTCTCAAAAACAACAAAAGCCACAACAACCCACAAAAAACAGAGAGTGTGAGGAGAAGGGACTCCTAGGTACGCATATGCAAGCCCAGATCTACAGAGAGACAAGGAACTGGCCCAGTGTATTAGTCAGTTTTCACTCTGCTATAAAGTCGCCACACGAGACTGAGTAATTTATAAAGGAAAGAGGTTTAATTGACTCAGTTCTGCATGGCTGGGGAGGCCTTAGGAAACTTACTATCATGGCGGAAGGGGAAGCAGGCACATCTTACATGGCAACAGGCCTGGGGGACACCACTCCCACAATCCAATCACCTCTCACCAGGCCCTCCCTCAACACATGGGGACTATGGGGATTACAATTTGAGATGGAATTAAATTATCCAGTCTCAGCCAAACCATATCACCCAGTGAACAGTGAGCGGGGTGGGGACAGAGGGCCAGGGGGAAAGAGCCGCTGAGCTGCAGCCAGAGTGATGCAGCAGGAAATGGTGCTGAGGTGAGGCTGGGGGCCAGGCCAGAGCAGCTGGGTGTGCACTGTGCGTTTCACAGATGCCTGGAGGGAAAAGGCGGGGCCTGGGGGAATGTGGAGCAACAATGACTCTCATCCACTGCTGGGGGAATGCAAAATGATACAGCATCTGGAAGAAAGTTTGGCAGTTTCTTACAAAGCTAAGTATACGCCTACCATGGAACCCGAAAGCACTCATAGATATTTACCCAACTGATTTGAAAAGTATGTCCACATAAAACCTGCATGCAACATTCACTGCTTTGTTCCTAGTCATTAAAAACGGGAAGCAGCCAAAATGATCAACAGGGGAATGGACAAACTGTGGTATATCCATAAAACAGAATTCAATTTAGTGATAAAAGGAACAAGCTATTGATCATGCAGTAACATGAATGAATCTTCTTTTTGAGATGGAGTCTTGCTCTGTTGCCCATGCTGGAGTGCAATGGTGCGATCTCAGCTCACTGCAACCTCTTCCTCCCGGGTTCAGTTGATTCTCCTGCCTCAGCCTCCTGAGTAGCTGGGATGACAGGCATGTGCCACCAAGCCCAGCTAATTTTTGTATTTTTAGTCGAGACGGGGTTTCCCTGTGTTGGTCAGGCTGGTCTTGAACTCCTGACCTCAGGTGATACACCCACCTCGACCTCCCAAAGTGCTGGGATTACAGGCGTGAGCCACTGCACCCAGCCACATGGATGAATTTTAGATGCATTTTGCTAAGTGAAAGAAGCCAGACGCAAAAGGCACACGTGATATGATTCCATTCATAGAACATTTTGGACAATGCTGAACCATAGGGATGGAGAACAGATCCGTGGTTGCCAGGAGCTGATGGAGTGGGGAGAGGTTGGCTCCAAAGGGGATGCATGGGAGACCTTGCGGATGTAGGAACTGCTCCTTTTGTTGCTGGAGTGGTGGATGGGAGACTCTACACATTGGCTCAGATCCATGGAACTGCACAGCCCTGAGACTGAACTTTCGTGTGTGCAAACTAAAAAAATCAACCAGGATGGAAATAAAAACTCATCAAACGTATACATGGGATACTTACATTTCATTGTATGTAGATTTTACCCTAATAATGTAGAAACTGAGGTGCCCTGAAGATCTCACTACTTACTTGGCAGACAATCTTAAAAGGGCCTCAGTTGCATTGTCAGGGTTTGCTACAAAATTAAACAGCATTAGCACAAAACAAACACAACATTCTTTTGTCTCTTTTCTAGGCAGCAGGCTTTATTTTGTGTGCTTTGGGCTTATTCTGTCAGGAGAAGGGTGCCTAGTGTCAAATCCTGCAAGGCCTGAGATGGGGGCCTCTCAGGTGACCTTAGGCCTCCCAGGTGACCTCAGATCTCTCAGGTGAGGTCTATCCTCCCAGGTGACCTCTGCCCTGCCAGGTGAGGTTCTAGCGCAGTGACTTTGACTCTTGCAGGACATGGGCTACTGCCAGGGTGTGAGCCAGGTCGCTGTTGTCCTGCTGATGTTCCCCAAGGAGAAAGAGGCCTTCTTGGCACTAGCTCAGCTGCTGACCAGCAAAAACCTGCCAGACACTGTAGATGGACAGCTGCCTATGGGGCCTCACAGCCGGGCCAGGTGATGGCTACACTGGCCCAGTGACGGCAACCTACAGCCATAGCGCCTTCTGTCCCTGCCTCATTCGGTGGGCTAGGCAGCGCACCATAGGTCCTCCCAGACACCTGGCTCTGTAGTGGAAAGAAGGATTGACAGGCTCCCCGCAGCTTTCACCCTCTCCTTTGTTCTGGAACCTGCCGCTGCCTAAGGAATTCTTTGGCAAAAGACTGCTTCCTGGGTCTCAGGGGTCGGACATGGGGAGGGTCAGGGCGGGGTCAGGGGCTGTCTTGGGAGGGGGTTAGGGACGGGTTCAGCGCCTGTCTGGGGCTGGGGTCAGGGCGAGGTCAGGACCTGTTTCCCAGGAGTCAGGGCCAGGAGTCACCGCCTGTTTCGGGGGTCAGGGTCAGCTCCAGTTCCCCTTCCTTCTGTCCTCGTGTCAGGCGATGATGGGTGTGGGGTCAACGCGGACCAGAGCCCAGCCGGGGCCCCTGCTCTGGTCTCTGCTGCCGCTGCTGCTCCTGAGCCCAGAGGCCGCCCCTGCCCCACAGTCCCGCGCCGCCAGCCCCTCGCAGGCTCCGGGGGAGGCCAGAGAGAGCTTGGGGGCGCAGCAGGGCCGGGAGCCCGCAGCCAGAGCCCAAGGTCCGTTTGAAGCAGAGGGTGTGGGGCCGAGCCGGCCTCGGAGGCAGAGGGCAGGGGGCAGGGGGCATTTGAGGGGGCCACTGGGCCACGGGGGCAGGGGGTCGAGGGCTCGGCAAGACCAGATGAGGTAAGGAGTGTCCGGGAGAGGCAGGCGTCTGCGGAGAGATGGGGGAACTGCAGGCTAGAGGCGGTGGGGAGAAGGCCGGGGCTCTGGGCCTGGTGCCAGGGCCGGAAGTCACCCGAATCCGTTGTCTCTCTCTCCTTCCCTCCCAGCCAGGTGGCTCCAGAGACGACATCAAGCAAGGTGGGTCAGGCTTCCCGCTCTTGGTCCCAGGACTGGGTGTGGGGCCCACGAAACTGGACGGGGTGCCAGGGCCTGGTGCCTGGTGCCGGGGCTGGGTGGAGGGAGACAGCACCGGGACTGCTGCTGGGCCCCGGGAGTGGGGTGGGCCCTGGGGTCTCATGTCCCCTTGTTGAGGCCTGGAAGCGTAGGCCAGGGATCAGGACACTGCCCCTCAGGGGTCCAGGCCCGCAGCTCCCCCTCCCAGCTGTGAGTCTCAGAACCAAGGCTGTCCACATCAGCCCCACCCCCTCTCACCTTCTAAAAATAGAAGATCAAGAATCAGAGAGAGGGAGCAAGTTTCCCCAAGTCACACAGCACAACAGACTCCTGCCTGAGAATCTCTCTCCCTGGGATACTGGAGTGAGGTGCGGGGGTGGGCACAGCCACTTGGACACCCCCGAGACCTTCAGTTCTTTGATCTGCAAAGTAGGCATGCAGGTGTTCTGATGGAGGGAAGTAAAGTCCCAGGGCTGGATTCCAGTCCACCAGTCCTTGGCAGGTCCGGATGAGCTGCTGTGGCCACCCTGGGTCAGCCTTGCCCTGCCTGCCAGACCCCTGGTCCCTCATTCCCACAGAGCCTGCTCAATTGTACTCTGTCATCTGGTCCTGCTAGTGGCCATAGAAGGCAGATGCTGGAGTAGCCCTCAGTCATTTTGGCCAGGTCACCTATTCTTTGGCCTTGGTTTTCCCATCTGTGAAGAGAGCAGAGGCCTCACTGGGGTGGCATTCATGGGCACCACTAGTGTCTCTAACAGGTGGACCGGGGTGTCTCCACAGTGTGTGGGAAGCCTAAGGTGGTGGGGAAGATCTATGGTGGCCGGGACGCAGCAGCTGGCCAGTGGCCATGGCAGGCCAGCCTGCTCTACTGGGGCTCGCACCTCTGTGGAGCTGTCCTCATCGACTCCTGCTGGCTGGTATCAACTACCCACTGCTTTCTCAAGTGAGTCCTCCCTCCCTGGGCCCCAGCAGAGGGGCTGATGGGGAGGAAGATGCAAGGGACGAGGGTTAGGGGGCTGGGGGGGTTATGTCTTTCTCCTCTGGGCTTTGCTCTGGGGAAGTCTGCTGCCACCAAACTGATGCAGTGCCTGCCGTTGACCCGTAGTCCCCTCCACCAGGACTGTCCTCCCCACTCTCCACCCACTGTCCCTCCATCTGCCCAGAACCTCCTCATCCTTCATCCTCAGCTCTGGCAGGGAGTTCCCTGGCCCCTGTGTCTGTCTGCTCAACCCAGACATGCGTGAGAGCATTGGCAGTGTCTGTGCTGGCCACCTGCAGGGCTTCTCTTCAGTGTGCACCATGCTCCTGTGAGTCAGACTCCAGGCAGGGACTGGGGACTCTGCAGGTAGCCAGCAGCCAGGCGATGCTTTTTTTCTGTAAAACTGTATGCCTGGAAGGAGCTGTGCCAGGCTGCATGTATTGGTGGGAAGAGTGGGGCCCCCTGACCCTGGAGAATGACATGGACAGTCAGGGGTGCTACTCCTCTGGCCCTCCTGAGCCTGACTCAGTGCCCAGCTTCTGAACAGTCATGGAGGGACCCAGAGGGAGAGGAAGGCATCACAGTCCAGGTATGGAGTCAGCTTGGGCACCTAGTGGCTTTGAGACTCCAACTATTGGGCACCGTGAGCATCTCCTGGGTGTCACACCACCCAAGACCCTCTATGGCACAGAGTGTGGCAAGACCCCAAGTGAAGGTGTCTCTATGGGAAGGCGAGGCACAAGCTCCAACAAGCAGGATGCAGGAGAGAAAGCCCAGAGTGAGTGAGAAGAGCTGACCCGAGGCAGGGTCATCCAGAGAGATGCTGTAGTCTTGAGGGAGGATGAGGAGCTGCAGGGGATTGCCAGAGGGGAGGCTTTGGTATGGGGAGTGTGGCGAGGGGTTTCCTGGCAGCTGACCCATGTGAACAAAGTCACAAAGGTCAGAAGTTTCATTACTTGTGTTCAGGAACAAGAAGAGCATCAGTTTCATGCACTCATCTGGGCATTGAACAAATCCTTTATGAGTGCTTACAACAGTGGGGAAGACACCCTTGGGGAGAGCAGGAAAGGTGGTTAGGCCAGGAAGCAGGTCATAGGTAGCCTTCGGAAGGATCAGGCTGGAGCCAGAATTAAGCCAGAGCTCCTCTTGTGTAAAATAAAAGGGCTGGATTTGATGACTCTGTCAAGGACTTTCCTGGCACTAGGATTCTCTGCTCCTCTGATTCAAGGGTGTGCTGGGGAAGCCATATGTCCTGAGGTTGTGAGTAGAATAGCCATTAGCCTCAAAAAAAAAAAAAGAGCTCCTGACTGTCAGAAAGGGGGATACAAAGCTGCCTAGAATCATGTCAGGGGAGAAGGACCCAGAGGTGTGTGGGCAGTTACAAGTGGATGTAAAAAGAGAGTGCTGCCCCGCACTCTCAGAGAATGGTAAAAATGGGCCCTTCCTCCTCCAGCAAATCCCAGGCCCCGAAGAACTATCAGGTTCTGTTGGGAAACATCCAACTGTATCATCAAACCCAGCACACCCAGAAGATGTCTGTGCACCGGATCATCACCCATCCAGACTTTGAGAAGCTCCACCCCTTTGGGAGTGACATTGCCATGTTGCAGCTGCACCTGCCTATGAACTTCACTTCCTACATTGTCCCTGTCTGCCTCCCATCCCGGGACATGCAGCTGCCCAGTAACGTGTCCTGTTGGATAACCGGCTGGGGAATGCTCACCGAAGACCATAAGAGGGGTGTGGGAGAGGCGGGAGGATGAGGGAGGGGAAGGAGAGGGAGGCAGAGGGGAAGAAGGAAGGATGGCTTAGCCAGGCAAAGAGGAAGCCACTGGACTTGGCCCTCTGTGCCTCATTTCCATGACCGGTAAGGTGAGGACCACCACGCTGGGGCCTTTCTACTTCTGAAAGTTTGTGATCCCATAGCTTTAGAGTTCCCTGAGTCCCAGGCTCTGAAAGTCTGGGAATCTTTAACTTTTGAGAATCCAGAATCTGGGTTCTTTGAGTCTTCATGGTTCTTCTTTTTAATGTTTTATTTATTTATTCATTTATTTATTTACTTATTTATTTTTTGAGACGGAGTCTCACTCTGTCACCTAGGCTAGAGTACAGTGGCATGATCTCGGCTCACTGCAACCTCCGCCTCCCAGGTTCAAGCAATTCTCCTGCCTTAGCCTCTCAAGTAGCTGGCATTACAGGCATGCACCACCATGCCCGGCTAATTTTGTATCTTTAGTAGAGACAGGGTTTCTCCATGTAGGTCAGGCTGGTCTTGAACTCCTGACCTCAGGTGATCTGCCTGCCTTGGCTTCCCAAAGTGCTGGGATGACAGGCGTGAGCCACTATTTTAAGGTTTTAGTCAGCCATGGGACTAAGATGACTCGATTGAACTCCAAAGACATGCTTGGGGGCTGGCCCATTCTAGGTCACCACCAAACACTTGGATCGTCCCTTGCTTGGGAAGGTGCTTGGGAAGAGTGGAGAGAAAACACATGGTGGCTCTGCAGTCTGAGGCTGCATGATCCAGTTAGAATGATTGCGACGTAGAACTCTTGACCTTCTCTGAACCTCATGTTGCTCTTATCCTAACCTGGGTCATTCATCTACTTCACAGTCTTGTTACGTGACTGAATAACAGAGGAGAGAGTTGTGTGTGTTTTCATCGTTAGATGAGTAGGAAAGAAATGTAAGCAAAGATTTATACACAAGAGTGTTTATTGAAGAAAGGAGTGTTTACAGTTTAGGGAAATGCTTATGGTATGATGTTAAGGGAAAAAGGAAGAACATATATTTAATTATGTGTAGGGTTAGCATTTCTCAACAGAGGTGCTGTACGTATTTTTGATAGAATATGTCTTCACTGAGTGGGGCTCTGCTAGCATCCATGGCCTTTGACTGCCAGATGGAGGGGATTCTCCCTGATCATCTGCTGGCTGGTCCCCAGCATTCACACATACATCTGGTTATACCTTGAGGGTAGAGGCAACATATACTTGTTTTAATATCCCAAACGGTGCTCCTGGGCTGGTACCACCGTGCTGCATGACACTGATAGACCACCATTTCTTGCCTGTAGCTTCGGAACTGGTCACCCAGCTTCCATTCTTCTGTGCCCCCACTGTAGGCTCCATGTGGGTGTCGGAGTGTTACTTTAAATATTAGTCATGTCACTTCCCGGTTCAGTATTCTACAGTAACTTCTCATTTGTGCAAAATGAAATCCAGACACATGGCCAGGCGTGGTGGCTCATGCCTGCAATTCCAGCACCCTTCCCATCCCCCACCTCCCACCGCGCCCTTCCCATCCCCCACCTCCCACCACACCCTTCACATCCCCCATCTCCCACAGCACCCTTCACATCCCCCACCTCCCACCGCACCCTTCACATCCCCCACCTCCCACCGCACCCTTCACATCCCCCACCTCCCACCGCACCCTTCACATCCCCCACCTCCCACCACACCCTTCACATCCCCCACCTCCCACCGCACCCTTCACATCCCCCATCTCCTGCTCCAGTCATGACACATCCCACCTTCCAATGCACCCTTTCCATTCTTCATATTTCACTGCAGCCATTACATACCCCATCTTTTACTGCAGCCTTCACATACCCCACCCCATCCTCTTGGGCCTCCTGGGTACTCTTTGAACATCTCAAGGCTATTTCTATCTCGGGGCCTTTAGCTGCTGTTTTTTTTTTTTCTTAGCTTGCTTGTCATTCTCATCTTTGCAGGAGTCACTTCTTTACATTTACTATTCAGTTTTTTTTCTTGGTTTTACTTAATCATGTGAGCTAAAATAGGCAACCCCCTCTATCACATCTTCCTGTTTTATTTTCTTCATATCACTTAATCTAAAATATTTTTTAATTTATTATTTCATATAATCTGTCACTTTCTACTAAAAATTATCTATATCATTAGCATGTAAAAGACAGCACCAGGATAGCTGAATAGATGAGTGAATAGATCAGTGATTGTGTTAGTGAATGGATGGATGGATGGATGGATGGATGGATGGATGGATGGATGAATGGATAAATGGATGGATAATGGATGGCTAGAATGATGGGTGACTGCATGGATGGAAGGATAAGTGGAGGGATGAGTGGATGGATGGATGGATTGATGGATGATATTTGAGTTGGTAGATGGATGTTTGGATAGATGTGTAGATAGAAGGATTGGTGAGGGGTGGACAGATGGAGTGGGTGGATGTGTCAGTGGGTGGATGTGTCAGTAGGTGGAGAGGAGGATAGGTGGGTGAGAGATGGAGGGCTCGATGGAGAGATGGCTGCAAGGATGGATGGATGGGCAAATATCTGGAAAGTGAGTGGATGAATGGGTAGGTGTGGGAAGATAGGTAGATGGAGGAATGGGTGAGTGAGTGGATGGGATGATGGGTGGAGAAGAAAGGTTAGTGATAGATGGAGGGAGAATGGATGGGATGGTTCATGAAAGAGTAAGTTGGTCAGTGAATAGTTGCTAAGTTCCAATAAATGAGTCATGTGTTGGTGGGATTTGCCTCTTGTAGAATAAGAGAGGTGTGATCTATTGCTATGAGAGAGGTAGAGGGAATAGGATGACTATGTGCAAAGGTTTGAGAAAAAGAAGAGAAGCTTATCAAGGATGGGTAGTAGAGTGAAGCAGCAGTTAAAGCTCAGCAGTTCTGAGAAAACCTATGTTTGGGGGGTTGTGGTTAGCAGTCAGACAGAGTAGGGGCTCAGAGTAGCCTGAACTTTCTTAGTTAACCTACAGGACATGTCATTGATCTCCCCCTTATCTATTCAGTGCAACTGTCACCACCCTTCTATCTCCAGGAGGGCAAGGTGGGCCTCATTGAGAACACACTCTGTAATACCTTATATGGGCAAAGAACTGGCAAAGGCGAGACCTAAGCTTTGCACGAGGAGATGCTGTGTGGGGGGGGACTTCTCGACAGGAAAGTCCATCTGCAAAGTGAGTACGGTCATTTCCTCTCTTCCTTTGCATATTCTCTTGGCCTCAGTTTCCCTTGGGACGGGTCTCTGTGTTGCCTCTGCTTTCTTTGTGGTGTCCCTTGGAATTCCTGTTTCCTCTCCTCTGAGTGTCCTCCCTGGGCTCCATCCCTCAGAAGTCTCCCCTAGACTAGCCCCTTCCCCAGCGCATCTCAGCAGGAACATCTGCTGGAAGGATCTTCAAACAGCATTTTTTAATATATTTTAAACTTTTTATTAAAGCATAATATATATACACAAGAGTACATAATTAATAAGTATATAGTTTGGTGAACTTTCCCACACTGATACAACATGTTACCAGCACCCGAGAAGCACCCATGTGCCTCCTTCTTATCACTAACGCCCAAGGGTAACAAACACCTTCACTTTTAACACCGTAGATTCTGAAATTCCTGTAAGTGGAATTTACAGTCAGCACTCTCTTGTGTCCTAACAGTGTATTTCTGAGATTTGTCCATACTATTACACGTTGTTATGGTGTGTTCTTCTCACTGCTCGACAGCGCGCTATTGTGTGAGTTGAATTCTACATTGGATAAGTATTTGAGTAGGTTCCAAGTTGGAGGTATTATAAGTAGCTGTGCTATGTACATGTTTGTATTTGTCTTTGGGACACAGATGAATATATTTTATTGCATAGAATCCTATGAGTAGAATTGCTAGATAAAAAGATGTGTCTGTGTGTTCAGCTTTGGCAGAGGATAGCAAACCGCCTTCCCTCTAGCAGAGGATGAGAGCTTCTTTTCTCACCAACTTTTATTCCTTTCCATCTTTTCTGATTTTGGCCATTTTGGTGAGTGTGTAGTTTTTGGCTTAAAATTTTTTGTATGTTTATTATTATTGGATATCTTTATGAAGTTTCCCTTCAAGTTCTTTTTCTCCTCTCATTTTTCTGTTGGGTTGTCTGTCTTTTTCTTCTAGGAGCTCTTTATGTATTCCGGACATAAGTTCACAGTAAGATACATGGTGTGAAAATCCTTTTCAACCTTCTGTAATGTTCCATCTTATAGGTGGGGAAATTGAGGCCCAGAGAGGAAAAGTGGCTAGCCTAAGTGAGGCAGTACAACCTGGGCCCAGGTGTTGCGACTCCAAGGCCAACCCTGCCTCCACAACCTCTCCCACAGGTGGTAGCCTCTTAAGCTGACATCTGTGGGCCGAGCTTTTGCATAGACACCACTGTAGGGCAGAGAGGAAAGTGCTGGGACCCTGGAATGAGAGACATTGCTCCACCACATGTGCCTGCCCTGTGACCTGGGATGTTCTCTTCACCTCCTGAGCCTGGGTCCTCATCAGCTGCGTGAGGATTCCAAGGCCTCCTCCATGAGGTGGTTGGAAGGATGGCGTCCACTTGGAACCTCAGAGTGTGACCTTATTCGGAAGTAGGATCTTTACAGATGTAATTAGTTAAGAATCTCAAGATGAACCCATCCTAGATTTAGGGTGGGCCCTAAATTCAATGACTGGTGTCCTTAAAAGAGGGGGAGAGGCCATAGAGACACACATGGAGAAGATGGCCATGTGCAGAAAGACATGGAGAGGAGAGGGATGCCGCCACAAGCCAAGGAATGCCTGTGCCGCCAGAAGCTGGAACAGCCAAGGGAGGGTCTTCCCCTAGAGCCTTTGGAGGTAGTGTGTCCCTGGAAGCACACTGATTTCAGTTTTGTGGCCTCTAGAACTGTGAGAGAATACATTTCTGTTGCTTCTAAGCCACCAAGGTGGTGGCAGTGTGTTATGGCAAGCCCTTGGAAATGGATATGTTTGGCAAAGACCACAATGCTAGCAAAATGATAGATTGAAAACTAGAACCAGGTCTTTCCTTCCCCCTAGTCTGAGCCCTGAGTCCCCCTGGCCCGTGGGAAGGGCTCATTGGCAGCACTGTTTTCAATATTGCCCGGCAAGCTAACTGAGTAGTGGGAGGGAGCTCAGCCCACCTGCCTGCCCAGCGGGAGCCAGCCCCAGGCTTCTTGGTTTCCTGTCCACGTCCACATACTTCATTGTTCCTCCTTTCTGGCTGTGGCCTGGCCCCTTCTCCTCACAGAGTCATCTGTACCCCAGGGGGAGCAGGGAGCCTGCCCAATGCCCAGCCCTGGTGGGGCTCAGCCAACAAGTCCTTAGTCCAGCTCCCTTCCAGCCTTGTTCCCCACCAGCCTCTCTTGCAAAGGTCATGCCCCTGGAGCCTCAGGGCCAGCACACTTTGCCTACCTGCTGGACATTCCACAGTGCCCTCAGCCCTGCCCCTCCTCTAGTTCCTTGCCCAGGCCAAGGACACCACTGAGGTGGACATCTCCTGAGCCTTTCAGCCACCACTGCCTGTCTGTGAGATTCCATCTGGATTCATCTCCTGCTGAGCCATCTGCTGTGGTCCCCGCCTCCACCCTGTGGCTCTCTTCTCTTCCCTGCATGGAGCACGCAAAAACAGCTTTGAGGAGAGAGAGAGCTGCAGGGTGACTCAGCGCTCAGACTGCGAGCAGGACACAGCTGGTTGCAGTCTTCACTCTGTCACTTGCATGTGCTGTGACCTTAGCTAAGTTTTCTCACCCGTGCAGTGGGCTTGCTAACAGCCTCCACTTCATAAGGTTCCTGTAGAAATGTAGCACCATGCCTGGCATTTAGCAGGTGCTTAATAAGTGTTGGCTTCCATGTTCCTGGCCT
The DNA here is from genome assembly GCF_000001405.40 of Homo sapiens. Taxonomy (NCBI): domain Eukaryota; kingdom Metazoa; phylum Chordata; class Mammalia; order Primates; family Hominidae; genus Homo; species Homo sapiens. Next base: position 15,557 of record NW_025791788.1, on the reverse strand, counting down.
TGTCTGTTTTCCTCTATCTGAGTTGTACTCATTCTTCTGGGCCTATCTCGGACCTGCCCTTTCACCCAATGTGGAATTCACCACCAGGCCCACCAGTTACACGTGGCTTCCTCTGTCTCCACAGTAGTGCAAACCACAGCCTAGTTTGCATGGGGTACATTAATGTTGGGACTTCCTCTGCGTACTCGGAGCTCCCAAGGGTCAGGGCCAGGAGACCCTTGGAGTCCTTCCCGTCTCTCCCAGACTGGCCCAGAATCAAGCGTGATGTTGGCAAGCAGGTGGTTCATCTGCATGGATCACTGAGGCCTGGAGTAGTCAGGGACCATTGCCCGGAGGACCAGGCCTCCTCTTGCCCTCAAACAAGCTGGGTGGGCACTCCGAGTAGGGAAGCACTGAGGGGTGGATCTGAGACAGCGAAGGCACTTTCCACTCCCAAGAAGACCCCGGGCATGAATTTGCCAGGGCTGCAGGAGCAAATCCCCACAAACTGGGCGGCTGAGACCACAGATGTCTATTATCTTGCAGTTCTAGAGGGCAAAAGTCTAAAATCAAGGTGTCATCAGAGCTGGGTTTTTTTCTGGAGGCTCTAGAGGAGATTCAATTTCCTTTTCCAACTTCTAGAGGCCGCCCACACTCCTGGGCTCATGGTCTCTTTCTCCATCTTCAAAGCTATCAGTGTGACCTCTGTGTCTGTTGTCATATCTCCTCCTCTGACTCTGACCCTTCTGCCTCCTGCCTTCCCTTATAAAAAACTTTGTGATGACACTGGGCCTTTTGAGATACTCCAGAATAATCTCCCATCTCAAGAGTCTCCACTCAACTCCAGTTGCAAAGTCCCCTACGCCATGTAAGATAACACATTCACAGGTTCCAGGGATGAGGATATGGATGTCTTTGGGAGTATTCTTTAGTGACCGCACCACGTCACCCCTTCTCTCTCCTCTGGCCTCCACTCCCCCAGCCCAGGCCCCTCCCTCTCAGTGTGCTCTCTTGCTTCTCATCAAACTGAGAAGATGAAGCAATGAGAAGCTCGCTCTTCTTGGCCCCACATCTGCCCACCCTGATCTGCCTAGTCTCTCCCCCTTGCCCCGATGGCTCACCCTGGGCCAACCCATCCTTGAGCACCGGGTCGCTAGGGCCTTTCCCCTACTCCTGTGTCCCCTGCCCTCCCTCTCATGCCTCCCACGTCAAGGCATGGCAACAATCTCCTCCAGCTACTGCCCCATTTCTCCACCTTTCTTCCCTGAAGACTCCTCCCAGGCCTGACTGCACTGAATCACCCAAACCAGCCTTGTCCCTCTCATGCCACCAAAGCCACTTTGTCCACAGCCTCTGCCTTGCCAGAGTCACTGCTCCCTTGACACATCAGCAGCATCTCACGCTCAGCTGCTGGTGCCAGTCGCCAGCCACTCCACTCCCACTTTTTGCTACCAGCTGCCTCTGAGGAGATAGCAGACTAGAGGCCCCCCAGAATCACCCTGAGGACAAAGAAAGAGGAGTTAGCTTTGGGCGATGATCATGTCTGAGACACCAGGTGGCAAGGTCGGATGCTCTGTGCCTCCTCTTTCTGAGTCAGGGTCCCACTGCAGACCCACCAGATAGAAATCTCCAGGTATCAAAGCTCCTGAGCTGACCCTCAGAGTGGACAATTATGGATCTGAATCTATCACACGTGGACCCACCCTCTGCCTTCCACACCCAGGACAACACACTGCTTGAAGCCTAGAAGGAACAGCTGTATGTACAGGGCCTGAGAGGGGCTGGGCCCTTCCGGCCTCTCAGTGCTGGAGACCCCAGAGCCGAGTTCTTAGCCTTCTTCCTTTTGTCTCCACTCCTTTTCCCTGGTTGGTAAGAAAAGGCCAGAGTCCACAAGTCCTTTGGCTCCTCCTTCAAAATACCATCCCAAATCTGACCATTTCTTCCCTCCTGTAGTTTCCTCCCTGGTCCCTCCTCTCTACCTGGTGCTCAGCAACTTCTTTCTCTACATGGCACCAGACTGATGGTTTAAACAGGTCACGTGTCCCCCACCCTCCAGCATACAGTTCTCCAAGTTGCCCCTCTGCAGCTCTGAGACCTCCCTCTGCCCCCTCACTCCCTCCCACAAGGTTTGCCCCATCCTCTCCTGGTTTGCGCCAACTGGGCCCTCTCTTCTGGACCTCGCAGAAGTAGGTTCTGTTTCCTATTTGAGTGTAAGGTCAGGAAAGCTTGTTGTGATCCATGGATACGAAATGTCCTCCCGCTTCCATAGGGTCAGTTGGCTTATTTATCTATGCACCATGGGGGACAGGGTTTGTCTTTTCCCCGTGTTTCCCAAGAGCAGTGCCTGCACTGGATGCCCCAGGTGCACCCTGGACTAGTGGGCGGAAGAGCCGGCTGTGGGCCCTGCCTCCCACCACCCTGAAGATGAGACCCTTTCTTTTTTCCCTCCCTTCCTTCCTTCCTTCCTTCTTTCCTTTTTTTTGAAGGAGTCTCGCTCTGTTGCCAGGCTGGAGTGTAGTGGCATGATCTTGGCTCACTGGAACCTCCGCCTCCTGGGTTCAAGCGATTCTCCTGCCTCGGCCTCCCGAGTAGCTGGGAGTACAGGTACACGCCACCATGCCCAGCTAATTTTTGTATTTTTAGTAGAGACAGGGCTTCACCATGTTGGCCAGGATGGTCTCAATCTCTTGACCTCGTGATCCGCCTGCCTCAGCCTCCCAAAGTGCTGTGATTACAGGTGTGAGTTACCGTGCCCAGCTGAGACCCTTTCTTTGGGTCTCACTTTTTGGCCCATGATATAGGGGGCTTTCAACTGCATGATCCCACCCTGACAGCATTTCAGGACTCCAGTAACTCCAAGCAACTTTCTGGAGACCCCTGCCTGCTTCCCTAGTGATGTGGGCTGTCTCCACAGGGCCTGGGCATGGGCACTTTCTAAAGATACTTTACCAAAAAGTTGAGAGAAAACCAAAGGCCTAAATGAACAAAAAAGGACGGGGCGCCCAGAGGGGATGTTCTGCTGCAGCTTAGGGTTCACAAGAGCTGCGCTCTGCACAGAGGTTTCAGCTGGCTGTGCTTTGCTAGCAGGCCCAGCGCCTCTCAGGCCCTGTACATACAGCTGTCCCCTCTAGGCTTCAAGCAGTGTGTTGTCCTGGGTGTAGAGGGCAGAGGGTGGGTTCACGTGTTGGTAGATTCAGATCTATGATTGTCCACTCTGAGGGTCAGCTCAGGAGCTTGATGCCTGGAGATTTCCATCTGGTGGGTCTGCAGCGGGACCCTGACTCAGAGAGCAGAGGCGCAGAACGTCCGACCTTGCCACCTGGTGTCTCAGACACACTCATCCCCCAAAGCTAACTCCTCTTTCTTTGTTCTCAGGGCGATTCTGGGGGGCCTCTAGTCTGCTACCTCCCCAGTGCCTGGGTCCTGGTGGGGCTGGCCAGCTGGGGCCTGGACTGCCGGCATCCTGCCTACCCCAGCATCTTCACCAGGGTCACCTACTTCATCAACTGGATTGACAAAATCATGAGGCTCACTCCTCTTTCTGACCCCGCGCTGGCTCCTCACACCTGCTCTCCACCCAAGCCTCTGAGGGCTGCTGGCCTGCCTGGGCCCTGCGCAGCCCTTGTGCTGCCACAGACCTGGCTCCTGCTGCCACTTACCCTCAGGGCCCCATGGCAGACCCTGTGATGACCGCAGAGCCCCTCGACCCCTTCTCTCTGCTCGGCCTAGGTGTCCATGCTTGACCCTCCCTCTCCCTAGCCCACTGTCCCTCTAAATGGTTCCTAATCCTGGCTTTTCTGCCTATCAACTGCCATTCCCCAAACCAAGCTTGGCAACACAAAACCAAACCCAACAAAAGAGTCATCTGCTCCTCCTCCACCCCGCACGGCCCTCCAAGGCCCCTCCTGCTCCTTAGTGCTTGCCCTTTCCATAGGATTCATTGTCTGACTCCCAGGGCAGGAACCTGGGACCTCACACAAAGAATCTCAACTGTGGGCTCCTAGGAGGAAAGCAGGGGTAGGGGGGACACTAGGGGTGCTGAGGGAGCTGAGGCCGCCAGCTGGGAGGGAGTGGGGTCAGTCTGCACTCAACGTTGCTCCTGCCACAGGAAGCACCCAGGCCTTCAGAGGAGCTGAAACTACACCTGGTGTCCACAGTGTCAGGGAGCAAGGGCTTCTCTGAAGTACAGGAACAGCGCTCCTGGGGCGTGGAGGAGGGAGGTTCGACTCCCAGTGGAGACGGAAAAAGGGAAGTGGCTGGTGCACAAAGTAATTGAGCAGGACTGGGGAACAGGATCCCAGCCATGAGAAGAGGGTTCCAGCCTGCAGCTAGAGTGCTTTCAAAACATGAGGGTCTGGGAAAGACTGACAGAAGCAGATGGAGGAGGGTCCTGATGCCAAGCCAAAAGCCGAGGTTTAGGTCAGCCATGCTCAGAGCTCTGCGCCTAGGGACAATTCCTGCCCCTCCTCACCTGTCCCCGTAGGCCCTGCTTTCCCCAAGTCTGCAGGCACTTGACCCACTGCCCATCTCCAAAGCCCCCAATCCTGCATAAACATGCTCCCTCCTGTCTAAGGCCCTTGGCCAACCCTGCCCCAAGAAGTCTGTACTCCTCCAGCTGGTAGAGCCTGGTATTACCTTATCTACTTAGCTGATGCAGGATTTAGTGCCCCAGCAATAAGCCTCAAAATAGTGTTCTGGGCCATCCTTCCTGCAAGCCTGCTGGACACAGCCCTGTGCAGCCAGCAGGACTCCTAGAGGCCTCTCAGCACAGCCTACCCCCAGCCTTCAGAGACCACGGGAAAACGGGAGAGCTCCCATTTAGCACATGTCTGTATGGACAAGGCGCCATCCAAAAGTTTCAGTGCACATTGTCCCCAGTCTTGGTATTGGCCACATTTCCTGTACCCTCACAGGCAAGGGGCACAGATAGACTCACATGCATGTCAACACTAGGACCTCACTGGCTTAAACCCTCTACTACTCATGCAGGAATTCTCACCCCAAAATAATATTGTGAGGCCTGAAGAAAGTGTCTTCCCAGTATCCACTCCTGTAGGGGTATTTCCAGCAGTCCCTGCCTCTGACCAGAGCTCCACCACTGAGGTACTGCCATGCCTAGTAATATGTCCACTACTAGTGTCCAGCCTTAGAGCTCAGCGGTCTCCACAGAAAGTGTTCCCTCCCCTGGTGGTAAGCTCAGTTATGGGGTCTCAGAGCAGGGCTGCTCAGGACTCTGAGAGGTCAGTGAGTTACCAAGACAGCATGTGCTCCACGCATGTTCTCCAGAAGGTCAGGGGAGCTTGGGCAGTTCTGTTTAGAGTATTAGCCACTCCACTGTCCCCAGAGCCACTATTCTCCTTTGTGGCAGCCACAGGCTGGCTGTGTCCTGAGGGCCTGCCTGTTATACACCTTATGCCAGGGGTTAGGTGATTTCCTGTCCTCCTGGATGCTCTCAGGCCTCTAAACCAAAGGGTGGGGATACATACCTAGTCCACGCGACAGATCAAACAAATCTCAGTTCCTGCACAGTTAGTTTCCCTGTTTCTTGAAACCAATGTAAGTGCTCAGTATCCTTATCCTGGTTTAGTTTATTTTTAAAGATAAACTGCAGCCTATTAGGGTTGAGTAGGTTTTTTTTTTTTTTAGATGGAGTCTCGCTCTGTCGCCCAGGCTGGAGTGCAGTGGCGCAATCTCCGCTCATCGCAAACTCCACCTCCCGGATTCACACCGTTCTACTGCCTCATTCTCCCGCCTCATTCTCCCGAGTAGCTGGGACTACAGGCACCCGCCACCATGCCCAGCTAATTTTTTAAATTTTTAGTAGAGACGGGGTTTCACCATGTTAGCCAGGATGGTCTCACTCTCCTGACCTCGTGATCCACCCGCCTCAGCCTCCCAAAGTGCTGGGAATACAGGCGTGAGCCACCACACCCGGCCAGGGTTGAGTGGCTTTTTAAAGATATCATAGGTAGTATGTAGTGGAACAGAAATTCAAACTGAGATCTCTCTTGAGAGAGCTCAATCACTGTTCTTTCCACACCCACAGACTGCACCCAAGATGCCTTTTATCCAAGCCTCAGACACCTGAGGGAGGCTTACTCTGACCTGTCCCCAAAGTGAGCCTCAGATATCCACTCCTGAAGAGAGAGACGAGTAGGGCATGGAGGGCCCTAGAGTCATCATCAGGGCCCCCCTGTTCTCCCAGATGGTGCACGGGCATGGGCTGCTGCTTTTGTTGCCAAAGTCATCCCCAGACAAGCTATGGGAGTGAAATGAAATGAACCAAGATCAATTAAAGACTTCCAGTTTCCAGTCTGGAGTATAAGAAGCTTGGAAGTCATCACTCCCATTCTCAAAACAAGAAAAAAAAAAGCTGAACAAACTGAAAGTCAACAACTCTTCTTAGATCTGTCAGAGAATTGAGGTCACAGGGCAGATTACTACCCTCAAAACTGGAGACAGGCAGATACAGAGAATCACGGTTAATCTGAAGGGAAGCTCAGATGTAAAAGCTGGCTATTGGAGCCAATCCCAGGGTAGAAAAACCTAAACTGTAATTGACAAAGTGCTGAGGGTTCAATGTGGATGAGCTTGACAGTTAAAAACTCCATGTCCAGTCTTAGGAGAGCCCCAACTTTCAGGAGTTTTACCTTCAGTAGCCTTACCAGATTCTCAGGGTGTAGATCAGAGAAAAACCCCCTCCTGATTTTGGCAGGACGATGGGAAAAGTAACCATTTTGAAATAAAAGCAGAACATTAGTTCTACTTTGCAAAAACCTATCCTTAACAGAAAATATTTTTACCAGAGCCTAATGTATTGGGGTTTTATCAGAGTCTAACTGAGTTGCGGAAAGAGAAGTGTCAAACTCCAGTTCCCTGTGCCTTCCTGTCCCACCAGGGACACGGGCTACTGAGAAGCACATGTGCAGGTCACAGCCTAGGAGCATAGGCTCACTGTGCACTGTGCCTGGAACCTAATTACAGGATTATCGAACATTTCCTCTCCCACATAAGTGCCTCCTCACCACATCAGTAGGACTTTTGTATAATAAGGGAATTATAATGGAAGGAATTGACTGTCTCAGCACTTATTTAAGAAGGAGTCTCTAGGGAAACTCAAAGACAAGCGGGGAGATACTAACAAGGACACCTGAGTACATTTTGCCTCTGACACCTACAGCAACACCAAACAGTGAAGACAGTCTAACTACCAGCCAGATAAACACAAGAGCCTTACACAAAAGACCTCTTTACCTCTGTTCCTTTTGCCCAGTGTATCATGTCTCACTTTCAACCAAAAAAAGGGAACTAAAAGGTACTAAAAGTGAGCACACTAAAAGTGTACTAAAAAGTCTGCAGATGAGCCACAGCTGCGTAGGGTCCAGCTGCTTCTTGTTGCAAGCCCGGGAATGATTGTACTGCAGCGGGAGGTTCTTGGCAGTGGAGGAGCCCTGCAGCCAAGTTGCCCACGGAGAGGCTCTGCTGCATGATCTCGCGCACCTCCTTGTCGGACAGCAGGTAGGGAGAGGGCACCGGGAAGCTGGGCGAGGGACCACCACCTTGTCCAAGGGGATCTTGCAAAAGTCCTTCCTGCTCCTCTTGGGGGCAGCGGGGGACCCTCAAACTCCTCCTCAAACCTCTCAGGGTTGATTGCATAGCTCCTCATGTCTCTGCACTGGGGGCCAGCACGTGGACCTTGCACTGCTGCTGGTAGGAGCGCCTCTGCTCGTGTCCCGGCGCAGGTTGCCCATGAACTCCAGGGTCCAGAAGCGGTCGTTTTTGGCATGGAGGTAGAGCAGACACACATACTGGCGAATGAGCTTGATGCAGGACAGGTCCAGCTGCTTCTTGCCCAGGGAACCGCTGGAGCTGTACTGCTTGTGCAGGTTCTCATGGGTGAAGAGCTTGGGGAACAGGGGCACCAGCAGGTGCAAGGCGAAGTTGCCAATGGACAGGCTGCTCTCATAGATGCTGTGCAGATGCTCCTTGCTGAGCAGGCAGTCGGTGCCAGGCACCTCCAAATTGGGCTGGGGGATCTCCAATTTGTCCAGGTTGATGAGTACCAGCCAGATCTTCTTGGAGCGGCGCTGCTCGCCCTTGGAGCTATCCTCCACCCTGATTACTGAGATGTCATCGGGAGGCTGGAGGAGTTGTAGCAGTCATCACGTGGGGGGCTCGTCTTCACTGCCCGCATCCAGCCTCAGGCCCTGGAGCTTGTCGTTGATGCGCTGGGCACACTGCTGCAGCCAGGCCTCCTCCTCCTGCATATGGGAGAAGTAGACCTCTGTGTAGTTGCAGATGATCTGCAGCCTCTGCGGCTCCAGCTCCTGCTTGCTGCCATCCCCATAGCAGCTGTAGTACTCGCCCAGCTTGCAGTGGTCAAAGAGCTCAGGGAAGAGCCAGTGGAGGAGGAAGACAGCATATTCGCTGGGCGAAGAGGCTTCATCCAGGAACTCGGTGAGGTCCTGCATGTCCACCACGTGGTCTGAGGCCATGGTGCTGCTCCGGTCCAGAGACAGGCCGTCCTCCTCGTCTTTGTGGTCCAGGAAGTGGCCGGGGTCCACTGCTCGGCCTCAAAGAAGCTGGCAGCCTGGCCACCGGGCTGGCTGTTCTCCATCTCCCTCTGGGCCCAGAAGTGGCTGAAGAAGTTATTCAGCTGGGGCAAGCACTCGGCCTGTCACACGGCCATGTCCTTCACCGAGGGGTAGTAGACCTCCACGTAGTTGTGGATGAGCTGCAGGTGCAGTGACTCCAACTTACGCTTGGCCTCAAAGCTACAGGCACTGCAGCCTCGGGAGAAGTCAACTGCAGCTGAAGAGCTTGGGGAAGAGCTGCACCAGTGGGCAGCCTGCCAAGACCCCACCCGACAGGCTCTGGTCCACCATCTGCTTGAGCTCTGCGGCCCATGAGCTGCTATGCGGTGGTGGGGGCAGCTGGAATTTGGCCACCATCTCAGTGGGGTTCACCTTCAGGGAGAGTATGTCCATTGTGCTGTGCAGCTGGGACCTGTTAGACTTGAGGGTGTTGAACATGTAGAATATCTTCTGGATCAGGAAGTAGATGTTAGGGTCACTGTTGGTGGCCACCCCAGTGCTGCCATAGTCCCACTTCTGTGGCTCATTCAGGAGCCTAAGTGACGAGGGTCTGTTGCTGGCATTTACCTTCTGGAAGAGCTCATATATGTTTAGCAGGTCCCCTGAGGGACGGTTCTTCTTCTCCATGAACTTGTGTGAGGTGCCATACATAGGCTTTTTGTAGTAAGGGGTGGTGGCATGGTTGCAGAGCTCCTCCTTGCCTGGCCACACAGAGCCTGAGCTCCTGCCCTGCTGGCCTGCTCTCCATTGCCTTGGCAGGGCTAGATTTTCTCAGGTTCCACATTCGTGCTAGGAGCACCTCTGGGATCAGCTGCCTCCTCTCTATGCTGGGGACGGACTCTGGCTGGCCATTGCTGACCAGTCAAGTCCTGGAGGGCAGTGAAGATGCTTTCCAGAGGGTGTTTCTCAGAAGTCCTGGAATTCATGGAGCTGCCTAGAGCAGCAACTTTGGCCTGTCTCCACTCTCACTTCTTAGAAGTTCTTCTACATCTTCACTGAATTCAGTTGAGTTCATCTTCTGTTCCAGTGGGACTCGAGTTCTGTACTTTACTGAGCAGCCTGAGCCAAGTTTAGGCACCCAGTGGTGGGGAGGGTATGGGGCCAGGGAGTGGGAGCAGTGCACAAAGGGCCTGGCCAGGGCGGCTGGGGGAGGCGCCGGGGGCGGCAGACAGCCAGGCACCGTGTATTTCCCCTCTCTTTGTGAGTGTCTGTGTGCTGCGCTCTCATGTGACATGACAGGACTCCATGTGACATTTCTGCACAGGGACACAGGAGCCCTTGCTGCAATGGAACTGCAAACCCTCCACCCACACCTCCGGCCCACCCCTCCCCCTCAGTGGGGCACACGAGGGCTATTTCCTTCTTATTTATTTATTTTTTATTCTTTTCTTCCTAGACTGCTCAGCAGAATAGAATAATATCATGTATATGTGGGTTTCAGAAATTTTAATTCTTTATTTCTAGGGTTCTTGCATATACTTGGGATGTATATTTGTGAGTAGCATGGATATAAGTGTATTTTTAAATAGGAGTTGTTTTAGGATGCTTTGGGGTTGAAAGTATATGCATAGTTTATGATGTGATAGAGTTTAGAGGTATTGATTAAGGGAAGTGTTTTATGAATTTTGTCAAATGTATTTTCTGAAATAATTGATATTTTTCCTTTATTCTATCAATGTGGTGTACTGCACTGATTGATTTTGTGCATTGAAACCATCTTTGTTGAATGGTGTTGAACTATCAGTACCATTGATGTTGAACCATCTTTGCTCTCCAGGAATATATCCCACCTATTCCTGGTGGATAATCTTTTAATGCACTGTTGTGTTTGGTTTGCTAGTATTTTGTTGAGAATTTTTGAATCAATATTATAAGGGATATTGTTTGCTAGTGTTCTTTTATTGCAGTGTCTTTGGCTTTGGTATCAGACAATGCTGGCCTTGTAGAGTGAGTTTGGAAGTGTTACCTCCTCTTCAATTTATTGGAACAGTTTGAGAAGGATTGATGTTAATTCTTCCCTAAATGTTGGTAGAATATACCAGTAAATTCACCTAGTCCTGGGCTTTTCTTGGTTGGGAAGTTTTTGATTACTGATTCAATCACCTGATGAGTTATAGGCTTCAGATTTTCCATTTCTTCATGATTCAACCTTGGTAGATTGTGTTTTTGTAGTATTTGTCTATTGCATGTAGATCATCCATTTGTTGACATACAATCATTCATAGTTCTCTCTTATCTTTTTTATTTCTGTGAAATCAGCAATATCCCCTCTTTCATTTTGAATTTTAGTTGTCTTCTCTCTTTTGTCTTGGGTAACCTAGCTAAAGATTTGTTAGTTTTTTTGTTTTCTTTTTTTTTTTTTTTTTTTGAGACAGAGTCTAGCTCTGCCGCCCAGGCTGGAGTGCAGTGGCGTGATCTCAGCACACTGCAAGCTCTGCCTCCCAGGTTCAAGCAATTCAGCCTCCTGAATAGCTGAGACTACAGGTGCATGCCATGATGCCTGGCTAATTTTTGTGTTTTTAGTAGAGACGGGTTTCACCATATTGGCCATATTGGCCAGGCTGGTCTCAAACTCCTGACCTTAGATGATCCACCCACCTTGGCCTCCCAAAGTGCTGGGATTACAGGTATGAGCCACTGCACCCAGCCCTTGTTTTTTCATTTGTTGGTTTTGTTTTGTTTTTTCTTTGTTTTGTTTTTTTTCAAAGAACACATGATTTTGTTGATTTCCTTTTTTTTTTTTTTTGAGATGGAGCCTCGCTCAGTCACCCAGGCTGGAGTGCAGTGGTGCGATCTTGGCTCACTGCAAGCTCTGCCTCCTAGGTTCAGGCATTCTCCTGCCTCAGCCTCCCGAGTAGCTGGGACTACAGGTGCCTGCAACCATGCCTGGCTAATTTTTTTTTTTTTTGTATTTTTAGTAGAGATGGGGTTTCACCATGTTATCCCAGATGGTCTCGATCTCCTGACCTTGTGATCTGCCCGCCTTGGCCTCCCAAAGTGCTGGGATTACAGGCGTGAGCCACCGCGCCTGGCCTGATTTCCTATTTTTTAAAAAATTTTCTATTTTATTTCTGTGCCCTAACCTTTATTGTTACTTTTCTCTGCCAGCTTTGGGTTTAGTTAGTTTTTTGTTTTTTGGTTTTTTTTTTTTAGTTTATTAAGATGTAAAGTTTCATCATTAATTTGAGATCTTTCTTCTTTTCTAATCGAAGTGTTTACAGTTATACATTTCCCCTAGAACTGCTTTTGCTGGCTGCCATAAATTTTGGTATATTGTATTTTCATTCAAAGATACTGTCTAATTTACCTTGTAATTTCTTCTTCGATCCATTGTTTGTTTAAGAATATGTTGTTTGAGGCCAGGTGTGGTGGCTCATGCCTGTAATCCCAGCACTTTGTGAGGCTGAGTTGGGCAGATCACCTGAGGTCAGGAGTTCAAGACCAGCCTGGCCAACATGGTGAAACCCTGTCTCTACTAAAAATACAAAAATTAGCCAGGCTGGTGGCGGGGGCCTGTAATCCCAGCTACTCACGAGGCTGAGACAGGAGAATCACTTGAACACAGGAGGCAGAGGTTGCAGTGAGCCGAGATCATGCCATTGCACTCTAGCCTGGGCAACAAGAGCAAAACTCAGTCTCAAAAAAAAAGAGAAAGGTTGTTTGATTTCCACATATATGTGGATTCTTCTGCTGTTTATTTCTAGTTTGATTACATTTTTATCAGAAAAGGTATTTTCTATGATTTAAATGTTTTTAAACTATTAAGACCTATTTTTTGGCCTACCATAGTCTGTCCTGGAAAATGTTCCATGTGCACTTGAGAAAAATGTGTATATCTTCTTGGTGAGTTCATGCTTTTATCATTATACAGTGTTCATGTACCTTATACCAGTTTTTGACTTAAAGTCTATTTTGTCTAATGTTGCTATAGTCACCCCAATCTCTCTCTTTTTTCTTTTTTTTTTTTTTTTTGTTTGAGATGGAGTCTCGCTCTGTCACCAGGCTGGAGTGCAGTGGCGCGATCTTGGCTCACTGCAACCTCTGACTCCCTGGTTCAAGTGATTCTCCTGCCTCAGCCTCCCGAGTAGCTGGGATTACAGGCACACACCACCATGCCCAGCTAATTTTTGTATTTTTTAATAGAGATGGGGTTTCACCATGTTGGCCAGGATGATCTCGATCTCCTGACCTCATGATCTGCCCACCTTGGTCTCCCAAAGTGCTGGGATTACAGGCGTGAGCCACCGCGCTTGGTCTTAATCTCTTTTTATTACTATTTGCATAGGGTGCTGTTTTGCGGGGGTGGAGCCATCAAACCATGTTTTTCTTCTGCTTTCAAACCACCAAGACAGTCATCAACATAGAAGATGTCTGTAACCAAACTGTATGGGATTCTCCCCACCAGCAAGCAGTAGACACTAGCTGGGTATCCTCCAATTAAATTCTGTCACTATCTACCTGGGCATAATGTCAGACCCCACAGGTTGAAGGCTCAGTTTCCAAGACTGCTCCCCCACCAACCACTAGTTACAACTCTGGGCCTCCAGAACTTCTGATTGACAGGCTTCAAGTTGGGGTTCCCTCTTTGGGATGGATTAATTTGCTGGAGTGGCTTACAGAGCTCAGGAAAGCACTTAATGTTTGCCAGTTTATTCTAAAGCAGCCATCCCCAACCTTTTCGGCACCAGGGACTGGTTTCATGGAAGAGGTGAGGGAAGATTAGATCCTACCTTGGGACAGGTGAAGGGAAGACAAGAGGAGTCAGAAAGATTCTGTTTCCTGAGACCTACACCTAAGGCCTAACACACCCAACATTAGAATCAGAGGTACCTTTTTATATTATTTTACTTTCAACCTATTTGTGTCTTTATCTTTTTTTTTTTTTTGAAATGGAGTCTTGTTCTGTCACCCAGGCTAGAGTGCAGTGGCGCAATCTCGGCTCACTGCAACCTCTGCCTCCCAAGTTAGAGTGATTCTCCTGCCTCATCCTCCTGAGTAGATGTAGCTGGAACTACAGGTGTGCACCACCATGCCCAGCTAATTTTTGTATTTTTAGTAGAGTTGGGGTTTCACCACGTTGGCCAGGCTGGTCTTAAACTCCTGACCTTAAGTGATCTGCCTGCCTTGGCCTCCCAAAGTGCTGGGTTAACAGGTGTGATCCACTGTACCTGGCCCTGTTTGTGTCTTTTTTTTTTTTTTTTTTTGGAGATGGAGCCTTGCTCTGTTGTCCAGGCTGGAGTGCAGTGGCATGATTTTGGCTCCTTGGAACCTCTGCCTCCTGCAAGCAATTCTTGTGCCTCAGCCTCCCAAGTAGTTGGGATTACCGATGCACGCCACCATGCCCAGTTAATTTTTATATTTTTAGCAGAGACAGGGTTTCACCATGTTGACCAGGCTGGTCTCGAACTCCTGACCTCAAGTGATCTGCTCTTCTCTGCCTCCCAAAGTGCTGGGATTACAGGTGTGAGCCACTGTGGCCAGCGTCCTATTTGTGTCTTTAGATCTAAAGTGAGTCTGTGTAGATATTCTCTAGTTGAATCATATTTTTAAAAAATCAATTCTGCCAATTTATGTTTTTTAATTGCAGAGTTTAATACATTTACAACTAAAGTAATTACTGATAGGGAAGAACTGACTATTGCCATTTATTTTCTTTTAAGTCCTATTGCTTTTTTTGTCCTTCATTTCCTCCATTATTGCCTTTTTGTGTAGTTGATTTTTGTAGTGAAATATTTTGATTTCCTTCCCATTTCCTTTTGTGTACATTCTATTGATATTTGTGGTTGCTATGGGGATTACATATAGCATCCTACATGTGTAACAGTGTATTTTAAATTGGTACCGGCTAATTCCGATCACAATTTAAAAACTCTACTCCTTTACAACACCACCCACCATTTTATATTATTGATGTTACAGTTACATCTTTATATATTGTGTACCCATTACTATATAATTATTTTTATGCTTTTGTCTTTTAAATTATGTAGAAGAATAAAAAGTGAAGTTATAAGCCAAAAACTGATTTTTATATTTATCCATAGATTTGCCTTTATGGAAAATCTGTATTTTTACATGGCTTCTAGTTACTGTCTAGCATCCTTTATTCCTTTTGAAGTATTCCCTTTAGCATTTCTTGTAGGGCAGGTCCTTCAGCTTTTATCTGGAATATCTTAATTTCTCCCTCACTTTTGAAGGACAGTTTTGTTAGATATAGAATTTTTGGTTGTTTTTTTTCCTCAGCATTTTAATTATACCATCCCACTAACTTCTGGACTGTACAACTTCTGCTGAGAAATATGCTGATAATTTCCTTGAGGAAGTATCTTGTGCTGCTTTAACAGAATGCCTGAGACTGGGCAATTTATACTGAGCAGAAATTTACTGGCTAACAGTTGTTGAGACCAAGAAATCCAGTATCGAGGTGCTGGCATATTGTGAGGGTCTTCTTCCATGTCACCTTCTTACTGTGTGATCCCATGGTGACAAGCATCACGTGGCAGAAGAGCAACAGGGGTGAGAGAGAGAGACAAAGGGAACCTGAACTTCCCATTTTCTGGTGACATTCATCCCACCAATGAGGGTAGAGCCATCATGGCCTAGTCATCTCAAAAGTTTCACATCTTACTAGTGTTACAGTGTCAACTGAATTTCAACATGAGTTTTAGAGGGGACAGACATTCAAACTGTAGCACCATGTATGTGATAAGTTGCTTTTTCCTTATTGCTTTCAAGAGTCTCTTTTTGTCTTTCAACAATTTATGTATTTTATTGTGTATTTCTTCAGATTTTATTAAGTTTCTTGGATTTACGTGTCTATGTCTTTCGTCAAATTTGGGAAGTTTTGGGTCATTATTTCTTGAAATAATCTGCCTATCTCCTTCCCCTTTCTCTATGTCTTATCCTACTAAGACCCACCTGCCCCATAATGCATGTATTGGTCTACCTGATGGCACCCCATAAATTCCTTATGCTCTGTTCACT